>NC_000023.11:56343187-56659243 GCF_000001405.40 Homo sapiens
AGGCTGGAAAAACTAAGTTAGCTGAATTGCAGAGACAGCAGCTGCCCCTCCCTTCTGGGACTCTATCCCAGGGAGCCACAAGAGTTCTGTTCATATAACCCGGGCTGGAATTGCTGAAATTCTTGCAGGGAGGCCACACCCAGCAATGGGGGATGGATCTGGGTCCCACTTAACGAAGCAGAGTGGCCACAATCAGGCCCAACAGCTGTGCTGTGTTGTGGGGAACTCCCCTTGGTCCCCAGTGCCAGCAAGCTAGAGCCACTGACTCGAACTGCATAAATCATGGCCACCCCTCCACCCGGGAACTCAGTCTGTCTCAGGCCATCGCCAGCCTGCTGCCACTGGCCAGCTGGAATTCCAAGCCAGTGGGTCTGAACTTGTGAGGTGTGGTGGAAGTGAGGTCAGCAGAACATGCCACCTGGCTCCCTGGATTCAGCCCCCTTCCTAGGGGAATGCACAAATGGATTTCCTGCTTTGCTGAAATTCTGAGGGCTGGGATAGACAAAACTCCTGCGTTTCCCTGCATGCTCTGGCAAGTGAGCAAGGGCTCCACTAAGACTCTACATAGCTCTGTGTTTCAGACCCAAGGCCCTAGTGGTGTGGTCTCACAATGGGATCTCCTGATCTGCAGGTTGCAAAGATGCACGGGAAAAGCATGATTTCCTGGGCAGGGTCACACAATCGCTCACCACTTCCTCTGGTTTCGGGGTGGGGGCTCCCCTGGCTCCATGCCACTCCCAGGTGGGCCATCACCCCACCCTGCTTTTCCTCACTCTCTGTGGGTTGAGCTGTCTGCCTAGTCAGTCTCAATGTGAAAATCTGAATACCTCAGTTGAGGGTTCAAAATTCACCCACCATTTCCATTGGTCTCCGTAAAAGTTGCAAACTGCAGCTGCTTCTAATTGACCACCTTGGCCCCATAGAGCTAAACTTCCTCCTTAGAACATGTTTTTGCTGCATTTTATAAGATTTGGTAAGCTATGTCTCCATTTTCATTTGCCTTAAGATTTTAAAAAATTTCTTTTAATTTTTTCTTTGAACGGTTTATTGTTCAGGAACATATAGTTTAATTGTCATATATTTGTGATTTTTCTCAAATTTCTTTTGTTACTGATTTCTAGGTTCATACCATTGTGGTCAGAAAAGATACTTGATAGAATTTCAATCTTCTTACATTCTTTAAGAGTTGTTTTGTGTCCTAAAATGTAATCTATTCTAGAGAATGTTTTATGTGTACTTGAGAAGAATGTGTATTTTTCTGCTGTTAAATGAAATGTCCTATATATGTCTGTTAGATCCATTTGTTCTAAAGTGAAAGGTTGAATTCCTATGTTTCCTTATTGATTTTCTATCTGGGTGATCTATCCATTGTTGAAAGTCAGATATTAAAATCCCCTAACAGTAGCTATTCTTATATCAGACAAAACAAACTTTAAAGCAACAGCAGTTAAAAAAGACAAAAGGGACATTATATAATGGTAAAAGACATGGTCAAACAGGAAAATATCACAATCCTAAACATATATACACCTAACACTGGAGCTTCCAAATTTATAAAACAATTACTAACAGATCTAAGAAATGAGATAGACGGTAACGCAATAATAGTGGGGGACTTCAATACTCCACTGACAGCATTAAACAGGACATCAAGACAGAAAGTCAACAAAGAAACAATGGATTTAAACCATACCTTGGAACAAATGGACTTAACAGATATATACAGAACATTTTATCCAACAGCTGCAGGATACATATTCTATTCAAGAGCACATGGAACTTTCTCCAAGATAGACCCTATGATAATCCATAAAACAAGCCTCAATAAATCTAAGAAAATTTAAATTATATCAAGCACTCTCTGAGACCACAGTGGAATAAAATTGGAAATCACCTACAAAAAAAACCTTCAAAACCATGCAAATACATGAAATTAAATAACCTGCTCCCAAATGAGCATTGGGTCAAAAACAAAATCAAGATGGAAATTGGAAAATTCTTTGAACTGAACGACGATAATGACACAACCTATCAAAACCTCTGGGATACAGCAAAGGTGGTGCTAAAAGGAAACTTCATAGCCCTAAATGCCTACATCAAAAAGACTGAAAAAGCAAAAGCTGACATTATAGGTCACACCTCAGGGAAGTAGAGAAACAAGAACAAACCAAACCCAAGCCAGAGAGAAGAAAGAAAATAACCAAAATCACAGCAGAACTAAATGAGATTGAAACAAAGAAAATACAAAAATAAATGAAACAAAAAGCTGGTTCTTTGAAAAAATAAATATAATTGATAGGCCATTAGCAAGATGAACCAAGAAAAGAAGAGAGAAAATCAAAATAACTTCACTAAAAAACAAGACAGGAGGTATTACAGCTGAAACCACTGAAATACAAAAGATCATCAAGGCTACTATGAAAACCTTTATGCACATAAACTAGAAAACCTAGAAGGGATGGATAAATTCCTGGAAAAATACAACCTTGCTAGTTTAAATCAGCAAGAATTAAATACCCTGAACAGACCAATATAGGCAGAGAGATTGAAATGGTAATTAAGAAATTACCAACAAAAAAATGTCCAGGACCAGACAGATTCATGGCAGAATTCTATCAGACATTCAAAGAAGTATTGGTACGAACCTTTGACACTATTCTACAAGAAAGCGAAAGAAGACACCCTCCCTAATTCATTCTATGAGCCAGCATTACCCTAATATCAAAACTAGGAAAGGACATAACAAAACAACAAAACAAAACAACAACAAACAAAACAAAATAAAACAAAACTACACACTGATATCCTTGATGAACATAGATATTAAAATCCTTAAAAAAATCCTAGCTAACCAAACCCAACAATATATTAAAAAGATAGTCCACCATGATCAAGTGGGTTTCAAACCAGGGATGCAGGGATGGTTTAACATACGCAAGTCAATAAATGTGATAAAACAGAATTAAAAACAAAATCACATGATCATCTCAATAGATGCAGAAAAAGCATTCAATAAAATCCAACATTTCTTTATGATTAAAGCTCTCTGCAAAATCGGCATACAAGGGACATACGTCAATGTAATAAAAACCATCTATGATAAACCCACAGTCAACTTAATACTTAATCAGGAAAAGTTGAAAGCATTCTCTCTGATAACGGGAATAAGATACGGATGCCCACTCTCACCATTCCTCTTCAACATAGTACTGGAAGTCCTAGCCAGAGCAAGCAGACAAGAGAAAGAAATAAAGGGAATCCAAATCAGTAAAGAGGAAGTCAAACTGTCACAGTTTGCTGATGATGTGACTGTTTACCTTGAAAAACCTAAAGACTCCTCCAGAAAGCTCCTAGAACTGATCAAAGAATTCAGCAAAGTTTCCTGATAAAAGATTAATGCACACAGATCAGTAGCTCTTCTATACCCCAACAGCGATCAAACAGAGAATCAAATCAAGAACTCAACTCCTTTTACAATAGCTGCAAAAAACAAAACAAAACAACAACAACAATAACTTAAGAATATACTTAACCAAGGAGTCAAAATACCTCTACAAGGAAAACTACAAAACCCTACTGAAAGAAGTCATAGATGACAGAAACAAATGGAAACACATCCCATGCTCATGGATGAGTAGAATGAATATTGTGAAAATGACCAAACTGCCAAAAGCAATCTACAAATTCAATGCAATTCCCATTAAAATACCACCATCATTCTTCACAGAATTAGAAAAAACATTTCTAAAATTCATATGGAACCAAAATAAGAGCCCACATAGCCAAATCAAGACTAAGCAAAAAGAACAAATCTGGAGACAACACACTACCTGATTTCAAACTATAATATAAGGCCATAGTCACCAAAACAGTGTGGTACTGGTATAAAAATAGGGACATAGACCAATGGAACAGAATAGAGAACCCAGAAATAAACCCAAATATTTACAGTTTCATCTTTGGTGAAGCAAACAGAAACATAAAGTCGGGAAAGGACAACCATTTCTACAAATGATGCTGAGATAATTGGCTAGCCACACGTAGGAGAATGAAACTGGATCCTCATCTCTCACTGTATAGAAAAAGCAACTCAAGATGGATTAAGAACTTAAATCTAAGTCCTGAAACTATACAAATTGTAGAAGATAACATTGGAAAAACCCTTCGAGGCATTGGCTGAGGCAAGGATTTCATGACCAAGAACCCCAAAACAAATACAATAAAAACAAAGATAAGCAGTTGGGACTTAATTAAACTAAGGAGCTTTTGCACGGCAAAAGGAATAGTAAGCAGAGTAAACAGACAACCCAGAGAATAGGAGAAAATCTTCACAATCTATACATCTGACAAAGGACTGATAGCTGGAATCTACAATGAACTCAAACAAATCAGTAAGAAAAAAAAATCCCATCAAAAACTCGACAAAGGACATAAACAGAAAATTCTCAAAATAATATATACAATTGGCTAACAAATATATGAAAAAATGTTCAACCTCCCTAATGATTGAGGAAATGCAAATCAAAACCACAATGTGATACCACCTTAGTCCAGCAAGAATGGCCATAATAAAAAACTCAGAAAACAGTGGATGTTGGCGTGGATGTGGTGAAAAAGGAACTCTTCTACTCTGCTGGTGGGAATGTAAACCAGTACAACCACTATGGAAAACAGTGTGGAAATTTCTTTCTTTCTTCTTTTAATTATACTTTAAGTTCTAGGGTACATAGGCACAACATGCAGGTTTGTTACATAGGTATACATGTGCCATGTTGGTTTGCTGCACCCATCAAATTGACATTTACATTAGGTATTTCTACTAATGTTATCCCTCCCCCAGACCCCCTCCCCCCAACAGGCCCCAGTGTGTGATGTTCCCCACCCTGTGTCCATGTGTTCTCATTGTTCAAATTCCCCCTATAAATGAGAACATGTGGTGTTTGGTTGTCTGTCCTTGTGATCGTTTGCTGAGAACGATGGTTTACAGCTTCATTCATGTCCCTGCAAAGGATATTAACTCATCCTTTTTAATGGCTGCATAGCATTCCATGGTGTATATGTGCCACATTTTTTTCTTTTTTTTATTATACTGTAAGTTCTAGGGTACATGTGCACAATGTTCAGGTTTGTTACATAGGTATACATGTGCCATGTTGGTTTGCTGCACCCATCAGCTGGTCATTAACATTAGATATTTCTCCTAATCTTATCCCTCCCCCCTCCCCCCACCCCACAACAGGCCCCGGTGTGTGTGATGCTCCCCTTCCTGTGTCCAAGTGTTCTCATTGTTCAATTCCCACCCATGAGTGAGAACATGTAGTGTTTGGTTTTCTGTCCTTGTGATAGTTTGCTGAGAACGAAGGTTTTCAGCTTCATCCATGTCCCTACAAAGGACATGAACTCATCCTTTTTTAATGGCTGCATAGTATTCCATAGTGTATATATGCCAAATTTTCTTAATCCAGTCTATCATTGATGGATGTTTGGGTTGGTTCCAAGTCTTTGCTATTGTGAATAGTGCCAAAATAAAAATACGTCTGCATGTGTCTTTATAATAGCATGATTTATAATCCTTTGGGTATATACTCAGTAAAGGGATTGCTAGGTCAAATGGTATTTCTAGTTCTGGATCCTTGAGGAATCACCACACTGTCTTCCACAATGGTTGACCTAATTTACACTCCCACCAACAGTGTAAAAGCATTCCTATTTCTCCATATCCTCTCCAGCATCTGTTGTTTCTGGCTTTTTATATTTATTTATTTATTTATTTATTTATTTATTTATTTATTATACTTTAAGTTCTAGGGTACATGTGCACAACATGCAGGTTTGTTACTTATGTATACATGTGCCATGTTGGTGTGCTACACCCATTAACTCATCATTGACATTAGGTACATCTCCTAATGATATCCCTCCCCCCGTCCCACCCCACAACAGGCCCCCGTATGTGATGTTCCCCTTCCTGTGTCCAAGTGTTCTCATTGTTCAATTCCCAACTATGAATGAGAACATACAGTGTTTGGTTTTCTGTCCTTGCCATAGTTTGCTCAGAATTATGGTTTCCAGCTGCATCCATGTCCCTACAAAGGACATGAGCTCATCCTTTTTTGTGGCTGCATAGTATTCCATGGTGTATAGGTGCCACATTTTCTTAATCCAGTCTATCATTGATGAACATTCAGGTTGGTTCCAAGTCTTTGCTATTGTGAATAGTGCCACAATAAACATACGTGTGTATGTGTCTTTGCAGCAGCATGATTTATAATCCTTTGGGTATATACCCAGTAATGGGATGGCTGGGTCAAATGGTATTTCTAGTTCTACATCCCTGAGGAATCACCACACTGACTTCCACAATGGTTGAACTAGTTTCCAGTCCCACCAGCAGTTTAAAAATGTTCCTATTTCTCCACATCCTCTCCAGCACCTGTTGTTTCCTGACTTTTTAATCATTGCCATTCCAACTGATGTGAAATGCTATCTCATTGTGCTTTTGATTTGCATTTCTCTGATGACCAGTGATGATAAGCATTTTTTCATATGTCTGTTGGCTGCATAAATATCTTCTTTTGAGAAGTGTCTGTTCATATCCTTTGCCCACTTTTTGAGGGGTTTGTTTTTTTTTTCTTGTAAATTTGTTAAAGTTTTTTGTAGATTCTGGATATTAGCCCTTTGTCAGATGGGTAGATTGCAAAAAATTTCTCTCATTCTATAGTTTGCCTGTTTTGATGATAGTTTCTTTTGCTTTGCAGAAACTCTTTAGTTTAATTAGATCCCATTTGTCTATTTTTGCTTTTGTTACCATTGCTTTTGGCATTTTAGTCATGAAGTCTTTGCCCATGCCTATGTCCTGAATGATATTGCCTAGGTTTTTAAGCTTTTAAGTCTTACATTTAAGTCTTTAATCCATCTTGAATTGATTTTTGTATAAGGTGTAAGGAAGGGATCCAGTTTCTGCTTTCTACATATGGCTAGCCAGTTTTCCCAGAACCATTTATTAAATAGGAAATCATTTCCCCATTTCTTGTTTTTGTCAGGTTTGTCAAAGATCAGATGGTTGTAGATGTGTGGTGTTATTTGTGAGGCCTCTGTTCTGTTCCATTGATCTATATCTCTGTTTTGGTACCAGTACCATGCTGTTTTGGTTACTGTAGCCTTGTAGTATAGTTTGAAGTCAGGTAGTGTGATGCCTCCAGCTTTGTTCTTTTTGCTTAGGATTGTCTTGGCTATGTGGGCTCTTTTTTGGTTCCATATGAAATTTAAAGGAGTTTTTTCCAATTCTCTGAAGAAAGTCTTTGGTATCTTCATGGGGATGGAATTGAATCTATAAATAACCTTGGGCAATATGGCGATTTTCACGATATTGATTCTTCCTATCTATGAGGATGGAATGGTCTTCCATTTGTTTCTGTCTTCTTTTATTTCGTTGAGCAGTGATTTGTAGTTCTTCTTGAAGAGGTCCTTCACATCCATTGTAAGTTGTATTCCTGGGTATTTTATTCTCTTTGTAGCAATTGTGAATCGGAGTTCACTTATGATTTCGCTCTCTGTCTGTTAATGGTGTATAGGAATGCTTGTGATTTTTGCACATTGATTTTGTATCCTGAGACTTTGCTGAAGTTGCTTATTAGCTTAAGGAGATTTTGGGCTGAGACAATGGGGTTTTCTAAATATACAATCATGTCATCTTCAAACAGGGACAATTTGACTTCCTCTTTTCCTAATTGAAAACCCTTTATTTCTTTCTCTTGCCTGATTGCCCTGGCCAGAACTTCCAACACTATGTTGAATAGGAGTGGTGAGACAGGGTATCCCTGACTTGTGCCAGTTTTCAAAGGGAATGCTTCCAGTTTTTGCCCATTCAGTATGACATTGGCTGTGGGTTTGTTATAAATTGCTCTTATTATTTTGAGATATGTCCCTCAATACCTAGCTTATTGACAGTTTTTAGCATGAAGGCTGTTGAATTTTGTCAAAAGCCTTTTCTGCATCTGTTGAGATAATCATGTGATTTTTGTCTTTGGTTCTGTTTATGTGATGGATTACATTTATTGATTTGCATATGTTGAACCAGTCTTGCATCCCAGAGATGAAGCCCACCTGTTCGTGTTGGCTAAGGTTTTTGATGTACTGCTGGATTTGGTTTGCCAGTATTTTATTGAGGATTTTTGCATCGATGTTCATCAGGGATAGTGGTCTGAAATTCTCTTTTTTTGTTGTGTCTCTGCCAGGCTTTGGTATCAGGATTATGTTGGCATCATAAAATGAGTTAGGGAGGATTCCCTCTTTTTCTATTGATTGGAATAGTTTCAGAAGGAATGGTACCAGCTCCTCTTTATAACTCTGGTAGAATTCAGCTGTGAATCCATCTGGTCTTGGACTTCTTTTGGTTGGTAGTGTGTATGTGTCGAGGAATTTATCCATTTCTTCTAGATTTTCTAGTTTATTTGCGTAGAGGTGTTTATATGATTCTCTGATGATTCCTTATCCTAAGGAGAGGAGGTTTAAACTGAGGCTTAAAAAAATGAAGGAAAGTGAATTGCAAACATCTGGGAGATAACAGTCCAGACAGCAGAAACACAAGTACAATAACCCTAAGTGAGGAACCATCTTTGTCTTCAAAGAATAGAAAGAAGAGCAATTTAACTGGAGTGTAATGAGTGACAGTAAAAGAGTTAGGAGTTGAAGTCAGAAAACTAGGATGAGACCATAAGAAATGGGGCTTCGTAGGTTACTTTAAAAATGTAAGCTCTTATTCTGAGTGTTATGGAAGCCTCTGGATGGTTCTAAGTACTGAAAATGTATCATCTGGTTTATGTTTTCAAAGGAATATTCCAGATGCTGAACTGAAAGGAAATAAAGGTGGAAGCAGAGATACAAAAGAAGAAACTGTTGTAGTTATTCAGGTAAGAGCTGATGGTAGTCTTGAAAAATGTAGGAAGAATGAAGGAAGTGGAGGTGGAGAAAATAATAAATTTTTAAATAAAGTAGATTTTTTTATTATACTTTAAGTTTTAGGGTACATGTGCACATTGTGCAGGTTAGTTACATACGTATACATGTGCCATGCTGGTGTGCTGCACCCACTAACTCGTCATCTAGCATTAGGTATATCTCCCAATGCTATCCCTCCCCCCTCCTCCCACCCCACAATAGGCCCCAGAGTGTGATGTTCCCCTTCCTGTGTCCATGTGATCTCATTGTTCAATTCCCACCTATGAGTGAGAAAATGCGGTGTTTGGTTTTTTGTTCTTGTGATAGTTTACTGAGAATGATGATTTCCAATTTCATCCATATCCCTACAAAGGACATCAACTCATCATTTTTTAAGGCTGCATAGTATTTTGCTGAGTTTTTTTAATAAAAGTTTCCTTTTTCTTTTTTTATTTTTCTATGACTATCATTTTTTCTTTCTTATAAAATATATTTTATTTTTTTTATTATACTTTAAGTTTTAGGGTACATGTGCACAACATGCAGGTTTGTTACATATGTATACATGTGCCATGATGGTGTGCTGCACCCATTAACTCATCATTTAGCATTAGGTATATCTCCTAATGCTATCCGTGCCCCCCCGCACCCCACAACAGTCCCCAGTGTATGATGTTCCCCTTCCTGTGTCCGTGTGTTCTCATAGTTCAATTCCCACCTATGAGTGAGAACATGCGGTGTTTGGTTTTTGGTCCTTGCGATAGTTTGCTGAGAATGATGGTTTCCAGCTTCAGCCATGTCTCTACAAAGGACATGAACTCATCATGTTTTATGGCTGCATAGTATTCCATGGTGTATTTGTGCCACACCTTCTTAACCCAGTCTATCATTGTTGGACATTTGGGTTGGTTCCAAGTCTTTGCTATTGTGAATAGTGCCACAATCAACATACGCATGCATGTGTCTTTATAGCAGCATGATTTATAATCCTTTGGGTAGATACCCAGTAATGGGATGGCTGGGTCAAATGGTATTTCTAGTTCTAGATCCCTGAGGAATCGTCACATGGATTTCCAAAATGGATGAACTAGTTTACAATCCCACCAACAGTGTAAAAGTGTTCCTATTTCTCCACATCCTCTCCAGCACCTGTTGTTTCCTGACTTTTTAATGATTGCCATTCTAACAGTTATGAGATGGTATCTCATTGTGGTTTTGATTTGCATTTCTTTGATGGCCAGTGATGATGAGCATTTTTTCATGTGTCTTTTGGCTGCATAAATGTCTTCTTTTGAGAAGTGTCTGTTCATATCCTTTGCCCCCTTTTTGACAGGGTTATTTGATTTTTCTTGTAAATTTGTTGGAGTTCATTATAGATTCTGGATATTAGCCTTTTGTCAGATGAGTAGACTGCAAAAATTTTCTCCCATTCTGTAGGTTGCCTGTTCACTCTGATGGTAGTTTCTTTTGCTGTGCAGAAGCTCTTTAGTTTAATTAGATCCCATTTGTCAATTTTGGCTTTTCTTGCCATTGCTTTTGGTGTTTTAGTCATGAAGTCCTTGCCCATACCGATCTTCTGAATGGTATTGCCTAGGTTTTCTTCTAGGGTTTTTCTGGTTTTAGGTCTAGCATTTAAGTCTTTAATCCATCTTGAATTAATTTTTGTATAAGGTGTAAGGAAGGGATCCAGTTTCAGCTTTCTACATACGGCTAGCCAGTTTTCCCAGAACCATTTATTAAATAGAGAATCCTTTCCCCATTTCTTGTTTTTGTCAGGTTTGTCAAAGATCAGATAGTTGTAGATATGCGGCGTTCTTTCTGAGGGCTCTGTTCTGTTCCATTGATCTATATCTCTGTTTTGGTACCAGTACCATGCTGTTTTGGTTACTGTAGCCTTGTAGTATAGTTTGAAGCCTGGTAGAGTGATGCCTCCAGCTTTGTTCTTTTGGCTTAGGATTGACTTGGCAATGCGGACTCTTTTTTGGTTCCATATGAACTTTAAAGTAGTTTTTTCCAATTCTGTGAAGAAAGTCATTGGTAGCTTGATGGGGATGGCATTGAATCTATAAATTACCTTGGGCAGTATGGCCATTTTCACGATATTGATTCTTCCTACCCACGAGCATAGAATGTTCTTCCATTTGTTAGTATCCTCTTTTATTTCATTGAACAGTGGTTTGAAGTTCTCCTTGAAGAGATTTTTCACATCCCTTATAAGTTGGATTCCTAGGTATTTTATTCTCTTTGAAGCAATTGTGAATGAGAATTCACTCATGATTTGGCTCTCTGTTTGTCTGTTATTGGTGTATAAGAATGCTTGGGATTTTTGCACATTGATTTTGTGTCCTGAGACTTTGCTGAAGTTGCCTATCAGCTTAAGGAGATTTTGGGTTGAGACAAAGGGTTTTCCTAGATATATAATCATGTCTTCTGCAAACAGGGACAATTTGACTTCCTCTTTTCCTAACTGAATACCCATTATTTCCTTCTCCTTCCTGATTGGCGTGCCCAGAACTTCCAACACTATGTTGAATAGGAGTGGTGAAAGAGGGCATCCCTGTCTTGTGCCAGTTTTCAAAGGGAATGCTTCCAGTTTTTGCCCTTTCAGTATGATATTGGCTGTGGGTTTGTCATAGATATCTCTTATTATTTTGAGATACATCCCATCAATACCTAATTTATTGAGAGTTTTTAGCATGAAGTGTTGTTGAATTTTGTCAACGGCCTTTTCTGAATCTATTGAGATAATCATGTGGTTTTGGTCATTGGTTCTGTTTATATGTTGGATTACATTTATCGATTTGCATATGTTGAACCAGCCTTGCACCCCAGGGATGAAGCCCACTTGATGATGGTGGATAAGCTCTTTTATGTGCTGCTGGATTCGGTTTGCCAGTATTTTATTGAGGATTTTTGCATCAATGATCATCAGGGATATTGGTCTAAAATTCTGTTTTTTTTGTTGTGTCTCTGCCAATCTTTGGTATCAGGATGATGCTGGCCTCATAAAATGAGTTAGGGAGGATTCCCTCTTTTTCTATTGATTGGAATAGTTTCAGAAGGAATGGTACCAGCTCCTCTTTGTACCTCTGGTAGAATTTGGCTGTGAATCCATCTGGTCCTGGACTTTTTTTGGTTGGTAGTCTATTAATTATTGCCTCAATTTCAGAGCCTGTTTTTGGTCTATTCAAGAGATTCAAATTCTTCCTCATTTAGTCTTGGGAGGCTGTATGTGTCGAGGAATGCATCCATTTCTTCTAGATTTTCTAGTTTACTTGCATAGAGGTGTTTATAGTGTTCTCTGATGGCAGCTTGTATTTCTGAGGAATTAGTGGTGATATCCTGTTTATCATTTTTTATTGCATCTATTTGATTCTTCTCTCTTTTCTTCTTTATTAGTCTTGTGGTTGTCTATCAGTTTTGTTGATCTTTTCAGAAAACCAGCTCCTGGATTCATTGATTTTTGAAGGGTTTTTGTATCTCTAGCTCCTTCAGTTCTGCTCTTATCTTAGTTATTTCTTGCCTTGTGCTTGCTTTTGAATGTGTTTGCTTTTGCTTCTCTAGTTCTTTTAATTGTGATGTTAAGGTGTCAATTTTAGATCTTTCCTGCTTTCTCTTGTGGGCATTTAATGCTATAAATTTCCCTCTACACACTGCTTTGAATGTATCCCAGAGATTCTGGTATGTTGTGTCTTTGTTCTCGTTGGTTTTAGAGAACATCTTTATTTCTGCCTTCATTTTGTTATGTACCCAAGAGTCATTCCGGAGCAGGTTGTTCAGTTTCCATGTAGTTGAGAGGTTTTGAGTGAGTTTCTTAATCCTGAGTTCTAGTTTCATTGCACTGTGATCTGAGAGACAGTTTGTTAAATTTCTGTTCTTTTATATTTGCTGAGGAGTGCTTTACTTTCAACTATGTGGTCAATTTTGTAATAGGTGTGGTGTGGTGCTGAGAAGAATGTATATTTTGTTGATTTAGGGTAGAGAGTTCTGTAAATGTCTATTAGGTTCACTTGGTGCAGAGCTGAGTTCAGTTCCTGGATATCCTTGTTAACTTTCTGTCTCGTTGATCTGTCTAATGTTGACAGTGGGGTGTTAAAGTTTCCCATTATTATTGTGTGGGAGTCTAAGTCTCTTTGTAGGTCTCTAAGGACTTGCTTCATGAATTTGGGTGCTCCTGTATTGGGTGCATATATATTTAGGATAGTTAGCTCTTTTTGTTGAATTGATCTCTTTATCATTGTGTAATGGTCTTCTTTGTGTCTTTTGATCTTTGTTCGTTTAAAGTCTGTTTTATCAGAGACTAGTGTTGAACCCCTGCCTTTTTTTGTTTTCCATTTGCTTGGTAGATCTTCCTCCATCCCTTTATTTTGAGCCTATGTGTGTCTCTGCACATGTGATGGGTTTCCTGAATACAGCACACTGATGAGTTTGACTCTTTATCCAATTTGCCCATCTGTGTCTTTTAATTGGAGCATTTAGCCCATTTACATTTAAGGTTAATATTGTTATGTGTGAATTTGATCCTGTCTTTATGATGTTAGCTGGCTATTTTGCTCTTTAGTTGATGCAGTTTCTTCCTAGCCTCAATGGTCTTTACAATTTGGCATGTTTTTGCAGTGGCTGGTAGCACTGTTTCCTTTCCATGTTTAGTGCTTCCTTCAGGAGCTCTTATAGGGCAGGCCTGGTGGTGACAAAATCTCTCAGCATTTGCTTTTCTGTAATGGATTTTATTTCTCCTTCACTTCTGAAGCTTAGTTTGGCTGGATATGAAATTCTGGGTTGAAAATTCTTTCCTTTAAGAATGTTGAGTATTGGTCCCCACTCTCTTCTGGCTTGTAGAGTTTTTGCCAAGAGATCCGCTGTTAGTCTGATGGGCTTCCCTTTGTGGGTAACTCGACATTTCTCTCTGGCTGCCCTTAACATTTTTTCCTTCATTTCAACTTTGGTGAATCTGACAATTATGTGTCTTCGAGTTGCTCTTCTCGAGAAATATCTTTGTGGCATTCTCTGAATTTGAATGTTGTTCCTGAATTTGAATGTTGGCCTGCCTTGCTAGATTGGGGAAGTTCTCCTGTATAATATCCTGCAGAGTGTTTTCCAACTTGGTTCCATTCTCCCCGTCACTTTCAGGTACACCAGTCAGACGTAGATTTGGTCTTTTCACATAGTCCCATATTTCTTGGAGGCTTTGTTTGTTTCTTTTTATTCTTTTTTCTCTAAGCTCCTCTTCATGCTTCATTTCATTCATTTCATCTTCCGTCGCTGATCCCCTTTCTTCAGGTTGATCACATCGGTTACTGAGGCTTGTGTATTCATCATGTAGTTCTGGTGCCGTGGTTTTCAGCTCCATCATGTCCTTTAAGGACTTATCTGCATTGGTTATTCTAGTTAGCCATTCGTCTAATTTTTTTTCAAGGTTTTTAACTTCTTTGCCATGGGTTCGAACTACCTCCTCTAGCGCTGAATAGTTTGATTTGTCTGAAGACTTCTTCTCTCAACTTGTCAAAGTCATTCTCCATACAGCTTTGTTCCATTGCTGGTGAGGAGCTGCATTCCTTTGGAGGAGGAGTGGCGCTCTGATTTTTAGAATTTTCAGTTTTTCTGCTCTGTTTTTTCCCCATGTTTGTGGCTTTATCTACCTTTGGTCTTTGATGATGGTGAGATACAGATGGGGTTTTGGTGTGAATGTCCTTTCTGTTTGTTAGTTTTCCTTCTAATAGTCAGCACCCTCAGCTGCAGGTCTGTTGGAGTTTGCTGGGGGTCCACTACTGACTCTGTTTGCCTGGGTGTCTGCAGACGGGTCTGCAGAACAGCAGATATTGGTCAACTGCAAATGTTGCTGCCTGATCATTCCTCTGGAAGTTTTGTCTCAGAGGAATACCTGGCCATGTGAGGTGTCAGTCTGCCCCTACTGTGCGGTGCCTCCCACTTAGGGTACTTGGGCGTCAGGGACCCACTTGAGGAGGCAGTCTGTCTGTTCTCAGATCTCAAGCTGTATGCTGGGAGAACCACTACTCTCTTCAAAGCTGTCAGACAGGGACATTTAAGTCTGCAGAGGTTTCTGCTGCCTTTTGTTTTGCTATGCCATGCCACCAGATGTGGAGTCTACAGAGGCAGTCAGGCCTCCTTGAGCTGCAGTGGGCTCCACCCAGCTCGAGCCTCCTGGCTGCTTTGTTTACCTACTCAATCCTTGACAGTGGTGGGCGCCCCTCCCCCAGCCTTGCTGCCACCTTGCAGTTTGTTCTCAGACTGCTGTGCTAGCAATGAGCAAGGCTCCGTGGGCATAGGACCCTCTGAGCCATGTGTGGGATATAATCTCCTGGTGTGCCGTTTGCTAAGACCATTGGAAAAGTGCCATATTAGGGTGGGAGTGACCCAATTTTCTAGGTGCTGTCTGTCACCCCTTTCCTTGGCTAGGAAAGGGAATTCCCTGACCCCTTGCACTTCCCGAGTCAGGTGATGCCTCGCCCTGCTTTGTCTCATGCTTGGTGCACTGCACCCACTGTCCTTCTCCCACTGTATGACAATCCCCAGTAAGATGAACCTGGTATCTCAGTTAGAAATGCAGAAATCATTCATCTTCTGCTTTGCCCATGCTGGGAGCTGTAAACTGGAGCTGTTTCTGTTCCACCATCTTGGCTCCCCAGGCATATCTGAGTTTTTAATTTGAGTTTCTGGGTGGATTAAATGTTCACTTAAATGACAGTGATGAAGGGGACAGATTTTGTGGAGTTGATGGAATAAGGGCTTTTTTTTTTGGGAGCAGGTTAAGTACTGTGTACCAGGTACTAAGCTAAGTGCTATACACATCTAACTTGCTTAGTCCTGGAAAAAAAATAGTCCCTAGGGAAAAACAAAACTATGCAACCCCGTTTTACAGATGAGAAAACTGACGCTCAGAAAAGTTAAGTAATTTACCCAAGTTTAGACACCTAGTGAACATCAGAGCATTTGAATGCAAGTGTTCTTATGTTCCTTTAATTCTGCAATTTTATTTCTCTTTAAAGCAATCATAAATCTGAGAGGCTTTATACAGGTTTAAGTGGCACTGCAAAGAAATGGAGCTCATTAACATTGTCTTCACACAAGAGAGAGCCTGGAAGAAGAGCTTGTTTCTGAGATAAGGCTGGATGTTATAAATATTGCCAATTTGTAACTTACTTTGGCAACAGGAACTTTTCTTTCCAGCAACTTTTCCCACTTTACAATGCAAAGAAAAACCAAGACTTGCTAATAACTAAAGAAAAAATTATGTTTATGGATAATGAAACACTTATCAGTTGTAATTATCCATTAAAGAAAAGGAATATCCCTATTCTGGGCAGCATCCATACCTCACAAGTTTTTTTAATTTTTAATTTTAATTTTTGTGGGTACATAATAGGCATATATATTTATGGGGTACATTAGATATTTTGATGCAGGTATGTAATGTGTAGGGTACCCATTCCTCAAGCATTTATCCTTTGTGTTACAAATAATCCAGTTATACTGTTTCAGTCATTTAAAAGTTATTATGGAGAGTTCAATTACAGTACAAACCATCATCCTTCACCTGTATTACTGCAATAACCTCTCAACTGTAGTACCTGCAGTTTTCCTTTGGGCCCCTACATTGTAATATAGGTTTAGGTGACACTTCAGAGTGTCTGTATTAAAATCAGAGTGACTGTATTAACCAGAGTGACTTTATTAAAATCTCAGTTTGTGTTGCTATTCTGCTCAAAAGTCTCTGACAGCTTTCCCCTTTACTCACAGTAAACACCAGAGTCCTCACCATGGCCCACAGACCTTCTGTGGTCTGACTCCTTGTAACATCCTCAATATTGATAATTCTATATCAAACATTTGTATCTTACTATCCTTCTCTATAATCTTAATGTTTTATTTTTCTTTGCAGAACTTATAATCATTTGATATATTATATCTTTACCAATTTTTTATTGTCTTTCTCCCCCAAATACTAAAATAGAAGCTTTTTGAGAACAAAGATTTATGTCTTTTTAAATGCTATATTTCTCTTGCATAGAACAGTGCCTGTCATTTAGTAGACATTCACAAAATGTTTGTTGACTGAATATACAGCTATTGGGCTTTGAGAATGTGAGCCCATCATATTTTATAACTTAGAACTTCAGATCCATGTTCCTGAAAAGTGAGTGTGAACTACCAGGTTCAAACTCTGGCACAGTACCGCAGTTGAAGAGTTAAAGCAAATTCAAATTGAATCACAAAATATTTCACATAGCTAGAGCAATCATGAGCAAGAAAAATCAAAGCTGGAGACAATTATATCTGATTTCAGATTATATTACACAGCTATAGTAAACAAAACAGTATGGTACTGGCATAAAAACAGACACATAGACCAATGGAACACGATAGAGAGACAAGAAATAAACCCACACATATATGGTTAATCAATATTTAACAATGCCAAAATACACAATGGGGAAATGATAATCTCATCAATACATGTTGTTGGGAAAAGTGGATATCCTCATGCAAAAGTATAAAATTGGGCCTCTGTCTTACACCATATACTAAGATCAACTAAACATGGATTTATGGCTTAAATATATGACTTAAACCGTAAAATTTCTAGAAGAAAACATAGGAATAAGCTCCTTGACACTGATCTTGGCAATGAGTTTTTGGATATGACACTAAAAGCAGAGGCAACAATAGCAAATATAGTCAAGTGGGACTCCATCAAACTAAAACTCTATTGCACAGCAAAGGAAACAACAGAATAAAGAGACAACCTGCAGAATGAGACAAAATATTTGCAAACCATATATCTGATAAGGGATTAGTATCCACAGTATATACGGAAATCAACTCAATAGCAAAAATGTAAATAACAAGTAAACCAACTTACAAATTGGCATAGAATCCAAATAGACATGTCATGAAAGAAGATATGCAAATGGCCAACAGGTATAAGAAAAGGTGCTCAACATTACTAATTGCTGGGAAAATACAACTTCAAACCATAGTGAAATAAAAATTCACATCTTTAAGATTGGTTATTATCAAAAATACAAGAAATAAAATATGTTGATGAGGATGTGGAGAAAAGGAACCATGGTACACAGTTTGGAATGTAAATTGGTACAGCTATTGTGGAAAACAGTACGTTGGTTCCTCAAAAAAAGAATACAAAATTTCAGATAGGAATAAGTTATAAGGTCACTTGCACAGCAGGATGACTATAGTCAATGGTAGTGTATTGTATAATTCAAAATAATTAAGATACATTTCATACACCATAAAAACTGATAGATAAGTGAAGTGATGGATATGTTAATTTGCTTGATGTAATCATTCTGCATTGTGTACATATCTCAAGACATATTGTACCTCATAAATACATAAAATTATGATTTGTTGAGCCGAAAAAATATTAATTTAAAAATTAAAAACATAACTACCATATGATCTAGCAATTCCACTTCTTGGTATATATGCAAAAACTAAAATCAGAATCTCAAAAAGATGTCTGCACTCTCCTGATCATTGCAGCATTATTCATAATTCACAATAGCCAAGATGGGGAAACAACTTAAATTTCCATCTATAGATGAATGGATAAAATAACTGTAGTATGCACGCAGTGGAATAATAGTCAGGCTTTAAAGGTGAAAATTCTGAAATTTATGATAACATAGATGGGCCTGGAGGGCATTATGCTAAGTAAAATAAGCCAGTCATGCAAAGACAAATACTGTGTGATGTCTCTTATATGTGTAATCTAAAATAATCAAACTCACAGAAGGAGAGAGTAGAAAAGTGGTTGCATGGGCGTGGTGGAGAAGAAAATGGTGGGTTATGGTTAAAGGTTATGAAGTTTCAATTATGAAAGATAAATAAGTTCTGGAGATCTACTAGATAGCATAATACCTATAACTAACAACACTGTATTGTATATTGACAATTTGTTAGGAAGGCAGATCTTATGTTAAGTGTTCTTACCACAAAACTAATGATGATGATGGTAATAATAATAATAATAATAGGGGCAAAAGAAAACATGGAGAGGTGATAGACATGTTTATGGTTTTGATGGTGGTAATGGTTTTAAGCGTGTGTGCTTATCCCAAACACATATGTACACATTTCTATATGCCAATATACCTCAAAAAGTGGTATTATTCATTATTCTATTTTTTTATTTTTTAATACTCAAGTTTTGTTCATCATTGTGGGCATCCAGTTTACAGAAGTATATATAATTATTATTATTTAAACATAAAACAAAATATTTGTGAATTCATTTAAAAAATTTTTTATTTCCATAGGTTTTTGGGGAATGGGTGATATTAGCTGACATGAATAAGTTATTTAGTGGTGATTTCTGAGATTTCAGTACACCCATCACTAGAGCAGTATACACTGCATCATATTTGTAGTCTTTTATTCCTCACCACCCTCCCACACTTTCCCCTGAGTACCCAAAGTCCATTGTATCATTCTTATGCCTTTGCATCATCATGGCTTAGCTCCCACTTATAAGTGAGAAAATACGATGTTTGGTTTTCCATTCCTGAGTTACTTCACTTAGCATAATAGTCTACAATCTCATACAGGTTGCTGCGAATGTGATTAATTCATTGCTTTTTATGGCTGAGTAGTATTCCGTCATACACACACACACACACACACACATATATACATATATCACAGTTTCTTTATCCACTCATTGATTGATGCGCATTTGGGTTGGTTCCACGATTTTGCACTTGTGAATTGTGCTTCTATAAACATGCATGTGCAAGGGTCTTTTTCAAATAATGACTTCTTTTCCTCTGGGTAGATACCCAGAAGTGGGATTGCTGGATCAAATGGTAGTTCTACCTTTAGTTCTTTAAGAAATCTCCACACTGTTTTCCATAGTGGTTGTATTAGTTTATATTACCACCAGTAGTGTAGAAGAGTTCCTTTTTCACCACATCCATGTCAACATTTACTGTTTTCTAATTGTTTGATTATGGCCATTCTTGCAGGACTAAGATGGTATCACATTGTGGTTTTGATTTGCATTTTCTTCATCATTAGTGATGTTGAGCATTTTTTCATATGTTTGTTGGCCAATTGTATATGTCCTTTTGAGAATTGTCTGTTCAAGTCCTTAGTCCACTTTTTAATGGGATTGTTTGAATTTTTTTTTCTTACTGATTTAAGTTTGTTGTATATTCCAGATATTAGTCCTTTGTCAGATGTATAGATTGTGAAGATTTCCTCCCACTCTGTAGGTTGTCTGTTTACTCTGCTGACTGTTCCTTTTGTCATGCAAAACTCTTTAGTTCAATTACGCCCCAGCTATTTATCTTTGATTTTATTACATTTGCTTTTGGATTCTTGGTCGTGAAATCCTTGCTTAAGCCAATGTCTACAAGGGTTTTTCCAATGTTATCTTCTAGAATTTTTATGGTTTCCGTTCTTAGGGTTAAGTTCTTAATCCATCTTGAGTTGGTTTTTGTATAAGATGAGAGATGAGGATCCAGTTTTATTCTCCTACATGTAGCTTGCCAATTATCTCAGCACCATTTGTTGAAAAGGGTGTCCTTTCCCCACTTTATGTTTTTTGTTTGCTTTGTCGAAGATCAGTTAGCTGTAAGTACTAGGCTTTATTTTGGGGTTCTCTATTCTGTTCCATTGGTCTATGTGCCTATTTTTATATCAGTACCATGCTGTTTGTGTGACTATGGCCCTATAGTATAGTTTGGATGCTACTATACTATAGTATAGTAGTGTGAGGCCTCCAGATTTGTTCTTTTTGCTTAGTCTTGCTTTGGCTATGCAGGCTCTTTTTTTTTGTTCCAGATGAATTTTAGAATAGTTTTTTCTAATTCTGTGCAGAATGATGGGGATATTTTGATGAGGATTGTATTGAATTTCTGGATTGCTTTTGGCAGCATGGTCATTTTCACAATATTGATTCTACCCATCCATGGGCACGGGATGTGTTTCCATTTGTTTCTGTCATCTATGATAACTTTCAGCAGTGTTATGAAGTTTTCCTTGTAGAGGTCTTTCGACTCCTTTGTTAGGTATATTCCTAAGTAGTTTTTTTTTTTTTTTTGCAGCTATTGTAAAAGGGGTTGAGTTCTTGATTTGATTCTCGGCTTGGTTGCTGTTGGTGTATAGAAAAGCTACTGATTTGTGTACATTAATTAAACTGCTGAATTCTTTGATCAGTTCTAGGAGCTTTCTGGAGGTGTCCTTAAGATTTTCAAGGTAAACGGTCATATCATCAGCAGTGACAGTTTGACTTCCTCTTTACTGATTTAGATGCCCTTTATTTCTTTCTCTTGTCTGATTGCTCTGGCTAGGACTTCCAGTACTATGTTGAAGAGGAGTGGTGAGAGTGGGCATCCTTGTCTTGTTCCCATTCTCAGAGGGAATGCTTTCAACTTTTCCTGATTAAGTATTACGTTGTCTGTGGGTTTGTCATAGATAGCTTTTATTACATCAATGTATGTCCCTTCTATGCTGATTTTGCTGATAGTTTTAATTACAAACCAATGCTGGATTTTGTCGAATGCTTTTTCTGCATCTACTGAGATAATTGTGTGATTTTCATTTTTAATTCTGTTTATGTGATGAATCACATTTATTGACTTGTTAAACAATTTCTACATCCCTTGTATGAAACTCACTTTATCATGGTGGATTATCTTTTTGATATGCTATTGAATTTGGTTAGCTAGTATTTTGTTAAGGATTTTAGCATCTGTGTTCATCAAGAATATCAGTCTGTAGTTTTCTTTTTTGGTGGTGTCCTTTTCTGGTTTTGGCATTAGGGTGATACTGGTTTCATAGAATGAATTAGGGAATGTTCCTTCTTTTTCTATCTTGTGGAATAGTGTCAAAAGGATTGGTACCAATTCTTTGAATGTCTGGTAGAATTCTGCTGTGAATCTGTCAGGTCCTGGACTTTTTTTGTTGGTAATTTTTTAATTACCATTTCAATCTTGCTGCTTTTTATTGGTCTGTTTAGGGTATCTAATTCTTCCTGACTTAAGCTAGGAAGGTTGTATTTTTCCAAGAATTTATCCATCTCTTCTAGGTCTTCTAGTTTATGTGCATAAAGGTGTTTATAGTAGCCTTGAATGATGTTCTATATTTCAGTGGCGTCAGTTGTAATAGCTCCTGTTTCATTTCTTAGTGAGGTTATTTGGGTTTCTTTCTTTTTTCTTGGTTAATCTTGCTAACGATCTATCAATTTTATTTATCTTTCAGAGAACTAGCTTTTTGTTTCATTTATCTTTTGTATTGTATTTTTTGTTTCAATTTCTTTTAGTTCTGCTTTGATCTTGGTTATTTCCTTTCTTCTGCTGGGTTTGGGTTTGGTTTGTTTTTGTTTCTCTAGTTCCTTGAAGTGTGACCTTAGATTGTCTGTTTGTGCTCTTTCAGACTTTCTGATATAGGCATTTAAGGCTCTGAACTTTCCTCTTAGCTTTTGCTTATCCTAGAGATTTTGATACATTGTGTCTTCATTGTCATTTAGTTCAAAGAATGTTTTAATTTCCATCTTGATTTCGTTTTTGACTTAGTGGTCATTCAGGAGCAGGTTATTTATTTTCCATGTATTTTCATGGTTTTGAAGGTTCCTTATGGAGCTGATTTCCAGTTCTATTCCATTGTGGTCTGAGAGAGTGCTTAATGTAATTTCAATTTTCTTAAATTTATTGAGGCTTGCTTTATGGCCTATTACATGGTCTGTCTTAGGGAAAGTTCCAGGCACTGTTGAATAGAATGTATATTCTGCTGTTGTTGGGTGAAATGTTCTGTACACATCTGTTAAGCCCATTTATTCCAAGGTGTAGTTTAAATCTATTGTTTCTTTGATGACTTTCTGTCTTGATGACCTGTCTAGTGCTGTTAGCAGAGTATTGAAGTTTCCTACTATTATTGTGTTGTTGTCTATTTCTTTTCTTAGATCTATTAGTAATTGTTTTATAAATTTGGGAGCTCCAGTATTAGGTGCATATATGTTTAGGGTTGTGATATTTTCCTGTTGGACAAGGCCTTTTACCATTATATAATGTCCCTCTTTGTCTCTTTTAACTGCTGTTGCTTTAAGGTTTGTTTTTCCTGATATAAGAATAGTTATTCCTGCTAGCTTTTGGTGTCCATTTGTATGAAATGCCTTTTTTTCACCCCTTTACTTTAAGTTTATGTGAGTCCTTATGTGTTAGGTGAGTATCCTGAAAGCAGCAGACAGTTAGTTGGTGAGTTCTTATTAATCCTTCTGTTCTGTATCTTTTAAGTGGTGCATTTAAAACATTTACATTCAACATTAGTATTGAAATGTGAGGTACTGTTGCATTCATCATGCTCTTTGTTGCTTGAGTACTTTTTGTTGTTGTTGTTTTGATTTTGCTTTTTAACTTGTGCTAGTGTGATTTTGGGGAGGTGTTGAAGAGCCTTGCTTTGTCATATTACCAGGGCTGGTTTTCTGGTTTCTTCTCATTTGGGAAGCCTGTATCAGAGGGAAGGTCTAAGGCTGAAGGCTGTTGTTCAGATTCTTCTGTCCTATGGGGTGTTCCCTTGATGTAATGCTCTCTCCTTTTCTTTCTGTGGATGTGGCTTCCTATGAGCCAAACTGCAATGATTGTTGTCTCCCTTGTGGGTCTAGCCACCCAGCAGGTCTACCCAACCCCAGGCTGGTACTAGGGATTGTCTGCATTGAGTCCTATAATGTGAACAATTTATTGGTTCCTCAGCCGTGGATAGCAGCAACTGTTCTGGTGGAGGTGGCAGAGGGTGCAATGGGCACCGTGAGGGTCCTTACCATTGGTCGTTTAATGCTCTACTTTTGTGCAGGTTGGCGTCCTGCCAGGAGGTGGCACTTTCCAGGAAGCATCAGCTGTAGTAGTGTGGAGAGGGACCAGTGGTAGGCAGGGCCCTAGAACTCCCAAGATTATATGCTCTTTGTCTTCCACTGCTAGGGTGGATAGGGAAGGACCATCAAGTGCGGGCAGGGCTAGGCGTGTCGGAGCTCAGACTCTCCTTGGGCGGGTCTCGCTGCAGCTGCTGTGGGGGATGGGAGTGAGAGTCCCAGGTCACTGGAGTTGTGTACCTAGGAGGATGATGGCTGCCTCTGCTGAGTCATGCAGGTTGTCAGGGGAGTGGGAGAAAGCAAGCAGTCGCAGGCTTCACCCAGTCCCCACACAACCTGAAAGGCCTGTCTCACACCATGCACCCCCACAACACCCCAGTCGCAGGGTGAGATGGGCTTGAGAAGTTGTCAAAGGCCATCTGCCTCCCAGCTGCAAAAGAAAAGGGCTTTAGTTCTTCCACCGCCTGTGAAGTCTGCACTACAGATTCACACGCTCTCCTGAGTTCTGGCCAGGAGGCTTCCTGCCCTGTTCAAATTGTTACAAAGTTCAGCTAGAGAATTCCTTCTCCCTGTGGAGTTTTAACCCCTGCTCCTCTGGCCACCCTCCCGATGGATCTCTGTGGTGCCAGGCAAGAATAGGTTGCTTGGAGACCCAGCAAGCTCCCAGGGCCTTTTTGATTCTTCTTCTGCTCTTGTATTTTGCTCAGCTCTCTAACTTGACTCAGCTCCAGGTAAAGTCAAAAACTTCTCCCGCAAACAGAACTTCAGCTTCTCCAGTGGGGGTGTGTGTTTAGGTGAGGAGGGTCTCCCTTTCTCACTTCCACTGTTGGGGCACTCACAGTATTTTGGGTATCTCCTGGGTCCTGTGGGAGCAGTCTGCTTTCTTTAGAGGGTCTGTGGGTCCTCTCATGATTCCCGGTTTGTTCTTGAGTCAATCTGGAGCTAAAATTTACAATGCAAGCCTCCACGTGCTGCTCTGACAGGAGCTGCAATCTAGTTCTGCCTCCCCTCCACTATGATCCTCTAGTTCCCCAATTTGATGTTTTAAGTGAATGCTGAAATTTTAAATAAAAATTTCCCAAGTCTCAGAGGTTGCCTGGAAAGCTGACACTCACAGGACCACAGAGCAAATGCTGAGTTCAGCTTTAGAAAACAGTATTGACTCATTCTCTTTGAGTGCGTAGAATCCTTCTATCTATCTCAAGCCTAGTCCAGAGACATTTTTTTTAAGATGGAGTCTCACGCTGTCGCCCATTTTTTTTTTTAGAAGGAGTCTCACTCTGCTGCACAGGCTGGAGTGCAGTGGTGCGATCTCAGCCCACTGCAACTTCCACCTCCTGGGGTCAAGCAATTCTCATGCCTCAGCCTACTGAGTAGCTGGGACTACAGGCACCCACCACCACGCCTGGCCAATTTTTGTATTTTTAGTAGAGACGGGGTTTCACCATATTGGCCAGGCTGGTCTCAAACTCCTGACCTCAGGTGATCCACCCACCTTGGCCTCCCAAACTTCTGAGATTACAAGTGTGAGCTACCATGCCCAGCCTGTGGTCTCCTTTTAACTTCCTCTGACTCCTGAGTAGCCTCTCACATTGACAAATTCAAAACTTCTCTGAACTAAGTTTTTCTCTAACCAACTGAACCCTCTGCTCTGATACCTGAGTCCTCAGACAGGTAATAAGAATATTGTCCCTTTTTGTGAAACTACTTTTGCATCAATAGTATCAATTGGAAAACTGTGTAAAGACCTCTGTGGGTACCATGGACAGTATTTAACATGGTGATTTCCAGGGATAAATTCTTCACCTGCCTGTGTTCAGAAAAACTAATTGCAAAGGAGTACAATTCAGCGGTTTGAATTTCTATTTCTTAGGAAGTTCTCTACTCTCCCACTTCCTGTGAATGTACACACACTTTTACACATATTTGTGACTTTCTGTTTCAGGATTTCACCATCATAGCCATTTAAAAAATGATTTCCATCTCATCTGGTTTATGCTATTTCCCCCAATGTAATATTCAGAATGTCAGGGAGTTCAACTGCACAGGAAACAGCAGCTGGATACAGATACAATATTGCATAATTTTGGCTGCTTTCTGTATTTCTTTTATCATTTTGTGCCCTAAGGATAATCTGCTGATTATTGGCTAGAGTAACTCTAACTCCTGCCAGATTGGCTAAGACTGACTACCTGTCACTGAAGCTTCAAGTCAAGTAAGACTTAACAGATCAGACATCTTAAGGTCATAGCACACCTGGATTCCTAAGGATTAGTAAGAAGGGTTGAGTGAGTTTTATTTTGCTCCAACAGTGTTAAGACCCGGTCTCTTAAACCTATTGTTTTTACATTTTTAACTTGCATTTTAAATGTAGCAGAAGGAAGAAAGATGATAGGCAAAAAGAGCCAGTTGTACAAATAAGAATGGTGAGAGCCTCATTCTAACTACTTCAACTCCAGAGGCTATTATAGTGCTTAACCTGTTGAAATCTATCACAATGTCTGGAGAGAGATGTAGAAACATTTTCAATTTTGAGGATCTCAGATGTGCTATCAGGACCTTGGATACTGAATATAGACTGGCATATATAAGTCACAAACTTTTTCTTTGACACTTTTCTCTGCAAGCAAATGATTATTGTGGTGAAAAGACTTAGAAAATAAAACATTATGGAGGATGGAATTTTAAAGTATTTTTAATTAAACATTTTCCCCTAAGAAAATGCTCTTTAAGAGTAGAAGGAAAACTGGAAGCTAGTGCAAATTCACATTTGAGTTTTGAAAGTGTTTGCCTGAAATTCTACAAGCCAGAAAAGACTGGGGGCCAATATTCAACATTCTTTTTTTTATTATTATTATATGTTAAGTTTTAGGGTACATGTGCACAGTGTGCAGGTTAGTTACATATGTATACATGTGACATGCTGGTGCACTGCACCCACTAAATCGTCATCTAGCATTAGGTATATCTCCCAATGCTATCCCTCCCCCCTCCCCCGCACCCCACAACAGTCCCCAGAGTGTGATGTTCCCCTTCCTGTGTCCATGTGTTCTCATTGTTCAATTCCCACCTATGAGTGAGGATATGTGGTGTGTGGTTTTTTGTTCTTGCGATAGTTTACTGAGAATGATGATTTCCAATTTCATCCATGTCCCTACAAAGGACATGAACTCATCACTTTTTATGGCTGCATAGTATTCCATGGTGTATATGTGCCACATTTTCTTAATCCAGTCTATCATTGTTGGACATTTGGGTTGGTTCCCAGTCTTTGCTATTGTGAATAATGCCGCAATAAACATACGTGTGCATGTGTCTTTATAGTAGCATGATTTATAGTCCTTTGGGTATATACTAAATGGGATGGCTGGGTCAAATGGTATTTCTAGTTCTAGATCCCTGAGGAATCGCCACACTGACTTCCACAAGGGTTGAACTAGTTTACAGTCCCACCAACAGTATAAAACTGTTCCCATTTCTCCACATCCTCTCCAGCACCTGTTGTTTCCTGACTTTTTAATGATTGCCATTCTAACTGGTGTGAGATGGTATCTCATTGTGGTTTTGATTTGCATTTCTCTGATGGCCAGTGATGATGAGCATTTTTTCATGTGTTTTTTGGCTGCATAAATGTCTTCTTTTGAGAAGTGTCTGTTCATGTCCTTCACCCACTTTTTGACAGGGTTGTTTGTTTTTTTCTTGTAAATTTGTTTGAGTTCATTGTAGATTCTGGATATTAGCCCTTTGTCAGATGAGTAGGTTGTGTAAATTTTCTCCCATTTTGTAGGTTGCCTGTTCACTCTGATGGTAGTTTCTTTTGCTGTGCAGAAGCTCTTGAGTTTAATTAGTTCCCTTTTGTCAATTTTGGCTTTTGTTGCCATTGCTTTTGGTGTTTTACTCATGAAGTCCTTGCATGGCCAGGTACTCCTCTGAGAAAAAACTTCCAGAGGAACAATCAGACAGCAACATTCACAGTTCATGAAAATCCGCTGTTCTGCAGCCACTGCTGCTGATACCCAGGCAAACAGCCTCTGGAGTGGACCTCTAGCAAACTCAAACAGACCTGCAGCTGAGGGTCCTGTCTGTTAGAAGGAAAACTAACAAACAGAAAGGACATCCACACCAAAAACCCATCTGTACATCACCATCATCAAAGACCAAAAGTGGATAAAACCACAAAGATGGGGAGAAAAGAGAGCAGAAAACTGGAAACTCTAAAAAGCAGAGTGCCTCTCCTCCTCCAAAGGAATGCAGTTCCTCACCAATAACAGAACAAAGCTGGACGGAGAATGACTTTGACAAGTTGAGAGAAGAAGGCTTCAGACGGTCAAACTACTCCGAGTGACAGGAGGAAATTCAAACCAAAGGCAAAGAAGTTAAAAACTTTGAAAAAAATTTAGACGCATGTATAACTAAAATAACCAACACAGAGAAGTGCTTAAGGGAGCTGATGGAGCTGAAAACCAAGGCTCGAGAACTACGTGAAGAATTCATAAGCCTCAGGAGCCGATGCAATCAACTGGAAGAAAGGGTATCAGTGATGGAAGATGAAATGAATGAAATGAAGTGAGAAGGGAAATTTAGGGAAAAAAGAATAAAAAGAAATGAACAAAGCCTCCAAGAAATATGGGACTATGTGAAAAGACCAAATCTACATCTGATTGGTGTACCTGAAAGTGATGGGGAGAATGGAACCAAGTTGGAAAACACTCTACAGGATATTATCCAGGAGAACTTCCCCAATCTAGAAAGGCAGGCCAGCATTCAGATTCAGGAAATACAGAGAATGCCACAAAGATACTCCTCGAGAAGAGCAACTCCAAGACACATAATTGTCAGATTCACCAAAGTTGAAATGAAGGAAAAAATGTTAAGGGCAGCCAGAGAGAAAGGTCGAGTTACCCACAAAGGGAAGCCCATCAGACTAACAGCTGATCTCTCGGCAGAAACTCTGCAAGCCAGAAGAGAGTGGGGGCCAATATTCAACAATCTTAAAGAAAAGTATTTTCAACCCAGAATTTCATATCCAGCCAAACTAAGCTTCATAAGTGAGGGAGAAACAAAATTCTTTACAGACAAGCAAATGCTGAGAGATTTTGTCACCACCAGGCCTGCCCTATAAGAGCTCCTGAAGGAAGCACTAAACATGGAAAGGAACAACTGGTATCAGCCACTGCAAAATCATGCCAAATTGCAAAGACCATCGAGGCTAGGAAGAAACTGCATCAAATAACGAGCAAAATAACAAGCTAACATCATAATGACAGGATCAAATTCACACATAACAATATTAACTTTAAATGTAAATGGACTGAATGCTCCAATTAAAAGACACAGACTGGCAAATTGGATAAAGGGTCAAGACCCATCAGTGTGTTGTATTCAGGAAACCCATCTCACAGGCAGAGACACACTTAGGCTCAAAATAAAAGGATGGAGGAAGATCTACCAAGCAAATGGAAAACAAAAAAAGGCAGGGGTTAAAGTCCTAGTCTCTGATAAAACAGACTTTAAACCAACAAAGATCAAAAGAGACAAAGAAGGCCATGACATGATGGTAAAGGGATCAATTCAACAAGAAGAGCTAACTATCCTAAATATATATGCACCCAATACAGGAGCACCCAGATTTATAAAGCAAGTCCTGAGTGACCTACAAAGAGACTTAGACTCCCACACAATAATAATGGGACACTTTAACACCCCACTGTCAACATTGGACAGATCAATGAGACAGAAAGTTAACAAGGATACCCAGGAATTGAACTCAGCTCTGCACCAAGTGGACATAATAGACATCTACAGAACTCTCCACCCCAAATCAACAGAATGTACATTTTTTTCAGCACCACACCACACCTATTCCAAAATTGACCACATAGTTGGAAGTAAAGCTCTCCTCAGCAAATGTAAAAGATCAGAAATTATAACAAACTGTCTCTCAGACCACAGTGCAATCAAACTAGAACTCAGGATTAAGAAACTCATCAAAACCGCTCAGCTACACGGAAACTGAACAACCTGCTCCTGAATGACTACGGGGTACATAACGAAATGAAGGCAGAAATAAAGATGTTCTTTGAAACCAACGAGAACAAAGTCACAACATACCAGAATCTCTGGGACACATTCAAAGCAGTGTGTAGAGGGAAATTTATAGCACTAAATGCCCACAAGAGAAAGCAGGAAAGATCCAAAATTGACACCCTAACATCACAATTAAAAGAACTAGAAAAGCAAGAGCAAACACATTCAAAAGCTAGCAGAAGGCAAGAAATAACTAAAATCAGAGCAGAACTGAAGGAAATAGAGACACAAAAAACCTTTCAAAAAATTAATGAATCCAGGAGCTGTTTTTTTTGAAAAGACCAACAAAATTGATAGACCGCTAGCAAGACTAATAAAGAAGAAAAGAGAGAAGAATCAAATAGATGCAATAAAAAATGATAAAGGGGATATCACCCCAGATCCCACAGAAATACAAACTAACATCAGAGACTACTACAAACACCTCTATGCAAATAAACTAGAAAATCTAGAAGAAATGGATAAATTCCTTAACACATACACCCTCCCAAGACTAAACCAGGAAGAAGTTGAATCTCTGAATAGACCAATAACAGGCTCTGAAGTTATGGCAATAATCAATAGCTTACCAACCAAAAAGAGTCCAGGACCAGGTGGATTCACAGCCGAATTCTACCAGAGGTACAAGGAGGAACTGGTACCATTCCTTCTGAAACTATTCCAATCAATAGAAAAAGAGGGAATCCTCCCTAACTCATTTTATGAGGCCAGCATCATCCTGATACAAAAGCCTGGCAGAGACACAACCAAAAAAGAGAATTTTAGACCAATATCCTTGATGAACATTGATGGAAAAATCCTCAATAAAATACTGGCAAACCGAATCCAGCAGCACATCAAAAAGTTTATCCACCATGATCCAGTGGGCTTCATCCCTGGGATGCAAGGCTGGTTGAATATACACAAATCAATAAATGTAATCTAGTATATAAGCAGAACCAAAGACAAAAACCAAATGATTGTCTCAATAGATGCAGAAAAGGCCTTTGACAAAATTCAACAGCCCTTTGTGCTAAAAACTCTCAATAAATTAGGTATTGATGGGACGTATTTCAAAATAATAAGAGCTATCTATGACAAACCCACATCCAATATCATACTGAATGTGCAAAAACTGGAAGCATTCCCTCTGAAAACTGGCACAAGACAGGGATGCCCTCTCTTACCGCTCCTATTCAACATAGTGTTGGAAGTTCTGGCCAGGGCAATTAGGCAGGAGAAGGAAATAAAGGGTATTCAATTAGGAAAAGAGGAAGTCAAATTGTCCCTTTTTGCAGATGACATGATTGTATATCTAGAAAACCCCATTGTCTCAGCCCAAACTCTCCTTAAGCTGATAAGCAACTTCAGTAATGTCTCAGGAAACAAAATCAATGTACAAAAATCACAAGCATTCATATACACAAATAACAGACAAACAGAGGGTCAAATCATGAGTGAACTCCCATTCACAATTGCTTCAAAGAGAATAAAATATCTATGAATCCAACTTACAAGGGACATGAAGGACCTCCTCAAGGAGAACTACAAACCACTGCTCAATGAAATAAAAGAGGATACAAAGAAATGGAAGAACATTCCATGCTCATGGGTAGGAAGAATCAATATCTTGAAAATGGCCACACTGTCCAAGGTAATTTATAGATTCAATGCCCTCCCCATCAAGCTACCAATGACTTTCTTCACAGAATTGGAAAAAAACTACCTTAAAGTTCACATGGAACCAAAAAAGAGCCCGCATCACCAAGTCAATCTTAAGCCAAAAGAAGAAAGCTGGAGGCATCATGCTACCTGACTTCAAACTATACTACAAGGCTACAGTTACCAAAATAGCATGGTACTGATACCAAAACAGAGATATAGCTCAATGGAACAGAACAGAGCCCTCAGAAATAAGGCCGCATATCTACAACTATCTGATCTTTGACAAACATGAGAAAAATAAGCAATGGGGAAAGGATTCCCTATTTAATAAATGGTGCTGGTAAAACTGGCTAGACATATGCAGAAGCTGAAACTGGATCCCTTCCTTACACCTTATACAAAAATCAATTCAAGATGGATTACAGACTTAAACATTAGACCTAAAACCATAAAAACCCTAGAAGAAACCCTGGGCTTTACCATTCAGGACATAGGCATGTGCAAGGACTTCATGTCTAAAACACCAAAAGCAATGGCAACAAAAGACAAAATTGACAAATGGGATCTAATTAAACTCAAGAGCTTCTGCACAGCAAAAGAAACTACCATCAGAATGAACAGGCAACCTACAAAATGGGAGAAAATTTTTGTAACCTACTCATCTGACAAATGGCTAATATCCAGAATCTACAATGAACTCCAACAAATTTACAAGAAGAAAACAAGTAACCCCATCAAAAAGTGGGCAAAGGACATGAACAGACACTTCTTAAAAGAAGACATTTATGCTGCCAAAAACACATGAAAAAATGCTCACCATCACTGGCCATCAGAGAAATGCAAATCAAAACCACAATGAGATACCATCTCACACCAGTTAGAATGGCGATCATTAAAAAGTCAGGAAACAACAGGTGCTGGAGAGGATGTGGAGAAATAGGAACACTTTTACACTGTTGGAGGGACTGGAAACTAGTTCAACCATTGTGCAATTCAGTGTGGTGATTCCTCTGGGATCTAGAACTTGAAATACCATTTGACCCAGCCATCCCATTACTGGGTATATACCCAAAGGACTATAAATCATGCTGCTATAAAGACACATGCACACGTATATTTATTGCAGCATTATTCACAATAGCAAAGAATTGGAACAAACCCAAATATCCAACAACGATAGACTGGATTAAGAAAATGTGGCACATATACGCCATGGAATACTATGCAGCCATAAAAAGTGATGAGTTCATGTCCTTTGTAGGGACATGGATGAAATTGGAAATCATCATTCTCAGTAAACTATCGCAAGGACAAAAAACTATACACCACATATTCTCACTCATAGGTGGGAATTGAACAATGAGAACACATGGACACAGGAAGGGGAACATCACACTCTGGGGACTGTTGTAGGGTGGGGGGAGGGGTGAGGGATAGCATTGGGAGATATAACTAATGCTAGATGACGAGTTAGTGGGTGCAGCACACCAGCATGTCACATGTATACATATGTAACTAACCTGCACATTGTGCACATGTACCCTAAAACTTAAAGTATAATAATAAAAAATAAAATAAAATAAAGAAGCATGGTTATTAACAAACCCAAAAAAATTAAAAAAAAAAAAAAGAAAAGAAAAGTAAGTCACAGTACACAGGGCCAAATAAAACCCATCTGATGAGAATTTATGGTTTGTAGGGCATGACTCCCTAGACCCCTTAGGTAGGAATTTGGGCAAGATAAATAATCAGAGCTTAGTTCTCAATAGGCTCCTTTTACGTTGGCTTTGCTGGAACTTTACCTAAAAATATGCTGTTTCAGTCAAAGTCTTGGTAAAATAGTCAGTGTCTCCAATTGTTCAGTTCTAAAAGACTCTTACTAAACTTATGCAAATAACTATATTGTCATAAAATCACAATCTGAATTTTAGAGAACTCTGAGAAAAAAATTAATTTGCTTACAATAACACACCACCCAAATGATCTAAACTACTTATTTAAATAACTTAAAAGAAGCAAATTTTTTACCCTTCTTTAACCATAGCAACAGGCTTCTGAACAACAGGTTTGTTCACCTTGAAATTGCCATTTACATGCCAAACAGCTCATGAGAGCTGTCTATCAGGCACTGTAAAATATAGCAGCTCCTCACATAGAATCAGTCCAAGGGAAAAAAGAGGCTCGCTTCTCAGGAGCATCTCCTTGTATCCCCAGGTAGTACGATCCTATGTAAACCATTTTTATTTTATCATGGAACTCTTTTGGACATCATTATTTCCATTAGCATAGGAATAGCTTCAGTGAACATTCCATAGCATGGCAGTAAATGCCCCTTAAGTGGAAATCATCCAGTCCAGTATTTGTTTTTGGGAAGAGCTCACTGTCTTTTGCCATAAACCCCAATAAATATTCCACAAAATGCTATAAAGTGGAGAATTTGTCCCAACTAGCATCCCAACTTCTGCCCTATATTTTGTGGGCTCAAACAATCTTACTAGTTCCCATTTAGTGTGTCCCACTAACATTTCTCAAAGAGCAGATTGACATGCCTTCAGTTTTATAGTACTAAACAGAGGAAATATCCCCCAGTTAGATACAATACCCATTTTCATAAGACATTTAGTTAAAGGAGTCGCCACTACCTTATATAAAATCTATTTAAATATCTCAAATTTCATAATTCTATTAACCTGTGATTTTAATGTTCTGGTTCCAGGAACTTTTCCTTTCAACCCCCAGATCATGTTACCTTTCCTGGTGCAAAAGGGTTTGGATTCGCAGCAAGAGGAGCCCAGGGACTCAGGCTGTTTTGTCAATTTTTTTATTTTAATTTGTCACACCATTGCTCCAGGCAATGTCAGTTTCTCTTGATAACCTTTGCCTTCTGATTTTTTTAAAAATGTTTCAATTAGGAGCAGATAGTGAATAACAATCAAAAAAATTTCTATCATCCTTCTGGGGTGAGTCCTTTGACTCCTTTTTTCTTTCTATTTTTTTTCATTGTTAATTACCCCAATGTTCTTTAAGCATCTGTAAGACCCATGAGGGACAGCAAATTTTATAAGGCTTCTCAAACAGTCATGATTCTGTGGGAGAGGTACCCATGTAAAAGGGGCCCCCTTAAACCCCAAATTTACCATGACCTGGGTAATAGGCATACTTGATGGGAGAATATCCCAGTCATCATAAAGCCATTCCCACATAACTTGCATATGAAGCATATCATTGCTTCATCTTGGGTGTTCCACTTGTTATTTTATAGAAAGAGTTGAACAGTCCTGTTTTCAGGGCAAACAGACCTTACAGTGGCATTTATATGATCCACTAGGCTGCTCTTTCAGGAAAAACCTTCTGTTCATTTGGATCACATATACTTATTAGTGATTGTTCAATAGTGGGTCCTGCATTAACCCAAACAAGTTTTCATTTTTTAACATTTAAATTTAAGGATTTTGTCCCTGAAGTGGTTACTTTTACAATCCATTATAGTAAAGGTTTCTCAAGCAGCTGATGACACCAATCTACAAAATGGAACAATTCCTTTACATTATACCCTCTGGTTTTAATAGTTACTTGGTTTTGTCCTTGCCCAACAGTGACTATCTTTTTGGTAACCACGGGTCTCAGAGATAACTTTTGTTGCCCTGGCTTAACTTTAATTTTTATCCATTTAGTTTTATTTGTATAATTTCTCTTTATTTTAAAGTGAATCTTAAATAGTCTCTGAACTAAGAAGAAATACTACATTTTCTGTAGCAAAAACCACATCCTTGTTTTTTATAAACTTCACCCAAAACACCTTTTATGCTCCTAGTATTTTAACTCTTAGTAACCCAAATTCCCAGTGGAAAAAAAAACAGAGGTTACTTAACATGACTTTAAGATTTTAAACTATTAGAGAAAATTTGGATATTAAATTTACCAAATTAATATTACCAAACATTGCCAAAGTCATGTGAATTAAAAGGCATCTGAGCTAGCTTCTATCAGTCTGATAAGCCCTTACTTTTCTTTAAGTCAAATGATTAGAGCTGTTTCATATAGTTTAATAGTAAAAATTAATTCTGCATGACACATATAAACATAGAGATAAAACAGACATGCAGACAAAAGCACATTCAAAAGATTTTTAATCTGGTTGTTTTCAAAAATCTTCTCCTTTACTTTAGATTATTAATAAATAAAATGTTACCCTGAAAGTTGAAGGAGAGAGTTACCATGCCAAGCCTTCCCAAAAGAGAGAAGGAGCCGAAGCAGCAGGGTACAGCTTCTGAGATATCAATCTGAGTAATTTCAAAAGGAAACATTATAGAATTTAAAAATTAAAAACGTTTTGCATTAAGAGCAAGTTAATATTTTTAAATAAAATCTTGTTTTAACCAATTCTTTAATTTTGTGTAAGTGTATTTTTAATACTAAAGTCCAATATTTAGAAAAACTATTTATTATAATTTTTAAAAATTATAGCCAATTAATCACAGAACATTTTTATAAATTCTTTTTATACTAACTTTATTATGACTTAGACCATTCATGAAATGCTTGGACTTTCTAATTTGTTCTAAATATCCCTCTTTCTTGAACAACTCAGTCATTTTATTTTAGGACAAAAATTCACCATGTAAGTCTCTCATATAAATTACTTTTCTTGTAAGCTTTCTTACCAAAAATACTTCTTTATTTCCATAACTTTCTTTACATCTTTTTTATTTCCTGGTTCCTCTTACCTTGTTTCATACAAAACCTTTAAATAAGCTTTTATTTTTTTTAATGTATTTATTTATTTTTATTGATCATTCTTGGGTGTTTCTCGCAGAGGGGGATTTGGCAGGGTCATAGGACAACAGTGGAGGGAAGGTCAGTAGATAAACAAGTGAACAAAGGTCTCTGGTTTTCCTAGGCAGAGGACCCTGCGGCCTTCCGCAGTGTTTGTGTCCCTGGGTACTTGAGATTAGGGAGTGGTGATGACTCTTAACGAGCATGCTGCCTCCAAGCATCTGTTTACCAAAGCACATCTTGCACCGCCCTTAATCCATTTAACCCTGAGTGGGCACAGCACATGTTTCAGAGAGCACAGGGTTGGGGGCAAGGTCATAGATCGACAGCATCCCAAGGCAAAAGAATTTTTCTTAGTACAGAACAAAATGAAGTCTCCCATGTCTACCTCTTTCTACACAGACACAGCAACAATCTGATTTCTCTATCTTTTCCCCACCTTTCCCCCTTTTCTATTCCACAAAACTGCCGTCATCATCATGGCCCATTCTCAATGAGCTGTTGGTTACACCTCCCAGATGGGGTGGTGGCCGGGCAGAGGGGCTCCTCACTTCCCAGAAGGGGCGGGCGGGCAGAGGCGCAACCCACCTCCCAGACGGGTCGGCTGGCCGGGCGGAGGCTGACCCCCCACCTCCCTCCCGGACGGGGAGGCTGGCCGGGCAGGGGCTGACCCCCCACCTCCCTCCTGGGTGGGGTGGCTGGCCGGGTGGGGGCTGGCCCCCCACCTCCCTCCTGGATGGGGTGGCTGGCCAGGTGGGGGCTGGCCCCCCACCTCCCTCCCAGACGGGGCGGCTGGCCGGGCGGGGGCTGCCCCCCACCTCCCTCCCAGACGGGGTGGCTGCCAGACGGGGTGGTTGCCAGGCGGAGACACTCCTCACTTCTCAGATGGGGCAGCTGCCGGGCAGAGGGGCTCCTCACTTCTCAGATGGGGCAGCTGCCGGGAGGAGGGGCTCCTCACTTCTCAGATGGGGCGGCTGGGCAGAGACGCTCCTCATCTCCCAGACGGGGTGGCGGTCGGGCAGAGACACTCCTCAGTTCCCACACAGGGTCGCCGCCTGTCAGAGGCACTCCTCACATCCCAGACGGGGCAGCGGTGCAGAGGCACTCCCCACATCTCAGACGATCGGCAGCTGGGCAGAGACGCTCCTCACTTCCTAGATTGGAAGGCGGCCGGGAAGAGGCGCTCCTCACTTCCCAGACTGGGCAGCCGGGCAGAGGGGCTCCTCACATCCCAGACGATGGGCGGCCGGGCAGAGATGCTTCTCACTTCCCAGACAGGGTGGCGGCCAGGCAGAGACTGAAATCTCGGCACTTTGGGAGGCCAAGGCAGGTGGCTGGGAGGTGGAGATTGTAGCGAGCCGAGTTCACGCCACTGCACTCCAGCCTGGACAACATTGAGCACTGAGTGAACGAGACTCCGTCTGCAATCCCGGCACCTCGGGAGGCCGAGGCTGGAGGATCACTCACGGTTAGGAGCTGGAGACCAGCCCGGCCAACACAGCAAAACCCCATCTCCACCAAAAAAACACGAAAACCAGTCAGGCGTGGCGGCGCGCGCCTGCAATCACAGGCACTTGGCAGGCTGAGGCAGGAGAATCAGGCAGGGAGGTTGCAGTGAGCAGAGATGGCGGCAGTACTGTCCAGCTTCGGCTCAGCATCAGAGGGATACTGTGGAAAGAGAGGGAGAGGGAGACCGTGGGGAGAGGAGGGAGAGGGAGAGGGAGAGGGAGAGCTAAATAAGCTTTTAATTAGACAAAAAATATTCATCTTTTAACAAGAACACACATTATGTTAGAATGTTTTTCTACAATATATTTTTTTAATTGTAAATTACCCAGATATTTAGTGAAATACCTATTATTTAATTTAACTTTAGATTCTAGATTATAATGCTTATCCCATTAGATATAAATCTAATGGGACAAGTACTTATCCCATTAGATTTACCTAATTATTTTATTTCAATAGTTTACCTAAATTATTTATAAAAACTGTGATAACCATTATTTAAATTTCTTTTCCTGTCAATCATTTTATAGCCTATGAATTTCAGGTGTCTACCTAAGTAAGAGCCTTAACATTAAATATATTATTATTTTGCCAAATAATTCAAGATTTAGCTATTTTCATTAAATTAATATTAATCTCTTATTTATCAAACATTACACAAGCAAAGAACATTCTGTTTTGGGCTGGGCTTATAGTTTAATAACACTTATGCCAAATTTGACACCTTATAGTATTTGGCAGGGATAAGTATAAAATCTCTTGATCAATAAATGTAAACAAAAATGTATGCTATTAATAAAAATTCTTAAGACATTTTTAATATTACTTTACCAATAATTTTAAAGCTAGATTATTGGAGATTTTACTTAAGTAATGTGAACTTGAAAAGCATTTAAGCTTATTATTTAATTTATGAGTACTCTCTGTTTAAGCCAAATTTGGTATCTTGTTGCCAAAAGCACGTAAGAAAATGCATGTATATGCACATAAACACACAAATACACACTCATACAAAGATTCTATAGCTTTACTTTAGGATTATGGCCATGAGATTTTAATAAAAACTCATTGGTTTGCAAAAACAATAACAAAAAGAAATGGATGCAAACAGTGGATTTTATCTCAGTAGAAAAGGAACAACAGACTTAGAGTAGACAGAAAAAAAATGCAGAAAGATAGAGAACTTATGAACTTAATAGTGGGAGGTCAACCTTTGGGCTCTGAATTTTCCTTGATGTAATTGTGCACTAAAAGACCATAATATGTCCATTTTACACAAACACTTGCAAGTAGAAGTGCCATAAAACCAACATAGTATCTGAAAGATCATTCTCCTTGTTCTTTTTTTTTGTTGTTAGAAGATTATTTGTGGCCTAGAGTTTAGTGGAGTGGGTTGACGTGTGCTGTCTGTGGGTGGGACTCCACACTGTTTCACCATTGAGTCATTTCTACCCTCTTATGTGTCTCAGTTTCTCTCTCCAAAGATCTAGCACCTCCAAGAGGGCTCAAGGCACAGAATGACCAGCTCCTATACGTGCTTCCTGGAAGAGCCTTTTTAAACGAATTTTGTTGGGGGTTTCCTGTAGGGTCACTGCAAGTCATGGGGAGTCAACACCCAGACACACCCACTTGGCCTTCATTCACCCAGAGATGCCTTTAGGCTGGGAGGAGCAAAATGTCTTTTCTCTTTGGAGAAAACTCAGTCTTTTCTTTATCCACAAAAATGACAGTTCGGTTCCTCACACAAATGCTCAGACAAGTGAATCAATATTAATTTCAGGAGAGAAGGCAATGGAGAAGACTCCTTAGAATGCACCGTTATATTAAAATTGGGATCCTAAACAACAACTTCCTAGGAGGAAAAGAAAAGGAAAAAAACCAGCTAAGACTACTTCCTGTAAATTGTCCTCAGCCACCCCTAACTTTGTAGCAATTTTCTGCCATTACACATGCCAAGGACAAATCCTCTCACAGTACAAGGTAATATCTGGTACCCCCAAAAGCCAAAGATGTCAGGTAACACAATACAGGAAAGCAGCCGTTTAGCTCTAAGAAGAATCTGCCCATGACTCTTGAAACTCCACAGAGAAAACAAAGCACCCCAAAAAGAGGTGACTGACACCTTTGTTCCTAGTTCTTTAAGAGGTTCAATTCAGTAGAAGCCTTCTCTAGAATTTTCTTGGTACCAAAGATGGCAAAAGAGAAAGGAGAAATAAGGTGGAACCAAAGAAAACAAACAAAAATCTTTAAGACAGGAAGCAAACACAGAAAGTACATGATTTTGTTTTGTGTTGTTTTGTTTCTTTTGCAGCTGTGAGAAATTTTAGCCAAATTCAGAGGCTTGTACCGCATAATTTGGAATCCTCATTCAGATTTGACCAAGTCAGGTAGAGTTGGTGAAATCTGATGGAAGAAAGACCAGAATAAACAATGACAAAATAATGCAAAAATATGATTACTGAGTGTTCCAATAATAAGGAGAAATTAAGACAAGCTGGTTGTTAATCGTAACTTTAGCCAAGACAAAACCCTAATTCAGCTACTTACCTAGGAATGGGTCTAGACTGAAGACTGTTCTCTACCATTTTCAAAGCAGGAAAAAACTCAAGCTTACCTTCCTTATTGGAAGCAAACTCAAACCCCAGAAAGGAGTTACTTGTCTTCTATGTCATAAAAGCAGAAAAACTTCCCTTTCTTGTTGAAAGCAAGTAAAACTCCAGAAAATGAGTTGCACAGCAAAATAAACTTTGGATCTGAACCAAATTTTGGAAGATCAGGGATTCCCTGGAGGAAGCAAAGCTCCCAGGCCTCAGCAAATTGTTCTATTGGTTTGAGCCATAAAGATAGCTCAAGCTGGTACCAAGCACTGATAGGGAATTTGTTAAAGGTCAGGGCCGGCCAGGCACAGTGGCTCTCGCCTGTAATCCCAGCACTTTGGGAGGCCAAGGTGGGCAGATCACGAGGTCAGGAGATCGAGACCATCCTGGCTAACATGGTGAAACCCTGTCTCTTCTGAAAATACAAAAAATTAGCCAGGCATGGCGGGGTCACCTGTAGTCCCAGCTACTCAAGAGGCAGAGGCAGGAGAATGATGTGAACCCAAGAGGCAGCGCTTGCAGTGAGCCAAGTTCACGCCACTGCACTCCAGCCTAGGTGACAGAGCGAGACTCCATCTCAAAAAAAAAAAAAAGGTCAGGGTGATCTCCACTCAGTGTCCTTCCATTGGTCACCAATTTGTGAACCTAAAATATCTGAGGCAGATCTCAGTCAATTTAGAAAGTTTATTGTGCCAAGGTTAAGAATGCACCCATGACACAGCCTCAGGAGGTCCTGATGACATGTGCCCAAGGTGGTCAGGGTACAGCTTGCTTTTATACATTTTAGGGAGACAATACATGTAAGATTTACATTGGTTCAATCTGGAGAGGTAGGACAAGCTGAAGTGAGGAGTCGGGTGAGGGGGTGGGGATATCAGGTCATATGTAGATTTAAACTTGTCCTGATTGGCAATTGGTTGAAAGAGTTATCAATAAAAATGAATGGGTTATGATAAAGGGTTGTAAAATACTAGGATTTGTCATGGAGAAGAAGCCTCAAGTGGTAGGCTTTAGAGAGAATAGACTGTAAATGTTTCTTATCAGACTTAAGGTCTGTGTCGATGTTAATGCTGGAGGGGTATTATGAGGTGTGTTTAACTCCCATTTCCTGTCATGGCCAGTTTTTCAGGATGAATTTTTGGGTGCCCTGGCTGAGGAGGGAGTCCATTCAGATGGTTGCAGAGGGCCTTCAATTTTATTTTTGGTTTACAGCCTGTATCTTTCTTTTCTTTTTGTGTTCCTGTTTCTATTGTGTCTTTGTCTGGTTTTGATATCAGGTCAATATTGACCTCATAGAAGGAGTTTAGAAGTATTCCCTCTTCCTCAATTTTTTGGGAATAGTTTGGGTACAGTTGACATTAGTTCTTATTTAAATGTTTGGTAGAATTTAGCAGGGAAGCCATCAGGTCTGAGGTTTTTCTTTGATGGGAAACTTTTTATTATGGCTTCAATCTTGTTACTTGTCATTGGTGTATTTAGGTTTGGGATTTTTTTCATGGTTCAATCATGGTATATTATATGCTTATCCATTTGTTTTAGGTTTTTCTATTTATTGTTGTATACTTGCTCATAAAAACCTCTAATAATCCTTTAAGTTTCTGCAAGTGCCAGTTTTAATTTCTCTCTTTTCATTTTATTTTCTTTTCTTTTAGTCTTCTCTCTTTTTTTCTTAGTCTGGTTAAAGGTTTGTCAATTTTGTCTTTTCAAAAACACTTTCCATTTTATTGATTTTTTGTATTTTTATTTATTTCAATTTCATTTATTTACACTCTAGTCTTTATTATTCCTTTTCTTTTACTAATTTTAAGTTTGGTTTACTCTTGCTTTTCTAGTTCTTTATGATGTATTGTTAGGTTGTTTATTTGAAGATTTCATGCTTTTCTGATGTAGGCATTGCTGGGCAAGGTGCCACAGCCCTGGCATCAGGAAGTGGTTGACTTGTGTGTTGGTAAGAAGAATTTACCGATGACAGTATAGGTTTGAAAAAGGAAAGATTTATTGGAAAGAAAGAATGCTGCAGAAGAGAGCAGCTGGGTGCCTCAGCAAGAGAAGACTGAGCACACCATGGTGGATTTTCCTTAGGAGCATCTATGGACCTTACAGTGGGAGCTGAATGGTAATTTGCATCATAAATGATTACAGTTGTAGACATTTTGGTACCTTAATGTCAGCAAGGGTGTGCACAATGAGTTTTGGCATGCATGCATTCCAGAGATGTATAGAAATTCTAGTTACTTATAAATTTTAAGTTGAAAGAGGCATAGGACCAGGTGCTAATTTTAGATAATGGGGAAGTCTAATTACTTATAAATTTTTCACATAAGAAGTTTTTGTCTCCAGATGGCCTGCTTGATAGTCACCTGGTAGTTTTTGCTGTCTTCATTATGCTTCTAAATTCCTCAGATAAGGAGTTGTGTCTCTGGATGGCCTGCTTGATGGTCAGCAGGTGATTTTTGCTATCCTCATTTTCCCCCAATAGGTATCTTGGCAAAATTTTTGACCCTTTATATTCCCCCACGATCATGTTTACCTGCTACCTATTGTGGTCTCAAGAAGGGGAAAGCAGCACAGTGAAGAGGAGCATCAAGTCTTTGTGACTACTTCCTGATGAAAGGGGGCATTGATAGAATAGGTTGTGTTTTTCCCTTTCTTGCTCTCTTTCATGAAAGGAATGAAGTGTCATGAAAAACTCATTTATGGGTGGGAAGGCCAGATTCCATTAAGAGTCCCCATATAAATTGAAGTTGCAGTTGCAGGCCAGTATTAGGATTGCATAATCATCTGTAGATGGAATTGTTGTAGGATGGAAGGTATAACCTTAATGAGAGAATTAAAAAGGCAGAGACCAAATATTAAAAGAAAAATGACAATGAATAAAGGCCCAAGGAATGCAAGAAGCCAGATGGTTTTGGAAACCAATCAGTAAAGGTTTTGACCCTGTCTTGGTTACTTTGGAAAAGTGTGTGTATCCATTTGGCCTGTTAGAAAGTGACCTTCCTCACTCACCACAGGTTAGGAACCCTGTACAGGGACTGTATAGACAAGATATTAGGCCAGTTTTCCCAAGGGGCTTTTATTGGCTAAGTCAAGCTTGATTCCTTAAGGGAAAGCACACTCTACCAGTCAAAGCCTTGGTAAAACAACCAGTTTCTCCAATTGTGTCTTGTTGGAAAAGAAAATAAATTTTTACTGCACTTTTCAAATAACTATATTGCCATAAGTTGAGAACACTCACAAGTAGTTTTCAAATTCTGGAGAAAACAGGCATAGAGAAATGAATATGCTCCAAATTTTGTTCATAGAAGTATACCTTACTCAATTTTTAAATGCTGTAAATAGATCAAAATAAGTTTTCCTGACTTTGAAAAACTGAAGGATTAGCAACATTTTAAAAAGGTTAGAAAAGATTACTTTAGCTTTCTACTAGTTCAGTGCATCCAGTTAACTCTTGTTCTGATTGATATTCATGAACATTTTAGTTCTTCATGAGTCTTGAATGTTTTCCTTTATTTCAATGTCACAATATGCAAAGTTATCAGAAACCTGCATTTAAGAGCACCCCTCAAAGCTCCATAACTGATTATAAACCATCTTTTGAACAAGATCAAACAAGACAACAATCTTCTGTGAATGACAAAATGTTTTTGGGCAGTCACAGTTAAAAACACGATTGACAAAGGAATTTGGTCATTTCTGTGGTTTACAATAACTTAACATAGTAACCCTAATTATGATTGATAGCATATACTCAGACATTAGGATTTTAGAAATCTCATAAAATTTTGGAGCATATATTAATTTTATTCACTAAAAAATAACCTAAAGAAAGTTAAACATTATTTTTATTTTGACAATGCCATTTAACTAAACATGTTAAAAGATTAAAACCCTTGATATTGTGAAATTGAATTCCAGATTATCATAAGTCACTTATTTAGGAAAAATGATGGCTCAAAAAATTTCTTCAAACTTTACTTATTAAGAGGGAAGACTTGGCTTTCCAAACAACCTGTCTCTTGTCTTTCTCTTCCTTTTTTGGTAGTTTATTTGCAAGGCAAACAAAAATCATTCATTATCCTTTAATATTACATGAAAATCTTGCAAAAATCTTTTTACAGGAAATCTTTCTCAAAAGAGAGAAAGCCAAATTTCACCCTTACATTATTCTACTATTAATGTCAACCCCAATTTTTTAATGAAATCTCACAGTCAATTCAATCCAATCTTAACCAGTTTGACCATGAGGTGAGATTCTTATAAACTTTTATAATCCTTTACAACTTTTTGTTAAAAAGCAGATCAGTGCCTTAAAAAAACTTTGTTGTGTTTTTATTACAGTGCTCAATTTATGGAAAAACCAAGTAGTATTCTTTTGAATTTACTCAATATGTTCACACGCACAATTTTTTTTACAAGATTAATTTTTACAAACCTTCCACAATTTGTTCAAACCTTTAGCTTTATCTTATTTAATTTAAAACCATCTTATAACCCTCCAAACTAAGCAACAATTTACATTGCCCTGCCTTCTTATAATATACTAAAAACACATTTTACTTTCCTTAAACACCTTGCCTGAAACTCCAATTTCAGTACTCTCAATTACATGTTACAACGGTAACTCTTAGCAATTTTTCATTTTGGTGTAAAACCTGGTAAGATATTGTAATTATGTACTAGATGTAGATAGGATCTGACTCTTCCCAGCATAGTTAGTGTTGTGGTTACCTCTATATGCCCCCAGTCCTTACCAAATTGTTAAGCAGGCAAGTCTAACAGTTTTCAAAAGTCAAATAAGGAGTTTACAACCTTAAAACATATAGTAAACTTAGTTTTGAACCTGCATAATTTAGATGACGTATTTACATTTTGAAGATAATTGAATTTTACCAATATCTTTTTTTATTATACTTTAAGTTTTAGGGTACATGTGCACAATGGGCAAGATTGTTACATATGTATACATGTGCCATGTCGGTGTGCTGCACCCATTAACTCGTCATTTAACATTAGGTATATCTCCTAATGCTATCCCTCCCCCCTCCCCCCACCCCACAACAGGCCCCGGTGTGTGTGATGTTCCCTTCCAGTGTCCATGTGTTCTCATTATTCAATTCCCAATTATGAGTGAGAACATGCGGTGTGTGGTTTTTTTGTCCTTGTGATAGTTTGCTGAGAATGATGGTTTCCAGCTTCATCCATGTCCCTACAAAGGACATGAACTCATCCTTCTTTATGGCTGCATAGTATTCCATGGTGTATATGTGCCACATTTATTTATCCAGTCTATCATCGTTGGACATTTGGGTTGGTTACAAGTCTTTGCTATTGTGAACAGTGCTGCAATAAACATATGTGTGCATGTGTCTTTACAGCAGCATAATTTATAATCCTTTGGATATATATCCATTAATGGGATGGCTGGGTCAAATGGTATTTCTAGTTCTAGATCCCTGAGGAATCACAACAATGACTTCCACAATGGTTGAACTAGTTTACAATCCCACCAACAGTGTAAAAGTGTTCCTATTTCTCCACATCCTCTCCGCACCTGTTGTTTCCTGACTTTTTAATGATCACCATTCTAACTGGTGTGAGATGGTATCTCATTGTGGTTTTGATTTGCATTTCTCTGATGGCCAGTGATGACGAGCATTCTTTCATGTGTCTTTTGGCTGCATAAATGTCTTCTTCTGAGAAGTGTCTGTTCAGACCCTTCCCCCATTTTTTGATGGGGTTGTTTTTTTCTTGTAAATTTGTTTGAGTTCATTGTAGATGCAGAATATTAGCCCTTTGTCAGATGAGTAGATTGCAAAAATTGTCTCCCATTCTGTAGGATGCCTCTTCACTCTGATGATAGTTTCTTCTGCTCTGCAGAAGCTCCTTAGTTTAATTAGATCTCATTTGTCAATTCTGGCTTTTGTTGCCATTGCTTTTGGTGTTTTAGACATGAAGTCCTTGTCCATGCCTGTGTCCTGAATGGTATTGCCTAGGTTTTCTTTTAGGGGTTTTATGGTTTTAGGTCTAACATTTAAGTCTTTAATCCATATTGAATTAATTTTTGTATAAGGTGTAAGGAAGACATTCAGTTTCAGCTTTCTACATATTGCTAGTCAGTTTTCCCAGCACCATTTATTAAATAGAGAATCCTTTCCCCATTTCTTGTTTTTGTCAGGTTTGTCAAAGATCAGATAGTTGTAGATATGCGGCCTTATTTCTGAGGGCTCTGTTCCGTTCCATTGGTCTGTATCTCTGTTTTGGTACCAGTACCACGCTGTTTTGGTTACTGTAGACTTGTAGTATATACAGTTTGAAGTCAGGTAGAGGGATGCCTCCAGCTTTGTTCTTTTGGCTTAGGATTGACTTGGCAATGTGGGCTCTTTTTTGGTTCCATATGAACTTTAAAGTAGTTTTTCCAATTCTGTGAAGAAAGTCATTGGTAGCTTGATAGGGATGGCATTGAATCTATAAATTGCCTTGGACAGTATGGCCATTTTCACGATATTGATTCTTCCTACGCATGAGCATGGAATGTTCTTCCATTTGTTTGTATCCTCTTTTATTTCATTGAGCAGTGGTTTGTAGTTCTCCTTGAAGAGGTCTTTCACATCCCTTATAAGTTGGATTCCTAGGTATTTTTTTCTCTTTGAAGCAATTGTGAATGGGAGTTCACTCATGATTTGGCTCTCTGTTTGTCTGTTATTGGTGTGTAAGAATGCTTGTGATTTTTGCACATTGATTTTGTATTCTGAGACTTTGCTGAAGCTGCCTATCAGCTTAAGGAGATTTTGGGCTGAGATGATGGGGTTTTCTAGATATACAATCATGTCATCTGCAAACAGGGATAATTTGACTTCCTCTTTTCCTAATTGAATACCTTTTATTTCCTTCTCCTGCCTGATTGCCCTGGACAGAACTTCCAACACTGTGTTGAATAGGAGTGGTGAGAGGGCATCCCTGTCTTGTGACGTTTTCAAAGGGAATGCTTCCAGTTCTTGCCCATTCAGTGTGATATTGACTGTGGGTTTGTCATAGATAGCTCTTATTATTTTGAGATATGTCCCATCAATATCTAATTTATTGAGAGTTTTTAGCATGAAGCGTTGTTGAATTTTGTCAAATGCCTTTTCTGCATCTATTGAGATAATCATGTGGTTTTGTCATTGGTTCTGTTTATATGCTGGATTACATTTATTGATTTGTGTATATTGAACCAGCCTTGCATCCCAGGGATGAAGCCCACTTGATCATGGTGGACAAGCTTTTTGATGTGTTGCTGGATTTGGTTTGCAGGTATTTTATTGAGGATTTTTGCATCAATGTTCAGCAGGGATATTCGTCTAACATTCTCTTTTTCTGTTGTGTCTCTGCCAGGCTTTGGTATCAGGATAATGCTGGCCCCATAAAATGAGTTAGGGAGGATTCCCTCTTTTTCTGTTGATTCGAATAGTTTCAGAAGGAATGGTACCAGCTCCTCCTTGTACCTCTGGTAGAATTCGTCTGTGAATCCATCTGGTCCTGGACCTTTTTTGGTTGGTAAGCTGTTAATTATTGCCTCAATTTCAGAGCCTGTTATTGGTCTATTCAGAGATTCAACTTCTTCCTGGATTAGTCTTAGGAGGCTGTACATGTTGAGGAATTTATCCATTTCTTCTAGATTTTCTAGTTTATTTGCATAGAGGTGTTTGTAGTATTCTCTGATGGTAGTTTGTATTTCTGTGGGATCGGTGGTGATATCCCCTTTCTCATTTTTTTATTGCATCTATTTGATTCTTCTCTCTTTTCTTCTTTATTAGTCTTGCTAGCAGTCTATCAATTTTGTTGATGTTTTGAAAAAACCAGCTCCTGGATTCCTTGATTTTTTGAAGGGTTTTTTTGTGTTTCTATTTCCTTCAGTTCTGCTCTGATATTAGTTATTTCTTGCCTTCTGCTAGCTTTTGAATGTGTTTGCGTGGCTTCTCTGGTTCTTTTAACTGTGATGTTAGGGTGTCAATTTTAGATCTTTCCTGCTTTCTCTTGTGGGCATGTAGTGCTATAAATTTCCCTCTACACACTGCTTTGAATGTGTCCCAGAGATTCTGGTATGTTGTGTCTTTGTTCTCATTAGTTTCAAAGAACATCTTTATTTCTGCCTTCATTTCGTTATGTACCCAGTAGTCATTCAGGAGCAGGTTGTTTAGTTTCCATGTAGTTGAGTGGTTTTTAGTGAGTTTCTTAATCCTGAGTTCTAGTTTGATTGCACTGTGGTCTGAGAGAGAGTTTGTTAAATTTTGGTTCTTTTACATTTGCTGAGGATTGCTTTACTCCCAACTATGTGGTCAATTTTGGAATAGGTATGGTGTGGTGCTGAAAAGAATGTATATTCTGTTGATTTGGGGTGGAGAGATCTGTAGATGTCTATTAGGTCCACTTGGTGCAGAGCTGAATTCAGTTCCTGGATATCATTGTTAACTTTCTGTCTCATTGATCTGTCTAATGTTGACAGTGGGGTGTTAAACTCTCCCATTATTATTGTGTGGGAGTCTAAGTCTCTTTGTAGTTCTCTAATGTCTCGCTTTATGAATCTGGGTGCTCCTGTATTGTGTGCATATATATTTAGGATAGTTAGCTCTTCTTGTTGAATTGATCCCTTTACCATTATGTCATGGCCTTCTTTGTCTCTTTTCGTCTTTGTTGGTTTAAAGTCTGTTTTATCAGAGACTAGGATTGCAACCCCTGCCTTTTTTTGTTTTCCATTTGCTTGGTAGATCTTCCTCCATCCCTTTATTTTGAGCTTATGTGTGTCTCTGCACATGAGATGGGTTTCCTGAATACAGCACACTGATGGGTCTTGACCCTTTATGTAATTTGCCAGTCTGTGTCTTTTAATTGGAGCATTTAACCCATTTATACTTAAGGTTAATATTGTTATGTGTGAATTTGATCCTGTCCTTATGATGTTAGCTGGTTATTTTGCTTGTTAGTTGATGCAGTTTCTTCCTAGCCTCGAAAGTCCTTACAATTTGGCATGTTTTTGTAGTGGTTCGTACCAGTTGTTCCTTTCCATGTTTAGTGCCTCCTTCAGGAGCTCTTGTAGGGCAGGACTGGAGTTTTTTTTTTTTTTTTTTTTTTTTTTGAGATGGAGTCTCGCTCTTTTGCCCAGGCTGGAGTGCAGTGGGGTGATCTCCACTCACTGCAAGCTCCGCCTCCAGGGTTCATGCCATTCTCTTGCCTCAGTCTCTCGAGTAGCTGGGACTACAGGTGCCCACCACCACGCCTGGCTAACTTTTTGTATTTTTGGTAGAGACAGGGTTTCACCACGTTAGAGGATGGTCTTGATCTCCTGACCTTGTGATCCCCCACCTTGGCCTCCCAAAGTGCTGGGATTAGAGGCGTGAGCCATCGCACCCGGCCTCTCCTTCACTTTGAAGCTTAGTTTGGCTGGATATGAAATTCTGGGTTGAAAATTCTTTTCTTTAATAATGTTGAATATTGGCCCCCACTCTCTTCTGGCTTGTAGAGTTTCTGCCGAGAGATCAGCTGTTGGTCTGATGGGCTTCCCTTTGTGGGTAACCCGACTTTTCTCTCTGGCTGCCCTTAACATTTTTTCCTTCATTTCAACTTTGGTGAATCTGACAATTATGTGTCTTGGAGTTGCTCTTCTCGAGGAGTATCTTTGTGGCATTCTCTGTATTTCCTGAATCTGAATGCTGGCCTGCCTTTCTAGATTGGGGAAGTTCTCCTGGATAATATCCTGCAAATTGTTTTCCCACTTGGTTCCATTCTCCCCGTCACTTTCAGGTACACCAATCAGACATAGATTTGGTCTTTTCACATAGTCCCATATTTCTTGCAGGCTTTGTTTGTTTCTTTTTATTCTTTTTTTCCTAAGCTTCTCTTCTCGCTTCTTTTCATTCATTTCATCTTCCATCACTGATACCCTTTCTTCCAGTTGATTGAATCAGCTACTGAGGCTTGTGCAATCGTCACGTAGTTCTGGTGCTATGGTTTTCAGCTCCATCAGGTCGTTTAAAGACTTCTCTGCATTGGTTATTCTAGTTAACCATTTGTCTAATTTTTTTTCAAGGTTTTTTACTTCTTTGCTATGGGTTCGAACTTCATCCTTTAGCTCAGAGTAGCTGGATCATCTGAAGCCTTCTTCTCTCAACCCATCAAAGTCATCCTCCTTCCAGCTTTGTTCCATTTCTGATAAGGAGCTGTGTTCCTTTGGAGGAGGAGAGGTGCTCTGATTTTTAGAGTTTCCAGTTTTTCTGCTCTGTTTTTTCCCCATCTTTGTGGTTTTATCTGCCTTTGGTCTTTGATAATGGTGACATTCAAATGGGGTTTTGGTGTAGATGTCTTTTCTTTTTGTTAGTTTTCTTTCTAACAGTCAGGACCCTCAGCTGAAGGTCTGTTGGAGTTTGCTGGAGGTCCACTCCAGACCCTGTTTGCCTGGGTATCAGCAGCAGAGTCTGCGGAACAGCAGATATTTGTGAACAGCAAATGTTGCTGCCTGATTGCTCCTCTGAAAGTTTAGTCTCAGAGCAGTAGCCGGCTGTGTGAGCTGTCAGTCTGGCCCTACTGTGTGGTGCCTCCCAGTTAGGCGACTCAGGGGTCAGGGACCCACTTGAGGCATTCTGTCCATTCTCAGAACTCCAGTTGTGTGCTGGGAGAACCACTACTCTCTTCATAGCTGTCAGACAGGGACATTTAAGTCTGCAGAGGTTTCTGCTGCCTTTTGTTTGGCCATGCCCTGCCCCCAGAGGTGGAGTCTGCAGAAGCAGGCAGGCCTACTTGAGCTGCAGTGGGCTCCACCCAGTTTGAGCTTCCCGGCCACTTTATTTACCTATTCAAGCCTGGGCAATGGTGGGCGCCCCTCCCCCAACCTTGCTGCCACCTTGCTGCCACCTTGCAGTTTGATCTCAGACTCCTGTGCTAGCAATGGGGGAGGCTCTGTGGGCATAGGACCCTCTGAGCCATGTGTGGGATATAATCTCCTTGTGTGCCATTTGCTAAGACCATTGGAAAAATGCAGTATTAGGGTGGGAGTGACCCGATTTTCCAAGTGCCATCTGTCACCCCTTTCTTTGACTAGGAAAGGGAATTCCCTGACTCCTTGTGCTTCCCAGTTGAGGTGATGCCTCGCCCTGCTTCAGCTCATGCTTGGTGCACTGCACCCACTGTCCTGCATCTACTTTCTGACACTCCCCAGTGAGATGAACCTGGTACCTCCATTGGAAATGCAGAAATCACCCATCTTCTGCGTTGCTCAGACTGGGAGCTGTAGACTGGAGCTGTTCCTATTAGGCCATTTTGGCTCCACCCCTGCCAATAATCTTTAAAACTGCTTTTGTTTCTCAGAGATTAAAGTTATGTGAACTAAAAGGTACTGCAGCTTCTGTTTTTCCTTTAAAAATATTTGATCTAATCACTTATTTTTCTCTAAGCCAATTAATTAGAGCTTTTTTATATAAACATTACATACATAACAAATATACAACTACAGAGACAGACAGCAGAAGATCTAGTAGTTATGAGATTTTTCATTTGCCAATCTCTTAATTGGATTACTGGCCTCAGGGTGGAGACCTTCAAGAAACAGGGCTAGGAAAACATCCGGTTTCCAGAGCCTAATAAGCAGGTTTAGCTGGAAAACAAAAACTATTTTTGAGAGGGATCTATCCACTTTTAATTCTTAGTATTCCATGAGTAAAACAGAGGGTTTTTTTTTTTCCAAAATGGGGCCTATGACACCTTCTGTTTTTCTCAAGCAGCCCCGGGCCATCAGAAGTTATCTCATGTGTGCATTAAGAGTGGCAAGACAAAATGGCAAAAAATAATTCAGTCGACTGAGAAGAAAAAAACTTTTCCAAGCAAAAAATATCCAAGAAGATAAAAGACATAAAGCCCTTTTAAATATACCTATAGCTCAGATATACCTTTTAATTAAGCTGACTTTTAACCATAGTGCTCTTAAAAACATCCTTTTAAATTCCTTATTACCCAACTTTAGCCATGTCAAGGGGCCCATATTTCTGGCTTTTGAACTTTACCAAAAGTAACCATACAGGTGAAACCAATAAGTCTCAACTAGGGTTATAAATTAACCATGACTGTACAAGGTATTTGCAAAGAGGTGGTAAGCAGTTTTTACAAAATCTAGAATCTTTAAAGATAGCTCAAAGAAAGGAAGATTTTAAAAAGGAAGCCAAAAGCTGTTTATGGAGGGGAAAAAATCAGCAAATGGCAAAAGTCACACAGTTTTTAACCAGAAAGTACTCATTTCCTAAGCCAGGATTGAACCTGGGCCACCTTTGTAAAGTGACAGAGACCAAAAGAAAGCACTACCATGTGGTGACAAGGTCAAGCTCCCAAGGACATACAAGAGGGAAACCTCTTCCAGTTTTTTGTTTCAGAGACCTTCAGCAAAGTTTGTTACTGACCAGTTTGCTAGTGGGCTTATGGGGTCCTAAGCCTGTGTTCTATCCTAAGGTATTTCTCCTTGTAAGAGAATCATACAGAAAGACACACAAAGGACACCAGATTGGCTATAGCTTATGACTAGCCTCATAAATCCTTTTATACCATTAATCAAACTTTGTAATAGATATAAGCAGTGATTTATACCATTCATTCAATAGGCTTGCGCAGAGAGAGGCCAGAAGCCTGACTGGTAAAAATGTTTACACATTTGCTGCTATGTCAGGCTTCTGTGTTCCCTTCCCCTGAGCTATGGAGTCCTATTGACCCTGGAGTCCTGTGAAGTGGGAGCAGACGAAGAGGTTATCAGCATACCTTCCTCAGCAGATTGCTCGGGTAGAATTGTAATTTCTTCCCAATTCAATTTTAAGCCAAGCATTTTAAGGTTTGGGAAAATTAAACTTTCCCAGTTTGGGGGGATGCATTCGAGGGGAGTGTCCTGCGGTATGGAGGCTCAATTACCCATCCACGAAGATAGGACAGAGGGAGGAAAAAACAGGAAAAACAACGTGCTTTTTTTTTTTCCCCCAAAGGTGTCCTGGTGATTCAGAATGCATTTGAGAGAAGTACAGACTGAAGATGGCTGGTTACCCATCTGGAAAGAGGGGAAAAAAAGATGTCCCTTAGTTCCTTTCCCTTCCCAGAAAATACACAGGGTGTAGAAGGGAGAGGAAAAAGGCCTTCCTTTTTTCTTCTGTCCTTATATCTCTGAGTCCCAGCGACCTTGGCAGGTGCCGACGATGGGTGACAATGCAGCCTTCGCCCATGTAACACAGAGGTGTATAAGTCAGAAATATCTGCACTCTCTTACACATTGGCCTATCCTCTCTTCTACAAGTAACTTTTGAGTTTCCTAGACTTCATCTATGCCATGAATATGATCGTGGCCTTCCTCCATGAAGTGGGAACCCAATCAGCAGAAATTAGTCTTGTTCATTCCCTGTACCACCTAATATGGTTTGGCTGTGTCCCCACCTAAATCTCATCTTGAATTGTAGCTCCCCAAATCCTCACGTGTTGTGGGAGGGACCTGGTCAGAGGTAATTGAATCATGGGTGCAAGTTTTTCCCATGCTGTTCTTGTGATAGTAAATAAGTCTCATGAGAACTGATGGCTTTATAAAAGGGCAGTTCCACTGCACATGCTCTCTTGCCTGCCACCACGCAAGACGTGTCTTTGCTTCTCCTTCACCTTCTACCATGATTGTGAGGCCTCCTTATCCATGTGGAACTGTGAGTCCACTGAACATCTTTTTCTTTATTAATTACCCAGTCTTGGGTGTGTCTTTATTAGCAGCGTGATAACAAACTAATAAATACTCACTGCGCCATTTGACTTCCGTTGTTGCCTGCCTTTGGATCCCTCAGATCTAGTTTTCCTTACTAAGGCTTAAACATGAAGCTTGGAATTGAGTTTGGGATAAAAAGGTGCCTCCGGAGGGTGCATGGATTCATTTAAATTAAGTCCCAAGTTGCCCTCACCAGATTTGCAGCCAGCAGCCAGCAGCCAGCAGGGCTTCTCCTCCATTGCTTCCTTTTCATAATAAGAGTGCTAAGGTGAAGCTGTGGAGCCAGACCCTCCTCAAACTAGAGAGAGAAGGGAAGTCCTGTAAATTTGGGACCTGGTCTAGTAAGGTGCCTCCCAAAGAGAAAAAAAGAAACTTCATTAAAAAGCTCCCTGTATTTACAAGGCTATATGAACTCCTGACATGGTGGAGAAAAGAGAAGAAAACAGCATAGGTGCAGAGGAGGGGGAGCCACCTCAGGGAAAAAGCCACTTGCTCTATGCAAATGGTTTCCTTTAACAGGGTAAAAAAGCCTTGAAATCACTACATCCTCCCCAGTTCTAAGAATAGACAGAAACCACATTGCTCTGAATTACATTTCTGAGGACTGGGAAAGTGCCCATTCTACCCAGTAATATTTCTGTAGTTTGCAACAACACCCTTAATATTGTATATAAAGAACAGATACGTGCCATAAAAGAAAGAATAAAAATGCCATTAAAAAATACGGGATTGGAACAAAGCTGACATTTTCTTTTTTTTTTATGATTACTGAGGACTTTTATTTTATTTTATTTTTATTATTATACTTTAAGTTTTAGGGTACATGCGCACAATGTGCAGGTTAGTTACATATGTATACATGTGCCATGCTGGTGTGCTGCACCTATTAACTCGTCATCTAGCATTAGGTATATCTCCCAATGCTATCCCTCCCCCCTCCCCCCACCCCACAACAGGCCCCAGAGTGTGATGTTCCCCTTCCTGTGTCCATGTGTTCTCATCGTTCAATTCCCACCTATGAGTGAGAATATGCAGTGTTTGGTTTTTTGTTCTTGCCATAGTTTACTGAGAATGATGATTTCCAATTTCATCCATGTCCCTACAAAGGACATGAACTCATCATTTTTTATAGCTGCATAGTATTCCATGGTGTATATGTGCCACATTTTCTTAATCCAGTCTATCATTGTTGGACATGTGGGTTGGTTCCAAATCTTTGCTACTGTGAATAATGCCACAATAAACATACGTGTTCATGTGTCTTTATAGCAGCACGATTTATAGTCCTTTGCATATATACCCAGTAATGGGATGGCTGGGTCAAATGGTATTTCTAGTTCTAGATCCCTGAGGAATCGTCACACTGACTTCCACAATGGTTGAACTAGTTTCCAGTCCCACCAACAGTGTAAAAGTGTTCCTATTTCTCCACATCCTCTCCGACACCTGTTGTTTCCTGACTTTTTCATGATCGCCATTCTAACTGGTGTGAGATGGTATCTCATTGTGGTTTTGATTTGCATTTCTCTGATGGCCAGTGATGGTGAGCATTTTTTCATGTTTTTTTGGCTGCATAAATGTCTTCTTTTGAGAAGTGTCTGTTCACGTCCTTTGCCCACTTTTTGATGAGGTTCTTTGTTTTTTTCTTGTAAATTTGTTTGAGTTCATTATAGATTCTGGATATTAGCCCTTTGTCAGATGAGTAGGTTGCGAAAATTTTCTCCCATTTTGTAGGTTGCCTGTTCACTCTGATGGTGGTTTCTTTTGCTGTGCAGAAGCTCTTGAGTTTAATGAGATCCCATTTGTCAATTTTGGCTTCTGTTGCCATTGCTTTTGGTGTTTTAGACATGAAGTCCTTGCCCATGCCTATGTCCTGAATGGTAAAGCCTAGGTTTTCTTCTAGGGTTTTTATGGTTTTAGGTCTAACTTTTAAGTCTTTAATCCATCTTGAATTGATTTTTGTATAAGGTGTAAGGAAGGGATCCAGTTTCAGCTTTCTACATATGGCTAGCCAGTTTTCCCAGCACCATTTATTAAATAGGGAATCCTTTCCCCATTGCTTGTTTTTCTCAGGTTTGTCAAAGATCAGATAGTTGTAGATATGTGGCATTGTTTCTGAGGGCTCTGTTCTGTTCCATTGGTCTATATCTCTGTTTTGGTACCAGTACCATGCTGTTTTGGTTACTGTAGCCTTGCAGTATAGTTTGAAGTCAGATAGTGTGATGCCTCCAGCTTTGTTCTTTTGGCTTAGGATTGACTTGTTGATGTGGGCTCTTTTTTGGTTCCATATGAACTTTAAAGTAGTTTTTTCCAATTCTGTGAAGAAAGTCATTGGTAGCTTGATGGGGATGGCATTGAATCTGTAAATTACCTTGGGCAGTATGGCCATTTTCATGATATTGATTCTTCCTACCCATGAGCATGGAATGTTCTTCCATTTGTTTGTATCCTCTTTTATTTCCTTGAGCAGTGGTTTGTAGTTCTCCTTGAAGAGGTCCTTCACATCCCTTGTAAGTTGGATTCGTAGATATTTTTTTCTCTTTGAAGCAATTGTGAATGGGAGTTCACTCATGATTTGGCTCTCTGTTTGTCTGTTATTGGTGTATAAGAATGTTTGTGATTTTTGTACATTGATTTTGTATCCTGAGACTTTGCTGAAGTTGCTTATCAGCTTAAGGAGATTTTGGGCTGAGACAATGGGGTTTTCTAGATATACAATCATGTCATCTGCAAACAGGGACATTTTGACTTCCTCTTTTCCTAATTGAATACCCTTTATTTCCTTCTCCTGCCTGATTGCCCTTGCCAGAACTTCCAACACTATGTTGAATAGGAGTGGTGAGAGAGGGCATCCCTGTCTTGTGCCAGTTTTCAAAGGGAATGCTTCCAGTTTTTACCCATTCATTATGATATTGGCTGTGGGTTTGTCATAGATAGCTCTTATTATTTTGAAATACGTCCCATCAATACCTAATTTATTGAGAGTTTTTAGCATGAAGTGTTGTTGAATTTTGTCAAAGGCCTTTTCTGCATCTATGGAGATAATAATGTGGTTTTTGTCTTTGGTTCTGTTTATATGCTGGATTACATTTATTGATTTGTGTATATTGAACCAGCCTTGCATCCCAGGGATGAAGCCCACTTGATCATGGTGGATAAGCTTTTTGATGTGCTGCTGGATTCGGCTTGCCAGTATTTTATTGAGGATTTTTGCATCAATATTCATCAAAGGTATTGGTCTACAGTTCTCTTTTTTGGTTGTGTCTCTGCCAGGCTTTGGTATCAGGATGATGCTGGCCTCATAAAATGAGTTAGGGAGGATTCCCTCTTTTTCTATTGATTGGAATAGTTTCAGAAGGAATGGTACCAGGTCTTCCTTTTACCTCTGGTAGAATTCGGCTGTGAATCCATCTGGTCCTGGACTCTTTTTGGTTGGTAAGCTATTGATTATTGCCAGAATTTCAGCTCCTGTTTTTAGTCTATTCAGAGATTCAACTTCTTTCTGGTTTAGTCTTGGGAGAGTGTATGTGTCGAGGAATTTATCCATTTCTTCTAGATTTTCTAGTTTATTTGCATAGAGGTGTTTGTAGCTGACATTTTCAACTCCTGACAGTGATGGGTGACGAGTGGTGGCCTCTGATGCAGCTGTGCCATTTGCTTTTAATTGGCTAACACAGACCTGGTGCTCCATCTGTTTTCAGAAAAAGTCTGAGGATAAGAAGGCTTGGAAACAAAAGTAAAAGAGGTTTTAAGTCCACACTCACTGATGAATCCTGGACAGGCACATAGATGTGACACAGGATTTTTCTTGGTCACCCTGCCAGCTGGTGACCTCTGGTTGGTGACATCTCTGCCTGAGCCTTGCTTGGGCACACTACATGCTGCAGAAGATGGCCCACCCACTCAGCCCAGCTGGGTCATGCCTGGCTTGCATGCCAGCTCAGCCCACAGCTTGGCATGCCCCAGCCCACCTGTGTTATAGCTCACACCCACGTTTCATGGTTTCCGAGTTCTTGTCCCACTCCCTAGAAGAATGATGATACACTGACAATTGAAGGGTAAGAAGGGCAGAGACGAATTTCATTGAGTGACAGAACAGCTCTCAGCAGCGAAGAGATGCCGGGGAGGACCCCACCCAAAGTTGGGTAGTTTCTCTCCCAGTGTGGCTAGGTCTGGGGATTTTATGGGTTGAGATTAGGGGAGTGTGTGCTGACAGGTTTGTGAGTAAGTAAAAAAAGTTAAAACAAAGGCACCACCGAAAAGTGTGCAGGGCAGTGTAAAAAAATTGGGGAAAGATAGGTGTATATAAAATAGGTAAATCGTGGAGATCAGTTAGAGGAAAGTGTGCCAAATGAAAAGAGAAGTTCTCTATCTGGTCCATAAATTTACCTGGGGCTTGTAGCTGTGCTTTAAATTGTCTTCAACTTGAAGGTGGTCTTTCACTGAGGACCTGCCCCTGTCTGTCTGGGCATTTGTCTTCCTCCTGCTGCTCTCATTTAAAGATCGTTTTGCTCTCTGAGTTTAAATATGCTGATCCCAAATCTACCCAATTTTACTTCTACATTGGAAGCAGCACAGTGATGCAGCTTCAGGAAAGAAGAGTGACAATGATAAAATTTCTCAGCTCAGAGAGCATAGTGGTTAAGAAGGCAGGTTAGGGAGGTAGACAATTTGAGTTCAAAGTTTATCTTGGCCCTTGCCTAGCTATATGATTTTGGGTAAAGTACTTAACCTTCCTGAACAACATTTTTTTTTTCATTTGTGAAATGAATGTGGATAATAGCTCCTAAACCCTAGGATTGTTGAGAAAATAAAATAATAAAGCAACAAAAAGAAATGCAAAAAAAAACCTTTGTAAACTGAAGAGTTTTATAGAAAGATAAAAATTTATTATTGTCATCATCGCCATCAATCTAATGATACTTCATTATAAAGTTGTAGTATAATCATATCTTGAGAGGTTGTATTGAGAGGCATATATTTAGTGGAATCAAGTTTCTGGTTTTGAATTCTGAACAGTTTATGTGTTGTGAGTGCTTGGACCTCTCTGTGGCTCAGTTTCATTATCAGTATAATCTGGATACTAGTAGTATCTACATCATACTGTATTGTGATGATTACATGAGATAATCTATGTAAGGTACCTAGTATAGTATCTGGCACATAGAAAAAATTTAATGAAAGTTAATTACTCTCATTGTTGTTCTAATAATTGCCAATTCTCCTGAGTCCAAGCTAGAATAGTCATCTCTTGATCATGGGATACAGAAAGACCAGAAAAGCCCTGCCTTTATTCCTGGGAAAAGCCCCTATGAACTTCAATTTTATTATTGTTAGGGACCAGAAGTTAATCTCTGCTGAACCACCATGTGTCTACACCAGTGAGGTTAATTATGTAATACAGCTCTCTTTTGCCCACCTCTCAGGGGTCAATGTCAATTAGTTCCATTGTTTGAAGTTGTCCTGCCATCATGTCTTGAGAAAAAGGGAGGTGTAGGAGCAGTGGAAAGCTCTTTTATTTTTGAATGTGTGAGATCAGCTTCATGATTGCCAACTAAGCCTTGCTGGGGCTGATCTTACCTAGGCTGCTTATCTGCTGGTAACAATAACTTCTATAGGAATTTGCTATTTTTTAAATTTAAACATTTGTTAATATCTTTAAAGAGTTGTAATGCTATTTAGAAGGGACATGTCCCCTTGCAGGTCTTGGACACACTGAATTTAAATCCTGATGGACTGAATCATTTTATGAGTTATAGTTTTACCTTTCTGAATAGAAAATGCCAAGTAATAATCCTAATGACTGGTAGTAAAAACGTCATTATTTTTCACTAAGGAAGAAAACTTTTATTTAGATATTGGTCTTCATTCTGAGAGAACTTCCCACGCTATTGCTGACCATTTCTTCCCTCTGAAATGCTTAAACCCCACAGCTGAAGCTAGCAAGGAAACCTAAGCTTACAGTATGTGTGCACGGGTAGAACCAGTATTGGGGAATGAATGAGTGCCCACATGCATGTACTGAGTCAATGAATCCTGATTATCAGCTCAGCTCTTTTGTTCCCACTCCAATGTTTGCAGCATTAAATGTGTACTTATGTGTGTGTTTCCAATTGTTTACACAAAAAAGCGGAGACATTATGCACAAGCCTGTATTGCCTTAGGAATGTATCTGTGCATTATCTTGTTGTCCTGTAGTCCCTGAACACATGAAGCACACATCTGTATGAATTTCTATGGACACTCAAAAGCCTCTTTAGTTGTTTCTAATTGGCCAATGAAATGACAACTAATTGAGATCAGGAATATTAGCATATTCCTGATTTCTGCCTAGCATTGAGGCTATTAACAGGCATAATTTGAGGGGTTCCCACCAAATTCCAGCAAGCTCAGTGCTGCATGTTGAGTTTAGCTCAAATTAGTTCTTTAAATTGTTTGAACAATTTGTAGAGTGAGTGTTACAATCCTTGATTTAAATTCCTGTTTAAAGACCTTTATCATTATAAATGACCAGAAATTATTACCTTAGATGAGAATTGCAATAGTCAATATGTGAAACAGATTTACCATGGCTGAAATACAGCAATACCTATTAAGTAGAAAATATTTCAAATGTTTTACTCCCAGATCTGCTTTTGTCAAGTAATGTAACCCTGGGGAAGTCATTCCTGTTCACTGGGTCTGCCTCCTTATCTGTAAAATAATGTAGCAATTTTCTATTGCTGCCATAGAAAATTACCGCAAATTTATTGGCTTAAAGTAACAATTTTGGAGGTCAGAAGTCCAGCACAGGTCTCATTAGGTTAATATCAAGTTGTTTGCAAGAGTGTTTTCTTTTCTGGAAGCTCTGGAAGAGAATCTGTTACTTTGCTCATCTAGGATTTTAAAGAATCTAATTCATGTGGTTGTATAACTGAAGTTTCTGTTTCCTTGCTGGCTGTCAGCCGAGGGCTTTTCCCAATTACTAGATGTCACCTATATTCCTTGGATTGTGCCCCTCTTCTCAATCTTCAAAACTAACAAATCCAAGTTAAGTCTCTTTCATGCTTCCAATCTTCCTTACATCTTCTTCAGTACCATCTCTCTGACTTCAGCTAAGAAAGCTTCTCTTGGTATATATGATTAGATTGAACTCACAGGGATAATCCAGGACAATCTTTCCATTTCAAAACACATAACTTTAACATGCCTGCAAAGTCTCTTTTGCCATGTAAGGTAGCATGTTTATAGGTTCCAGGGATTAGGGTGTGGACATCTTCAGGTGTCATGGGAGGGAGAGTCATTATTTTGCCTACCACAGATGAGAAAACTAGATTATTTAGATCAGCATTTTTGAAATAAATTCGGTATAACACAAGTTTAGTGGACTGTGATAGGGTTAAGGGCTGGAAAGTAGTAGACACATGCATCAAAACAAACAAAGCTAAGTATGACTGGACACTAGGTTGGTATTAAACAAAGAATGTTACATAGATAACAAAGTAAAGTACAAGCAGGTGATGTGTAGTAGTTGAAAAGATTATTCTAAAACACTAGATGTCCATTTGTTCCATAAGAGTTTAGAGGTAGTTTGGCATATAGGGATGTGGAGGAGTGGTGTGGATAGCCACAATAGTTCTTTTTTGTTGTTGTTCTTATAATTTAAGTTCTGGGATACATGTGGAGAAACTGCAGGTTTGTTACATAGGTGTACACACGGCATGGTGGTTTCCTGCACCCATCAACCTGTCATCTACATTAGGTATTTCTCCTAATGCTGTCCCTCCTCTAGCTTCCACCCCCCCAAAGGCCCTGGTGTGTGATATTCCCCTCCTTGTATCCCCATTTTCTCATTGTTCAACTCCCGCTTATAAGTGACAACATGTGGTGTTTCGTTTTCTGCTCTTGTGTTAGTTTGCTGAGAATGATGGTTTCCAGCTTCATCCATGTCCCAACAAAGGACATGAACTCATCCTTTTTTATGGCTACATAGTATTCCATGGTGTATATGTGCCACAGTTTCTTTATCCAGTCTATCATTGATGGGCATTTGGGTTGGTTCCAAGTCTTTGCTATTGTGAATAGTGCTGTAATAAACATATATGTGCATGTGTCTTTATAGTAGAATTATTTATAATCCTTTGGGTATACACCCAGTAATGGGTCAAATGGTATTTCTGGTCCAAGATCCTTGATGAATCGCCACACTTTCTTCCACAATGGTTGAGCTAATTTACACTCCCACCAACAGTGTGAAAGCATTCCTATTTCTCTACATCCTCTCCAGCATCTGTTGTTTCCTGACTTTTTGAAGATCACCATTCTAACGGGCATGTGATGGTATTTCATTGTGGATTTGATTTGCATTTCTCTAATGACCAGTGATGATGAGCTTTTTTTCATATGTTTGTTAGCTGCATAAATGTCTTCTTTTGAGAAGTGTCTGTTAATATATTTCACCCACTTTTTGATGGGATTTTTTTTTCTTGTAAATTTGTTTAAATTCCTTGTAGATTCTGGATATTAGCCCTTTGTCAGATGGACAGATTGCAAAAATTTTCTCCCATTCTCTAGGTTACCTGTTCACTCTGATGATAGTTTCTCTTGTTGTGCTGAAGTCCTTTAAATTAGATCCCATTTGTCAATTTTGGCTTTTGTTGCCTTTGCTTTTGGTGTTTGAGTCATGAAATCTTTGCCCATGCCTATGTCCTCAATGGTAATGCCTAGGTTTTCTTCTAGGGTTTTTATGGTTTTAGGTTTTAGGTTTAAGTCGTTAACCCACCTTGAGTTAATTTTTGTATAAGGTGTAAGGAAGGAGTCCGGTTTCAGTTTTCTGCCTATGGCTAGCCAGTTTTCCCAACACCATTTATCGAATAAGGGATCCTTTCCTTATTGCTTTTTTTGGTCGAGTCTCTCAAAGATCAGATGGTTGTAAATGTGTGGCATTATTTCTGAGGCCTCTGTTCTGTTCCACTGGTCTAGATATCTGTTTTGGTACCAGTACCATGCTGTTTTGGTTACTGTGGCCTTACAGTGTAGTTTGAAGTCAGGTAGTGTGATGCCTCCAGCTTTTTCTTTTTGCTTAGGATTGTCTTGGCTATACAGGCTCTTTTTTTGGTTCCATATGAAATGTAAAGTAGTTTTTCTAATTTTCCATTTGTTTGTGTCCTCTCTTATTTCCTTGATCAGTGGTTTGTAGTTCTTTTTTATTATTGGTGTATAGGAATGCTTGTGATTTTTGCCATTGATTTTGTTTTCAGAGACTTTACTGAAGTTGCTTATCAGCATAAGAAGATTTTGGGCTGAGACAATGGGGTTTTCTAAATATACAATCTCGTCATCTGCAAACAGAGACATACTTGACTTCCTCTCTTCCTATTTGAATATGCTTTATTTCTTTCTCTTGCCTGATTGCCCTTGCCAGAACTTCCAATACTATGTTGAATAGGAGTGGTGAGAGAGGGCGTCCTTGTCTTGTTCTGGTTTTCAAATGGAATGCTTCCAGCTTTTGACCATTCAGTATGATATTGGCTGTGGGTTTGTCATAAATAGCTCTTATTATTTTGAGGTATGTTCCATCAATGCCTAGTTTATTGAGAGTTTTTAACATGAAGAAGAGTTGAATTTTATTGAAAGCCTTTTCTACATCTATTGAGACAATCATGTGGTTTTTGTCATTGGTTCTGTTTATGTGATGGATTATGTTTATTGATTTGCATATGTTGAACCAGCTTTGCATCTCAGGGATGAAGCCCACTTGATTATGGTGGATAAGCTTTTTGATGTGCTGCTGGATTCAGTTTGCCAGTATTTTATGGAGGATTTTTGCCTCGATGTTGACCAGGGATATTGGCCTGAAATTTTCTTTTTTTGTTGTATCTCTGCCAGGTTTTGGAATCAGGAGATGCTGGCTTCATAAAATGAGTTAGGGAGGAGTCCCTCTTTTTCCATTGTTTAGAATAGTTTCAGAAGGAATGGCACCAGCTCCTCTTTGTAATTCTGGCAGAATTTGGCTGTGAATCTGTCTGGTCCTGGGCTTTTTTTGGTTGGTAGGCTATTAATTACTGCCCCAACTTTCTTTTTTTTTTGTTTTTGTTTTTGTTTTTGTTTTTTGAGACAGAGTCTCGCTCTGTTGCCCAGGCTGGAGTGCAGTGGGACAATCTGGGCTCATTGCAAGCTCTGCCTCCTGGGTTCAAGCCTTTCTCCTGCCTCGGCCTCCTGAGTATCTGGGACTACACGTGCCCACCACCACTCCTGGCTAATTTTTTTTTGTATTTTTCGTAGAGACAGGGTTTCACTGTGTTAGCCAGGATGCTCTCAATCTCCTGAACTCATGATCTGCCTGCCTCAGCCTCCCAAAGTGGTGGGATTACAGGCATGAGCCACCATGCCCGGCCTGCCTCAACTTTCAAACTTGTTATTCGTCTGTGCATGGATTTGACTTCTTCCTGATTTAGTCTTGGGAGGGTGTATGTGTCCAGGAATTTATACAATTCTTCTAGATTTTCTAGTTTATTTGCATAGAGGTGTTTATAGTATTCTCTGATGGTAGTTTGTAGTCCTGTGGGATCACTGGTGATATCTCCGTTATCATTTCTTATTGTGTCTATTTGATTCTTCTGTCTTTTCATCTTTATTTGGTCTGGCTAGTGGTCTATTTTTAATTTTTTCAAAAAACCTGTTCCTGGATTTATTGATATTTTTGAAGGGTTTTTCATGTCTCTAGCTCCTTCATTTCTGCTCTGATCTTAGTTATTTTTTGGCTTTTGCTAGCTTTTGAATTTGTCTGTTCTTGCTTCTCTAGTTCTTTTAATTTTGATGTTGGGTATTGATTTTAGATCTTTCCTGCTTTCTTCTGTGGGCATTAACGTTTTAAATTTCTCTCTAAACACTGCGTTAGCTGTTCTACAGATATTCTGGTATGTTGTGTCATTGTTCTCATTGGTTTCAAAGAATTGATTTATTTCTCCCTGAATTTCATTATTTCCCCAGTAGTCATTCAGGAGCAGGTTGTTCAGTTTCCATGTATTTGTGCAGTTTTGAGTGAGTTTCTTAATCCTGAGTTCTAATTTGATTACACTGTAGTCCAAGAGACTGTTTGTTATAATTTCTGTTCTTTTGCATTTGCTGAGGAGTGTTTTACTTCCAATTATGTGGTCAATTTTAGAACAAGTGTGATGTAGTGCTGAGAAGGATGTATATGCTGTTGATTTGGGGTGGAGAGTTCTGTAGATGTCTATTAGGTCTGCTTGGTCCAGAGCTGAGTTAAAGTCCTGAATATCCTTGTTAATTTTCTGTCTCATTGATCTGTCCAATATTGACAGTGAAGAGTTAAAGTCTTCCACTAGTATTGTGTGGGAGTCTAATTCTCTTTGTAGGTCTCTAAGAACTTCCTTTATGAATCTGGGTGCTCCCATATTGGGTGCATATATATATGATAATTAGCTCTTCTTTTTGCATTGATGCCTTTACCATTTTGTAATGCCCTTCTTTTTCTTTTGTGATCTTTGTTGGTTTATAGTCTGTTTTATAAGAGACTAGGATTGCAACCCCTGCTACTTTTTGATTTCCATATATCTCCATCCCTTTATTTTGATCCCATATGTGTCTTCACATGGGAGATCAGTCTCCTGTATACAGCACACTGATGGGTCTTGGCTCTTTATCCAATTTGCCACTCTGTGTCTTTTAATTGGGGCATTTAGCCCATTTACATTTAAGGTTAATATTGTTATGTGTGAATTTGAATCTGTCATTATGATGCTAGCTGGTTATTTTGCCCATTAGTTGATGCAGTTTCTTCATGGTGTTGATGGTCTTTACAATTTGGTATATTTTTGCAGTGGCTGGTACCAGTTTTTCCTTTCCATATTTAGTGCTTCCTTCAAGAGCTCTTGTAAGGCAGGCCTGATGGTGACAAAATCTCTTATGCTTTGCTTGTCTGTAAAGGATTTTATGTCTCCTTCACTTATGAAGCTGAGTTTGGCTGGATATGAAATTATGGGTTGAAAAATCTTTTCTTTCAGAATGTTGAATATTGGCCTCCACTCTCTTCTGGCTTGTAGGGTTTCTGCAGAGAGATACACTGTTAGTCTGATGGGCTTCCCTTTGTGGGTAATGTGATCTTTCTCACTGGCTGTGTTAACATTTTTTTCTCCATTTCAACCTTGGTGAATCTAACGATTATGTGTCTTGGGGTTGATCTTCCGAGGAGTATCTTCATGATGTTCTCTGTATTTCCTGAATTTGAATGTTGTCCTGTCTTGCTAGGTTGGGGAAATTCTGGATAAAAGAGTGTTTTCCAGCTTGGTTCCATTTTCCCCATCACTTCCACTTACATCAATCAAATGTAGGTTTGGTGTTTTCACATAGTCCCATATTTCATGGAGGCTTTGTTCATTCCTTTTCATTCTTCTTTCTCTAATCTTGTCTTCATGCTTTTTTTCATTAAGTTGATCTTCAATCTCTGATATCTGTCTTTTGCTTGATCGATATGGTTATTGATACTTGTGCATGTCTCACGAAGTTCTCATCATGTGTTTTTCAGCTCCATCAGGTCATTTATGTTCTTCTCTAAACTGGTTATTCTAGTCAGCAATTTCTTTAACCTGTTTTCCAGGTTCTTAGCTTCCTTTCATTGCATGAGAACATGCTCCAATAGCTCGGAGGAGTTTGTTATTACCCACCTTCTGAAGCCTACTTCTGTCAATTCATCAAACTCATTCTCCGTCCAGTTTTGTTCCATTGCTGGCATGGAGTTCTGATCCTTTGGAGGAAAAGAGGCATTCTGCTTTTTGGAATTTTCAGCCTTTTTGTGTTGGTTTTTCCTCATCTTCATGGATTTATCTACCTTTGGTCTCTGATGTTGGTGACCTTCAAATGGGGTTTTTGTGTGGACTTTTTTTGTTTGTTTGTTTATGTTGATGCTATTTCTTTCTGTTTGTTAGTTTTCCTTCTAACAGTCAGGTCCCTCTGCTACAGGTCTGTTGGAGTTTGCTGGAGGTCCACTCCAGACCCTGTTTGCCTGGGTATCACCAGCAGAGGCTGCAAAACAGCAAACATTGTTGCCTGTTTCTTCCTCTGGAAGGTTCATCTCAGAGGGATACCTGCCACATGCCATCCAGAGCTCTCCTGTATGAGTTGTCTGTCAACTCCTGCTGGGAGGTGTCTCCCAGTCAGGAGGCACAGGAGTCAGGGACCCACTTGAAGAGGTAGTCTGTCCCTTAGCAGAACTTGAGCATTGTGCTAGGAGATTCGCTGCTCTTTAGAGCTGGCGGGCAGGAATATTTAAGTCTGCTGAAGCTGTACCCACAGCCACCCCTTTCCCCAGGTGCTCTGTCCCAGGGAGATGGGAGTTTTATCTCTAAGCCCCTGACTGGGTCTGCTGCCTTTCTTTCAGAGATGCCCTGTCCCTAGAGGAGGAATCTAAGAGGCAGTCTGTTTACAGCAGCTTTACTGAGCTATGGTGGACTCCACCCAGTTCGAACTTCTGGCAGCTTTGTTTACACTGGGAGGGGAAAATCGTCTACTGAAACCCCAGTAATGGTGATGCCCTACCCCCTACCAAGCTAGAGCATCCAGGTCGACTTCAGACTGCTGTGCTGGCAGCAAGAATTTCAAGATAGTGGATCTTAGCTTGCTGGGCTCCATGGGGTTAGGATCCTTTGAGCTAGATCACTTGGCTTTCTGGCTTCAGCCCCCTTTCCAAGGGAGTGAAGAGTTCTGTCTCACTGGCTTTCTTGGCACGTCTGGAGTATGAAAAATAAACTCCTGCAGGTAGCTCGGTGTCTGCCCAAACAGCCACCCAGTTTTGTGCTTGAAACCCAGGGCCCTGGTTGTGTAGGCACTTGAGGGAATCTCCTGGTCTGTGCATTGTGAAGACCATGGGAAAAGCACAGTATGTGAGTCAGAATGCACCATCCCTCATGCCACAGTCCCTCATGGCTTCCCTTGGCTAGTGAAGGGAGTTCCCTGACTCCTTGCACTTCCCGGGGGAGTCAATGCCCCACCCTGCTTTGACTTACCCTCCGTGGGCTGTACTCACTGTCTCACCAGTCCCAATGAAATGAGCTGGGTACCTCAGTTGGAAATGCAGAAATCACCCAGCTTTTGCCTTGATCTCACTGGGAGCTACAGACGGGAGCTGTTCCTATTCGGTCATCTTGCCAGCTACCCTCCACAATGGTTCTTTTGAGTCAGAGTAACACCTATTGCCAAGATCCTTCTGCAGCAATATTACTCAATGTATTTGTTCCCTTCGGATAATAATGCCTGCATAACTTCTGAGAGTGCTATTCCATTTTGGCCCTATAATTATACTTGTTTATAATACTAAGATCCATCCCAATAGCTATATCACATTTGCTAGGACTACTGACTACTGTTTTTCCCATCCCTATATGATTCTGGTTTCTTCTCTTCCTCAGCAGTGCATATTGCTGAGAACACAGAAAGCCTAGTAACTGGGCCCACACAACAGTATATTTCTAAGTCAATGGTTCTCAAAATATGGTCCCTGGAGCAGCAACATTTGCATGTCCCAAGAATTTGACAGAAATAAAAATTCCTTCATCCCATCCCAATCCTGTTTAACTACATAGAAACTTTGGGCATCTGTCCCAGCAATCTGTGTTTTAATAAGTCCTCTTGATTATACGGATAGAAACTAGAGTCACCTTTAGGATATGGCACTATAGAATATGATGTTTACAGTAAGTTTCTGGTAGATTCCCTTTAGTTAAATAAGTTTCCTTTCATTCCAGTTTTCTTTGTATGTTGGAGAGGGAGGGATGACTCAGGAATGGGTACTGCATTTTGTTGCGGAGAAGGTACATGCTTTAAATTTTTAATATAGTGAATTACATTAATAGATGTTAGCTGTATTATTCTTTGAATTCTTTACTGAAATCAAGTAAATATTTGGGGTGTTTGGATATTTAAAAATGTATTCATCAGTGAGATTGGCATATAATTCTTTTGCTGTGCACGCTTCTCATTTGATTTTGGTATCAGGACTATGTTTTTTTTTCTGTTTTCTCTTTCCCAACTTTTATTTTAAGTTCAGGGGGCATACGTGCAGGTTTGTTACATGGGTAAATTACATGTCCCTGGGGACTGGTGTACAAATAATTTCATCACCCAGGCAGTGAGCATAGCACCCCATAAGTAACTTTTTGATCCTCCCCTTTGCCCATCCTCTTCCCTAAAGTAGGCCCTAGTGTCTATTGTTCCCCTCTTTGTGTCCATGTGTACTCAGTGTTTAGCTCCCACTTATAAGTGAGAAGATGTGGTGTTTGGTTTTCTGCTTCTGCATTAATTCACTTAGGATAATGGTCTTCAGCCACATCCATTTTGCTGTGAAGGACATGATCTCATTTTTTCTTAATGGCCTGTAGTATTCCATGGTATATGTGCACCACATTTTCATTATCCAGTTCACCATTGATGAGTATCTAGGTTGATTTCATGTCTTTGCAATTATGAATAGAGCTGTGATAAATATATGAGTGCATGTGTCTTCTTGGTAGAATGATTTATGTTCCTTTGGGTATATATCCAGTAAGGGGATTTCTGGATTGAATGGTAATTCCATTTTAAGTTCATTGAGAACAATTTACATTCCCACCAGCAGAATATAGGCATTCCCTTTTCTCTTCAACCTTGCTGACGTCTGATATTTTCTGAATTTTTAATAGCCATTCTGACCTATTTGAAATGGTATCACATTGTGGTTTTGATTTGCATTTCTCTAAAGATTAGTGATGTTGAGCATTTTTTCAAATGCTTATTATGTGTATGTCTTCTTTTGAAAGTGTTTGTTCATGCTTTTCCCTGTTTTTTAATGGGGTTGTTTTTTGCTTGTTGATTTGTTTGACTTCCTTATAGATTCTGGATATTAGACCTTAGTTGGATGCATATTTTGTGAATATGTTCTCTCATTCTGTAAGTTGTTTTTTGCACTGTTGATTCTTTTTGTTGTTGTTTGCTATGTAGAACTTTTTATTTAATTAGATCCCACTTGTTAATTTTTGTTTTTATTGTGATTATTTTGGGAGACTTTGTCATGAAATCTTTGCCAAGGTCTAAGTCTGGAATGGTATGTGCTAGGTTTTTCCTAGTTTTTTTTTTAAGTTTTAGGTCTCACATTTAAAGTTTTAACCCATCTTGAGATGATTTTTGTATATGATGACAGGAAGGGGTCCACTTTCAATCTTCTACATATGGCTGGCCAGTTATCCAGACATCATTTATTGAGTAGGGAGTTCTTTCCCATTGTTCATTTCTGTCAGCTTTGTCAAACATCAAATGGTTGTAGGTGTGGAGCTTTATTTCTGGGTTCTTTATTCTGTTACGTAGGTCTATGTGTCTGTTTCAATGCAAATACCATGCTGTCTTGGTTATTCAAACCTTGTAGTATACTTTGAAGTACGGTAGTGTGATGCCTCTTGCTTTGTTCTTTTCACTAAGAATTACTTGACTATTTGGTCTATTTTTTGTTCCATATGAATTTTAGAATAGTTTTTTCTAGTACTGTGAAAAATAATATTGGCAGTTTGATAGAAATGCATTGAATCTGTATATTTCTGTGGGTAGTAACACCAATTTAACAATATTTATTCTATCTGTGAATATGATGATTTTCCATTTTTTTGTGTCATCTCCGATTTCTTTCAGAAGTGTTTTGTAATTAATTCTTACGGTAAAGATAATTCACCTCTCTGGTTAGCTGTATTCCTAGGTACTTTATTGTGTTTTGGCTATTGAGAATGAAACTGTGTTCTTGATTTGGCTCTCAGGGTGGATGCTGCTGGCATATAGAAATGGTACTAATTTTCGTACATTGATTTTGTATCCTGAAACTTTGTTGAAGTTGTTTATCAGGTCTAGGAGCCTTTGGCCAGAGAATGTGGTGTTTCTTGAGGTATAGAATTTTATCTTCTGTGAAGAGAGATAATTTGACTTCTTCTCTTACTATATGAATGCCCTTTATTTCTTTCTCTTGCTTGATTGCACTGGCTAGGACTTCCAGTATTATGTTGAATAGAAGTGGTGAGATTGGGCATCCTTGACTTGTCATAATTCTAAACGGTAATGCTTCCAGCTTTTGCCCACTCATTACAATGTTGGCTGTGGGTTTGCCTATTTCAGAGACCTATGAAGAGATTTAGATAATCACACAATAATGGAGGGAGACTTCAACACCCCAATGACAGTGTTAGAAAATTGAGGCAGAAAATTAACAAAGATATTCAGGCCCTAAACTCGACATTTCATCAAATAGACCTAACAGACATCTACAGAACACTTTACTCAACTAAAACAGAATATACATTATTCTCATCTGCACACAGTGCATATTCTAAGATCAACCACATGCTTGGCCATGAAGCAATTCTCAAAAAATTAAAAAACAACAACAACAAAATAACAGCAACCACACTCTTTGACCACAGTGGAATAAAAATAGAAATCAATACCAAGAAATCCTTTCAAAACCGTACAATTAAACAGAAAATAAACAACCTGCTCCTGAATTACTTTTCAGTAAATAATAAAATTAAGGCTGAAATAAAAAATTATTTGAAAATAATGAAAACAAAGATAAAATATACCAGACTCTAAAAGACACAGCTAAAGCAAGGTGAAGAGGAATGTTCATAGCAAAAAATATCTACATCAAAAAGTTAGAAATATCTCAAATTAACAACCTAAGAACACACCTAGAAGAAATAGGTCTATTTCAATTTTTTATTTCTATTTTATTTATTTATTTATTCCTTTTAATTTATATTTTTAAATATTTTTTCAATAGAATAGGTGTCTTATTATTTTGAGGTATGTTCATTCAGTGCCAAGTTTGTTGAGGAATTTTAACATAAAGCAATGTTGAATTTTATCAGAAGCCTTTTCTGTATCTAATAATGGTCTTTTTTTTTGTTTTTAGTTCTGTTTATAGGGTGAATTATATCTATTGATTTGCATATGTTGAACCAACATTTCATCCCATGAGTAAAGCTTACTTGCTTATGGTGGAGTAGCTTTTTGATGTGCTACTGGATTTGATTTGCTAGTATTTTGTTGAAGAATTTTGTGTCTATGTTCACCGAGGATATTGGCCTGAAGTTGTTATATCTATGTGTCTCTGCCAGGGATTGGTATCAGAATGATGCTGGCCTTATATAATGAGTTATAAAGGAGTCCTTCATCATCAATTATTTGAAATAACTTCAGTAGGATTGGTACCAGCTGTTCTTTATATGTCTGGTACAATGTGGTTATAAATTTTTCTGGTCCAGGGATTTTTCAGTATTTTTTTCTGGTCTGGCGATTTTTCAGGATTTTTTATTACTGATTGAATTTCAGAATTTTTTAGTCTATGCAGGACTTCAATTTCTTCCTGGTTCAATCTTGGGAGGTTGTATATTTTTAGGAATTTATCCATTTCTGCTAGGTTTTCTAGTTTATGTGCAGAAGAGTATTCATAATAGTCTCTGAAGGATTTTTGTAATTTCTTTGGGTTTGGTGGTCCTCTTTGTCATTTCTGGTTGTGCTCATCTACATCTTTTCTTTTTTTAAATTAATATAAACTGTGATCTATTATTATTTACTCTTTCAAAACACCAACTTTTTGTTTTGTTGATTTTTTATATTAATTTATGCATCTCAATTTATTTCAGTTCAGTTCTGATTTTTTTTTTCTTCTGTTAGCTTTGCAGTTTGTTTTTTTTTATTTTTCTATTTCTTCTCAGTGTGATCTTAGGTTGTTAATATGAGATCTTTCTAACTTTTTGATGTAGACATTTTGTGCTATGAACATTTCTCTTCACTTTGCTTTAGCTGTGTCTTAGATTCTGGTGTATTGTGTCTTCATTTTCGTAATTTTCAAATAATTTTTTATTTCAGCCTTAATTCTATTATTTACTGAAAAGTAAGTCAGGAGCATATGGTTTATTTTCTGTTTAATTGTATAGTTTTGAAAGACTTTCTTCATATTGATTTCTATTTTTATTCCACTGTGGTCAAAGAGTGTGGTTGCTATTATTTTTTTTTTAATTTTTTGAGAATTGCTTCATGGCCAAGCATGTGGTTGATCTTAGAATATGCACTGTGTGCAGATGAGAATAATGTATATTCTGTTTTAGTTGAGTAAAGTGTTCTGTAGATGTCTGTTAGGTCTATTTGATGAAATGTCAAGTTTAGGGCCTGAATATCTTTGTTAATTTTCTGCCTCAATTTTCTAACACTGTCATTGGGGTGTTGAAGTCTCCCTCCATTATTGTGTGATTATCTAAATCTCTTCATAGGTCTCTGAAAACTTGTTTTATGAATCAAAGTCCCTGAGTTTTGAGTGCATATATATTTAGGATAGTTACATAATGGCATTACCATTATGTAATGCCCTTCTTTGTCTTTTTTGACCGTTGTTGGTTTAAAGTCAGTTTTGCCTGAAATAAAAATAGCAACCCTTGCTTTTTTTGTTTTCTGTTTGCTCAATAGATCATTCTCTATTCCTTTAATTTGAACCTATGTGTGTTACTGCATGTGAGATTAGTTTCTTAAGGACAACATACAGTTGGGTCTTGCTTCTTTATCCAACTTGCCACTCTGTGTCTTTCACATGGGGTGTTTAACCGATTTACTTTAAAGGTTAATATTGATATGTGAATATTTGATCCTGTCATTGTTTTGTTAGGTGGCTGTTATGTGGACTTGGTTGTATAGTTGCTTTAAGGCAGGTCTGATGGTAAGGAAATCCCTTATTATTTGTTTGTCTAAAAAGAATTTTATTTCTCCTTTGCTTATGAAACTTGTTTTGGTTGGATATGAGATTCTTGGTTGAAATTTCTTTTCTTTAAAGTTGCTTAATATAAACCACCAATCTCTTCTGACTTGTAAGGTTTCTGTTAAATGTTTGCAGTTAGCCTGATAGGATTCACTTTGTACATGATTTTCTCTTTCTCTCTTGCTACCTTTCTTTTTTTCTCTACTTTTTCTTTTGTGTTTATCTTTCAGAATCCGAGTAGTATGCATCTTAAGGATAGCCATTGTAGTATCTCACAGGGGTTCTCCGAATTTCTTTTTGTTATTTTTATTTTTTTTTTTTGAGACTGAGTTTTGCTCTTTTTGCCCAGGCTGGAGTGCAGTGATGCAATCTCGGCTCACCGCAACCTCTGCCTCTCAATTTCAAGTGATTCTCCTGCATCAGCCTCCTGAGTAGCTGGATTACGAGCATGCACCAACATGCCTGGCTAATTTTGTATTTTTAGAAGAGATGAGGTTTCTCCATGTTGGTCAGGCTGGTCTTGAACTCCTGACCTCAGATGATCTACCCGCCTCAGCCTCCCAAAGTGCTGGGATTACAGGCATGAGCCACTGTGCCCAGCAATAATTGATTTTAAGGGAAACTATAAGCGATCAAAAGTTACTCAAAAAGCAGAGAAACTGAAAAGACCAATAATCATAGAAAAAATTTAAAAGGTGACCAACAATCTAACTTTTAAAAAAGGGACCAGTATCATGTAGTTTTTCTGTTGAATTTTACCAGATAATTCTCATGTTATATAAACTCCTCCAAAGGTCATAGGGCAAAAGCTTTCCCAATGCATTTGAAGAGAAAATGCAGCAGCTGTGCTGGTGCTCATGCACTTGCAGACCTATGACCCCTTGCCAAAGTGATTTTGCCAGCAGCCCCTAGCAGAATGTTGTTGCTAACAGACTGGGGACACCCTGACCCCTTCAACGCAGCAGGTGTTTAACTTCAAGGAACAGGAGAACAAAGCCACAGGCTTGGTTCCAGCACTCCACCCCCCACCCAACCCCCAGGGTTAGAGCATGCACCCCAGGAGTGCTAAGCTGAAAGTTCCACTGACAGCATCCAGAAATAAAGTCAATTGACTAAACCCATCTTACACCACAGCCAAACCCTCAAGGGCATCAACAAATAGAAAAGCAAAAAGCCCCATCCAAAGGACAGCAGCTTCAAAGTTTAAAGGAGCATCAGCCCATACAGATGAGAAAGACCCAGTGCAAGAACTCCGGCAACTCTAAAAGCCAGAGTGTCTTCTTTCTTCCAAATGACTCTGCTAGCTTCCCAACAGTGGTCCTCAACCAAACTGAAATGACTGAAATAACAGGCATAGAATTCAGAATCTGAATGGGAAGGAAGCTCATTGAGATATATTGAGATATATGAGAAGGTTAAAACTGTCCAAGGAGCACAGTAAAATATTCCAAGGGTTGAAAGATGACATAGCTATTTTAATAAAAAGCCAAACTGAACTTCTGGAAATGAAAAATTTACTATAGGAATCTCAAAATGCAATTGGAAGCATTAACAACAGATCAGACTAAGCTGAGGAAAGAATCTCAGAGTTCAAAGAATGATCTTTTGAGTCAACATAGGCAGACAAAATTTTTTCAAAAAATGTTTTAAAATACAAAACCTCTGATAAATAAAGGATTATGGAAACAGATCAAACTTATGACTCACTTGCATTCCTGAAAGACATTAAGAGAGAGCAAGCAAATTAGAAAATATACTGAAGGATATTGTTCATGAAAATTTCCTCAACATGCTGGAAGGTTTGACATAAAAATTCAATAAATTGGCCAGGTGCGGTGGCTCATGCCTCTAATCCCGGCACTTTGGGAGGCAGAGGTTGCAGTGAGCCAAGATCATGCCATTGCACTCCAGCCTGGGCAACAATAACTAAACTCTATCTCAAAAAAAAACTCAATTATTTCACCTTGGTATTCAAACTTATTAATATGATAATGGGTATATCACTCTCTTGTATATTTGAAAACTTTTTCTGTATATTTTGCTATAAGACTCTTGTTGACCATGATGCTTCTTATAGGGTCCTATTTTTTTAAACAGGTTTTACTATTGTATTGGTATTTTTAAAGAACCAGCTTTTGAACTTATTGAACAACTTTATTATGTTTATAATTTCTATTTTATTAATTTCTATATCTTCATTACTTTCCCCTATGTTCTTTGTGCTTAGAGGTTAATGCATTGTTCTTTCATAAACTTCTTAAGTTAAATGCCCAATTAAATAATTTTCAATCTTTTTTTTTTTTTTTGAGACAGGGTCTCGCTCTGTCACCCAGGCTGGAGGGTGGTGGCGTGATCTCGGCTCACTGCAAGCTCCACCTACTTACAGGCGCCTGCCACCATGCCCGGCTCATTTTTTTGTATTTTTAGTAGAGACGGGGTTTCACTGTGTTAGCCAGGATGATCTCAATCCCCTGACCTCATGATCCGCCCACCTCAGCCTCCCAAAGTTATTTAGTTATTTAGTTATTATTTTGCTTGTTAGTTGATGCAGTTTCTTCCTAGCTTCGATGGTCTTTACAATTTGGCATGTTTTTGCAGTGGCTGGTACCGGTTGTTCCTTTCCATGTTTAGTGCTTCCTTCAGGAGCTCTTTTAGGGCAGGCCTAGTGGTGACAAAATCTCTCAGCATTTGCTTCTCTGTAAAGGATTTTATTTTATTTTATTTATTTTATTTTATTATTTTATTTTATTTTATTTATTTTATTTCTCCTTCACTTCTGGAGATTAGTTTGGCTGGATATGAAATTACGGGTTGAAATTTCTTTTCTTTAAGCATGTTGAATTTTGGCCCCCACTCTCTTCTGGCTTATAGAGTTTATAGTTTATAGAGTTTGTGCCAAGAGATCAGCTGTTAGTCTGATGGGCTTCCCTTTGTGGGTAACCCGACCTTTCTCTCTGGCTGTCTTTACAATTTTTTCCTTCATTTCAACTTTGGTGAATGTAACAATTATGTGTCTTGGAGTTGCTCTTCTCGAGGGGTATCTTTGTGGTGTTCTCTGTATTTCCTGAATCTGAATATTGGCCTGTCTTGCTAGATTGGGGAAGTTCTCCTGTATAATATCCTGCAGAGTGTTTTCCCACTTGGTTCCATTCTCCCCATCACTTTCAGGTACACCAATCAGATGTAGGTTTGGTCTTTTCACATAGTCCCATATTTCTTGGAGGCTTTGTTTATTTCTTTTTATTCTTTTTTCTCCAAACTTCTCTTCTTGCTTCATTTCATTCATTTGATCTTCCATCACTGATACCCTTTCTTCCAGTTGATCGAATCAGATACTGAGGCTTGTGCATTCATCACATAGTTCTGGTGCCATGGTTTTCAGCTCCATCGGGTCCTTTAAGGACTTCTCTGCATTGGTTATTCTAGTTAGCCATTCATCTAATCTTTTTTCAAGGTTTTTAACTACTTTGCCATGGGTTCGAAATTCCTCCTTTAGCTCGGAATAGTTTGATTGTCTGAAGACTTCTTCTCTCAACCCGTCAAAGTCATTCTCCATCCAGTTTTGTTCCACTGCTGGTGAGGAGCTGCATTCCTTTGGAGGAGGAGAGGTGCTCTGATTTTTAGAGTTTACAGTTTTTCTGCTCTGTTTTTTCCCCATCTTTGTGGTTTTATGTACCTTTGGTCTTTGATTATGGTGACATACAGATGGGGTTTTGGTGTGGACGTCCTTTCTATTTGTTAGTTTTCCTTCTGACAGCCAGGACCCTCAGCCTCAGTTCTGTTGGAATTTGCTGGTGGTCCACTCCAGACCCTATTTGCTGGGGTATCAACAGCAGAGGCTGCAGGACAGCGGATATTGGTGAGCAGCAAATGTTGCTGCCTGATCGTTCCCCTGGAAGTTTTGTCTCAGAGGAGTACCTGGCCGTGTGGGGTGTCAGTCTGCCCCTACTGTGGGGTGCCTCCCAGTTAGGCTACTCAGAGGTCAGGGACCCACTTGAGGAGGTAGTCTGTCTGTTCTCAGATCTCCAACTGCGTGCTGGGAGAACCACTACTCTCTTCAAAGCTGTCAGACAGGGACATTTAAGTCTGCAGAGTTTTCTGCTGCCTTTTGTTTGGCTATGCCCTGCCCTCAGAGCTGGAGTCCACAGAGGCAGGCAGGCCTCCTTGAGCTGCGGTGGGCTCCACCCATTTCGAGCTTCCCAGCTGCTTTGTTTACCTACTCAAGCCTTGGCTATGGTGGATGCCCCTCCCCCAGCCTCACTGCTGCCCTTCAGTTTGATCTCAGACTGCTGTGCTAGCAATGAGCAAGGCTGTGTGGGTGTAGGACCCTCTGAGCCAGGCACGGGATATAATCTCCTGGTGTACCGTTTGCTAAGACCATTGGAAAAGTGCAGTATTAGGGTGAGAGTGACCCGATTTTCCAGGTGCCATCTGTCACCCCTTTCTTTGACTAGGAAAGGGAATTCCCGGACCCCTTGCACTTCCTGGGTGAGGCGATTCCTCACCCTGCTTCAGCTCACACTTGGTGCACTGCACCCACTCCCCTGCACCCACTCTCTGACACTCCCCAGTGAGATGAACCCGGTACCTCAGTTGGAAATGCAGAAATCACCCATCATCTGTGTCACTCACGCTGGGAGCTGTAGACTGGAGCTGTTCCTATTCGGCCATCTTGGCTCCATCCCCCCAGGCCATCAATTTCACCTTGGTTGAGGTCTCACAGTTTGCCTTTTTTGAGAAATTAGTCATTTATTGTATGTTATCTAATTTATAAAAATAAAGTTGCTCATACTAGTCCCTTACTATAATTTAAATGTTTTTAGGATCTGCAGTCAAGTCCTATTTTTTTTCTTGTTATTCTGATGTGTGTCTTTTTTCTTTTATCTTTGTGTTTCTTGTTAGAGATTTATCAATTTTACTATTTTTTGAAGAAACAGATTTTTAAGAAATTTAACTGCTATATTGAGGTATAATTGAAATACATCATACTACATATATTTAATGCATACATTTAATGAGTCTAAACACATGTGAAACTCATTATACCTTCACCACAATAGAGGTAATAATCATATTCAACACCTTACAATTAGCCTTAGTGTCTCCCTCTTTTTTTGTGTGTGGTTAGATCAATTAACATTGGATCTACTCTCTTGACCAATTTTGAAATGCACAATACTGTATTTTTAACTGTTTTATTAATTTTTCTATTGGTTACTCTTTTAAATGTATTTTGTTTCTAGTCCTGCCTTTTATTAATCTTGCTGCTTGTTGAATTCATTTTGCTCTTTTTAATGTAATTTATTGAGTTAGGAACATAGATTACAGATTTAAGACCTTTCTTCTTTTCTAGGGGGTCTTAGTCCATTTGTGTGGCTATAAAGGAATACCCGACGCTTGGTAATTTATAAAGAAAAAACCTTTACTTTACTCACACTTTTTTTCTTTTTGCTAAAAGAATGAGCATCTGGTGAAAGCTTCAGGCTGCTTAGGACCTAATATAGCAAGGAATTACTCATTACTAAGAGGGCAGAGGACAGCACCAAGCCATTCATGAGAGATTCCCCTCGATGACTTTTCTTCCATTAGGCTCCACCTTCAACATTAGGAATCAAATTTCAAGATGAGGTTTGGAAAAGCAAACATCCCAACTATAGATTAGTGTGAGAATTTAGTAGTATAAATTTCTCTCTTAGCATTGCATTAGCCACCTCTTCCAAATTTTGTTATGACATTTTAATTGTTATTCAATTCGATGCATTCTTATTTCCTTTAATATTTTCTCTTAGACCTATGAATTATTTCTATATATGTCACTTAAATTCCAAGTGTTTAAAGATTTTCCTGTTGTCTTTCAATTATTGATTTCTAGTGATTTTATTACAGTCAGAGAATATACTCTGTAAGATTTCAACTATTTCAAATTTTTTTTTCCTAGGACTCAAGGTATGGTCTCTATTGTTGCATGTTTTATGGGTTGTTGAAAAAAACTATATACTCTGCTGCTATGGGGTGAAGTGTTCTACATATGTCAATTATTTCCAGTTAGATGATTCCATTTTTCAGATCTTCTATAGCTTTCTCGTTTTCTGTCTAGTAGTTCTATCATTTGTTATGTTAGGTTGTTAAATTGAGATATTTCTAACTTTTTGATTGGGGCATTTTACTGCTATAAATTTTCCTCTTAACACTGCCTTAGCTGTGTCCCAGAGATTTCAGTATGTTGTATCTTTGTTCTCATTAGTTTCAAAGAACTTGATTTCTGCCTTAATTTCATTTACCCAGTAGTCTTTCAGGAGCAGGTTATTCAATTTCCATGTAATTGTAGTTGTGAGTGAATTTCTTAGTGCTGATTTCTAATTTGGGTTGTGGTCTGAGAGAGTGGTTGTTAGGATTTCAGTTTTTATAATTTGCTAAGGAGTGCCTTATGCCTGATTATGTAAATGAATGTAGAGTATGGGTCATGTGGAAATGAGAAGAATGTATATTCTGTTGTTTTGGGATGGAGAGTTCTGTAGATGTCTATCAGGTCTATTTAATCAAGTGCTGAGTTGAGGTCTTAAATTCTTTGTTAATTTTCTGTCTCAATGATCTGTCTAATGCTATCAGTGGGGTATTAAAGTCTCCCACAATTATTGTATGAAAATATAAGTCTTCTGTAGATTTCTAAGAACTTGCTTTATTAATCTGGGTGCTCCTGTGGTGGGTGCATATATATTTAAAATAGTTAGGTATTCTTGTTAAATTGAACCCTTACCATTAATGTAGTGCCCTTTTTTGTGCTTTTTGATCTTTCTTGGCTTAAAGTCTGTTTTGTCTGAGATTAGGATTGCAACATGTGCTTTTATCTGTTTTCCATTTGCTTGGAAGGTTTTTCTCCACCCCTTTATTCTGAGACTATGGGTGTCATTGCATGCAAGATGGGTCTCTTGAAGGCAGCATACCAATGTACATTGATTACTTTTTTTTTTTTTAATTATACTTTAAGTTCCAGGGTACATGTGCTCAACATGCAGATTTGTTACATAGGCACGCATGTGCCATGTTGGTTTGCTGCACTCATTAACTCGTAATATACATTAGGTATTTCTCCAAATGCCATCCCTTCCCCAGGCCCCCACCCCCTGACAGGCCCCAGTGTGTGATATTCCCTGCCCTGTGTCCAAGTGTTCTCATTGTTCAATTCCCACCTATGAGTGAGAGCTTGCAGTGTTTGGTTTTCTGTCTTTGTGATAGTTTGCTAAGAATGATGGTTTCCAGCCTCATCCATGTCCCTGCAAAAAACATGAACTTATCCTTTATTATGGCTGCATAGTATTCCATTGAGTATATGTGCCATATTTTCTTAAACCAGCCTATCGTTGATGGATATTTGGGTTGGTTTCAAATCTTTGTTATCATGAAGAGTGCCATGATAAACATACATGGGCATGTGTCTTTATAGTAGAATGATTTACAACCCTTTGGGTATATACCCAGTAATGAGATTGCTGGGTCAAATGGTATTTCCAGTTCTAGATCCTTTAAGAATCACCACACTGTCTTCCACAATGGTTGACTTAATTTACACTACCACCAACAGTGTAAAAGGGTTATTAGTTCTCCACATCCTCTCCAGCATCTGTTGTTTCCTGACATTTTAATCACCATTCTAACTGGCGTGAGGTGGTATCTCATTGTGGTTTTCATTTGCATTTCTCTGATGACCAGTGATGATGAGCATTTTTTCATGTGTCAGTTGGCTGCATAAATGTCTTCTTTTGAGAAATGTCTGATCATATCCTTTGCCCACTTTTCGATGGGGTTGTTTGTTTTTTTCTTGTAAATTTGTTAAAGTTCTTTGTAGATTCTGGATATTAGCCCTTTGTCAGATGGGTAGGTTGCAAAAATTTTCTCCTATTCTGTAGGTTGCCTGTTCACTCTGATGGTAGTTTCTTTTGCTGTGCAGAAGCTCTTTAGTTTAATTAGATCCCATTTGTCTATTTTGGCTTTTGTTGCCATTGCTTTTGGTGTTTTAGTCATGAAGTCCTTGCCCATGCCTATGTCCTGAATGGTATTGCCTAGGTTTTCTTCTAGGGGTTTTATGGTTTTAGGGCTGACATTTAAATTTTTAATCCACCTTTGATTAATTTTTGTACAAGGTGTAAGGAAGGGATCCAGTTTCAGCTTTCTACATATGGCTAGCCAGTTTTCCCAGCACCATTTATTAAATAGGGAATCCCTTCCCCACTTCTTTTTTTGTCAGGTTTGTCAAAGATCAGATGGTTGTAGATGTGTGGTGTTATTTGTGAGGCCTCTGTTCTGTTCCATTGTTCTATTTCTCTGTTTTGGTACAAGTACCATGCTGTTTTAGTTACTTTAGCCTTGTAGTATAGTTTCAAGTCAGGTAGCGTGGTGCCTCCAGCTTTGTTCTTTTCGCTTAGGATTGTCTTGGCTATGTGGACTCCTTTTTAGTACGGTATAAGCTTTAAAGTAGTTTTTTCCAATTCTGTGAAGAAAGTCTTTGCTAGCTTGATGGGGATGGCATTGAATCTATAAATTACCTTGGGCAGTATGGCCATTTTCACGATATTGATTCTTCCTATCCATGAGCATGGAATTTTCTTCCATTTGTTTGTATCCTCTTTTATTTCCTTGAGCAGTGGTTTGTAGCTGTCCTTGAAGAGGTCCTTCGCATTCCTTGTAAGTTGGATTCTTAAGTATTTATTCTCTTTGTAAAAATTGTGGATGGGAGTTCACTCATGATTTGGCTCTCTGTTTGTCTGTTATTGTTGTATGGGAATGCTTGGGATTTTTTGCACATTGATGTATCCTGAGACTTTGCTGAAGTTACTTATCAGATTAAGGAAATTTTGGGCTGAGATGATGGGGTTTTCTAAATATACAATCATGTCATCTGCCAACAGGGACAATTTGACTTCCTCTTTTCCTCATTGAATACCCTTTATTTCTTTCTCTTGCCTGATTGCCCTGACCAGAACTTCCAACACTATGTTGAATAGGAGTGGTGAGAGAAGCCATCCTTATCTTGTGCCAGTTTTCAAAGAGAATGCTTCCCATTTTTGCCCATTCAGTATGATATTGGCTGGCTGTGGGTTTGTCATAAATAGCTCTTATTATTTTGAGGTACGTTCCATAAATACCTAGTTTACTGAGAGTTTTTAGCATGAAGGGCTGTTGAATTTTGTTGAAGGCCCTTTCCTGCATCTATTGAGATAATCATGTGGTTTTTGTTTTCGGTTCTGTTTATGCGATGGATTACATTTATTGATTTGTGTATGTTGAACCAGCCTTGCATCCCAGGGATGAAGCCCACTTGATCATGGTGGATAAGCTCTTTGATATGCTGCTGGATTCGGTTTGCCAGTATTTTATTGAGGATTTTCACATCAAAGTTCATCAGGGATATTTGTCTAAAATTCTCTTTTTTTGTTTTGTCTTTTCCAGGCTTTGGTATCAGGATGACGCTGGCCTCATAAAATGAGTTAGGGAGGATTCCCTCTTTTTCTATTGATTGGAATAGTTTCAGAAGGAATGGTACCAGTTCCTCCTTGTACCTCTGGTAGAACTCAACTGTGAATCCATGTGTTCCTGAAATTTTTTTGTTGGTAGGCTATTAATTATTGCCTCAATTTCAGAGCCTGTTATTGGTCTATTCAGAGATTCAACTTCTTCCTAATTTAGTCTTGGGAGGGTGTATGTGTCAAGGAATTTATCCATTTCTTCTAGATTTTCTGGTTTATTTGCATAGAGGAGTTTATACTATTCTCTGATGGTAGTTTGTATTTCTTTGGGATCAATTGTGATAACCTCTTTAACATTTTTTATTGCATCTATTTGATTCTTCTCTCTTTTCTTCTTTATTAGTTTTTATAGTGGACTATCAATTTTGTTGATCTTTTCAAAAAACGAGCTCCTGGATTCATTGATTTTTTGAAGGGTTTTTTGTGTCTCTATTTCCTTCAGTTCTGCTCTGATCTTAGTTATTTGTTGCCTTCTTCTAGCTTTTGAATTTGTTTGCTCTTGCTTCTCAAGTTCTTTCAATTGTGATGTTAGCATGTCAATTTTAGATCTTTCCTGTTTTCTCTTGTGGGCATTTAGTGCTATAAATTTCCCTCTACACACTGCTTTGAATGTGTCCCAGAGATTCTGGTACATTGTGTCTTTGTTCTCATTGGTCTCAAAGAACATCTTTATCTCTGCCTTCATTTCATTTTTTACCCAGTATTCATTCAGGATGAAGTTGTTCAGTTTCCATGTAGTTGTGCTGTCTTGAGGGAGTTTTTTATTCCTGAGTTCTAATTTGATTGCACTGTGGTCTGAGAGACAGTTTCTTTTGATTTCTGTTCTTTTACATTTGCTGAGGCATGCTTTAGTTCCAATTATATGGTCAATTTTAGAATAAGTGTGATGTGGTGCTGAGAGCAATGTATATTCTGTTGATTTGGGGTGGAGAGTTCTGTAGATGTCTGTTAGGTCGGATCAGTGCAGAGCTCAGATTAAGTCCTGAATATCCTTCTTAACCTTCTGTCTCATTGATCTGTCTAATGTTGACAGTGGGGTGTTAAAGTCTCCCATTATTATTTTGTTGGAGTCTAAGTCTCTTGGTAGGTCTCTAAAGACTTGCTTTATGAATCTGGGTGCTCCTGTATTGGGTGCATATATATTTAGGATAGTTAGCTCTTCTTGTTGAATTGATCCCTTTACCATTATGTAATGGCCTTCTTTGTCTCTTTTGATCTTTGTTGGTTTAAAGTCTGTTTTATCAGAGACTAGGATTGAAACCCCTGCATTTTTTTGCTTTCCATTTGCTTGGTAGATCTTCCTCCATCCCTTTATTTTGAGCCCACGTGTGTCTCTGCACGTGAGATGGGTCTCCTGAATACAGCACACTGATGGGTCTTGACCCTTTATCTAATTTGCCAGTCTGTGTCTTTTAAATGGGGCTTTTAGCCTATTTACATTTAAAGTTAATATTTTTATGTGTGAATTTGATCCTGTCATTATGAGGTTAGCTGGTTGTTTTGCCCATTAATTGATGCAGTTTCTTCCTAGCATTGATGGTCTTTACAATTTGGCATGTTTTTGCAGTGGCTGGTAATGATTGTTTATTTCTATGTTCAGTCCTTCCTTCAGGAGCTCTTGTAAGGCCCGCCTGGTAATGACAAAATCTCTCAGTGTTTGCTTGTCTGTAAAGGATTTTATTTGTCCTTCACTTATGAAGATTTGGCTGGATATGAAATTCTGGGTTGAAAATTCTTTTCTTTAAGCATGTCGAATTTTGGTCCCCACTCTCTTCTGGCTTGTAGCATTTCTGCCGAGAGATCTGCTTTTAGTCTGATGGGCTTCCCATTGTGGGTATCCCAGCATATCTCTGGCTGTCCTCAACATTTTTTCCTCCATTTCAACCCTGGTGAATCTGACAATTGTGTGTCTTGGGGTTGCTCTTCTTGAGGAGTATCTTTGTGGTGTTCCCTGTATTTCCTGAATTTGAATGTTGGCCTGCCTTGTTAGGTTGGGGAAGTTCTCCTGGATAATATCCTGCCGAGTGTTTTCCAACTTGGTTCCATTCTCCCCATCACTTTCAGGTACACCAATCAAATGTAGATTTGGTCTTTTCAAATAGTCCCATATTTCTTGGAGGCTTTGTTCATTTCTTTTTACTCTTTTTTCTCTAACCTTGTCTTCTAGCTTTATTTCATTAATTTCATCTTCAGTCAGTGATACACTTTCTTCCACTTGATTGAATCAGCTATTGAAGCTTTTTCATATATCACGAACTTGTCGTGCCATGGTTTTCAGCTCCATCAGGTCATTTAAGGTCTTCTCTGCACAGTTTATTCTTCTTAGCCATTTTTCTAACCTTTTTTCCAGGTTTTCAGTTTCCTTGAGATGGGTTCAAACATGCTTCTTTAGCTTAGAGAAGTTTGTTATAACCGACCTTCTGAAGCCTACTTCTGTCAACTCATCAAATTCATTCTCCATCCAGCCTTGTTCCATTGCTGGTGAAGAGCTACAGTCCTTTGGAGGAGAAGAGGTGCTCTGGTTTTTAGTGTTTTCAGCTTTTCTGCTCTGGTTTCTCCCCATCTTTGTGGTTTAATCTACCTTTCGTCTTTGATGTTGGTGACCTACAGATGGGGTTTTGGAGTAGATGTCCATTTTATTGATGTTAATGTTATTCCTTTCTGTTTGTTAGTTTTCCTTCTAACAGTCAGGTCCCTCAGCTGCAGGTCTGTTTGAGTTTGCTGGAGGTCCACTCCAGACCATTTGCCTGAGTATCACCAGCAGAGGCTGCAGAACAGCAAATATTGCAGAACAGTAAATATTGCTGCCTGATCCTTCCTCTGGAAGCTTTGTCCCAGAGGGGCACCCGCATGTATGAGGTGTCTGTCGGCCCCTATTTGAATGTGTTTCTCAGTTAGGCTACATGGGGGTTAGGGACCCACTTGAGGAGGCAGTCTGTCTGTTCTCAGAACTCAAACGCTGTGCTGGGAGAACCACTGCTCTCTTCAGAGCTGTCAGACAGGGACGTTTAAGTCTGCAGCAGTTTCTGCTGCCTTTTGTTCAGCTATAGCCTGCCCACAGAGGTGGGTTCTATCGAGGCATTAGGCCTTGCTGAGCTGTGGTGTGCTCCTCCCTGTTGGAGCTTGCAGGCTGCTTTGTTTACCTACTAAAACCTCAGCAATGGCAGATGCCCCTCCCCCAGCCACGCTGCAGCCTCACAGGTTGATCTCCGACTGCTGTGCTAGCAGTGAGCAAGGATCCGTGGGCATGGGACCCACCAAGCCAGGCTTGGGAGAAAATCTCCTGCTCTGCTGGTTGCTGAGACTGTGGGAAAATCACAGTATTTGCCTGAGAGTGTCCCATTTTTCCAGGTATGGTTTGTCAAGGCCTCCCTTGGCTAGGAAAGGGAAATCCCCTGACCCCTTGCACTTCTCAGTTGAGGCAACTCCCCGCCCTGCTTTAGCTCACCCTCTGTGAGCTGCACCCACTGTCCAACCAGTCCCAATGAGATGAATTATATACCTCAGTTGGAAATGCAGAAATCACCTCTCTTCTGCATTGATCATGCTGGGCGGTGGAGACCAGAGCTGTTCCTATTTGGCCATCTAGTACTTACTCTCTGCATTGGTTCTTTATCCATCTTGCCACTCAATGCCTTTTAATTGGGGGCATATAGCCCATTTTACATTCAATGTTAACATTGATATGTATGGATTTGATCCTGTCATCATGAATTTAGCGGGTTTTTATGCAGACTTGATTTTGTGGTTGCTGAAAAGGAGATAGTTTCCCCATTGCCTGTTTTTGTCAAATTTGTCACAGATGAGATGTTTGTAGATGTGTGGTGTTATTTCTGAGGTCTCAGTTCTCCTCCATGTTTTGGTACCAGTACCATGCTGTTTTGGTTACTGTATGCTTGTACTATAGTTTGAAGTTAGGTAGCATGATGCCTCCAACTTTGTTCTTTTTGCTGAGTGTTCTCTTGGTTATATGGGGACTTCTTTGATTCCATATAAAATTTAAAATAGTTTTTCTAATTTTGTGAAGATTGTCAATGGTAGTTTGATGGGAATAGCATTGAATGTAGAAATTAATTTGAGCCGTATGGCCATTTTCATAATATAGGTTCTTCCTACCCATAAGGATGGAACGTTTCTCCATTTGTTTGTGTCCTCTCTTGTTTCCTTGAGCAGTGGTTGGTAGTTTTCCTTGAAGAAGTTTTTCACATCCTGTGTTAGACATATTCCTAGATATCTTATTCTCTTTGTAGTGATTGTAAATTGGAGTTCATTCATATTTGGCTCTCTGCCTGCCTATTGTTGGTATAAAAGAATGCTTGTGATTTTTGCACACTGATTTTGTATTCTGAGACTTTCCTGAAATTGCTTATCAGTGCAAAAAGATTTTGGGCTGACATGATGGGGATTTCTGAATATAAAACCACGTTGTCTGCAAACAGAGACAACTTGACTTCCTCCCTTCCTATTTGAATATGCTTTATTTCTTTCTCTTCCCTGATTGCCCTGGTCGGAACTTCCAATACTATGTTGAATAGGAGTGGTAAGAGGTGGCATCCTTGTCTTGTGCTGGTTTTCATTTTTTTTATTATTATTATACTTTAAGTTTTAGGGTACATGTGCACAATGTGCAGGTTAGTTACATATGTATACATGTGACATGCTGGTGTGCTGCACTCATTAACTCATCATCTAGCATTAGGTATTTCTCCTAATGCTATCCCGGCCCCCTCACCCCACCCCAGAACAGTCGCCAGAGCATGGAGTTCCCCTTCCTGTGTCCATGTGTTCTCATTGTTCAATTCCCACCTATGAGTGAGAATATGCGGTGTTTGGTTTTTTGTTCTTGCGATAGTTTACTGAGAATGATGATATCCACTTTTATCCATGTCCCTACAAAGGACATGAACTCATCATTTTTTATGGCTGCATAGTATTCCACGGTGTATATGTGCCACATTTTCTTAATCCAGTCTATCATTGTTGGACATTTGGGTTGGTTCCAAGTCTTTGCTATTGTGAATAGTGCCGCAATAAACATACGTGTGCATGTGTCTTTATAGCAGCATGATTTATAGTCCTTTGCGTATATACCCAGTAATGGGATGGCTGGGTCAAATGGTATTTCTAGTTCTAGATCCCTGTGGAATCGCAACACTGACTTCCACAAGGGTTGAACTAGTTTCCAGTCCCACAAACAGTGGAAAAGTGTTCCTATTTCTACACATCCTCTCCAGCAGCTGTTGTTTCCTGACTTCTTAATGATTGCCATTCTAACTGGTGTGAGATGATATCTCACTGTGGTTTTGATTTACATTTCTCTGATGGCCAGTGATGATGAGCATTTTTTCATGTGTTTTTTGGCTGCATAAATGTCTTCTTTTGAGAAGTGTCTGTTCATGCCCTTTGCCCACTTTTTCATGAGGTTGTTTGTTTTTTTCTTGTAAATTTGTTGAAGTTCATTGTAGATTCTGGATATTAGCCCTTTGTCAGATGAGTAAGTTGCAAAAATTTTCTCCCATTTTGTAGGTTGCCTGTTCACTCTGATGGTAGTTTCTTTTGATGTGCAGAAGCTCTTGAGTTGAATTAGATCCCATTTGTCAATTTTGGCTTTTGTTGCCATTGCTTTTGGTGTTTTAGACATGAAGTCCTTGCCTGTGCCTATGTCCTGAATGGCAATGCCTAGGTTTTCTTCTAGGATTTTTATTGTTATAGGTCTAACGTTTAAGTCTTTAATCCATCTTGAATTGATTTTTGTATAAGGTGTAAGGAAGGGATCCAGTTTCAGCTTTCTACATATGGCTAGCCAGTTTTCCCAGCACCATTTATTAAACAGGGAATCCTTTCCCCATTGCTTGTTTTTCTCAGGTTTGTCAAAGATCAGATTGTTGTAGACAGTCAGCGCTATTTCTGAGGGCTCTGTTCTGTTCCATTGATCTATATCTCTGTTTTGGTACCAGTACCATGCTGTTTTGGTTTCTGTAGCCTTGTAGTATAGTTTGAAGTCAGGTTGCATGATGCCTCCAGCTTTATTCTTTTGGCTTAGGATTGACTTGGTGATGCGGGCTCTTTTTTGGTTCCATATGAATTTTAAAGTAGTTTTTTCCAATTCTGTGAAGAAATTCATTGGTAGCTTGATGGGGATGGCATTGAATCTATAAATTACCTTGGGCAGTATGGTCAGTTTCATGATATTGATTCTTCCTACACATGAGCATGGAATGTTCTTCCATTTGTTTGTATCCTCTTTTATTTCATTGAGCAGTGGTTTGTAGTTCTCCTTGAAGAGGTCCTTCACATCCCTTGTAAGGTGGATTCCTAGGCATTTTATTCTCTTTGAAGCAATTGTGAATGGGAGTTCACTCATGATTTGGCTCTCTGTTTGTCTGTTATTGGACTATAAGAATGCTTGTGATTTTTGTACTTGATTTTGTATCCTGAGACTTTGCTGAAGTTGCTTATCAGCTTAAGGAGATTTTGGGCTGAATCAATGGGTTTTTCTAGATATACAATCATGTCATCTGCAAACAGGGTCAATTTGACATCTTCTTTTCCTAATTGAATACCCTTTATTTCCTTCTCCTGTCTAATTGCCCTGGCCAGAACTTCCAACACTATGTTGAATAGGAGTGGTGAGAGAGGGCATCCCTGTCTTGTGCCAGTTTTCAGAGGGAATGCTTCCAGGTTTTGCCCATTCAGTATGATATTGGCTGTGGGTTTGTCATAGATAGCTCTTATTATTTTGAGATACGTCCCATCAATACCTAATTTGTTGAGAGTTTTTAGCAAGAAGGGTTGTTAAATTTTGTCAACGGCCTTTTCTGCATCTATGGAGATAATCATGTGGTTTTTGTCTTTGGTTCTGTTTATATAGTGGATTACATTTATTGATTTGCATATATATTGAACCAGCCTTGCATCCCAGGGACGAAGCCCACTTGATCATGGTGGATTAGCTTTTTGATGTGCTGCTGCATTCGGTTTGCCAGTATTTCATTGAGGATTTTTGTATCAATGTTCATCAAGGATATTGATCTAAAATTCTCTGTTTTGGTTGTGTCTCTGCCCGGCTTTGGTATCAGGATGATGCTGGTCTCATAAAATGAGTTAGGGAGGATTCCCTCTTTTTCTATTGATTGGAATAGTTTCAGAAGGAATGGTACCAGTTCCTCCTTGTACCTCTGGTAGAATTTGGCTGTGAATCCATCTGGTCCTGGACTCTTTTTTGTTGGTAAGCTATTGATTATTGCCAAATTTCAGCTCCTGTTATTGGTCTATTCAGAGATTCAACTTTTTCCTGGTTTAGTCTTGGGAGATTGTATGTGTCGAGGAATTTATCCATTTCTTCTAGATTTTCTAGTTTATTTGCATAGAGGTGTTTGTAGTATTCTCTGATGGTAGTTTGTATTTCTGTGGGATTGGTGGTGATATCCCCTTTATCATTTTTTATTGCGTCTATTTGATTCTTCTCTCTTTTTTTCTTTATTAGTCTTGCTAACAGTCTATCAATTTTGTTGGTCCTTTTAAAAAACCAGCTCCTGGATTCATTAATTTTTTGAAGGGCTTTTTGTGTCTCTATTTCCTTCAGTTCTGCTCTGATTTTAGTTATTTCTTGCCTTCTGCTAGCTTCTGAATGTGTTTGCTCTTGCTTTTCTAGTTTTTTTAATTGTGATGATAAGGTGTCAATTTTGGATCTTTCCTGCTTTCTCTTGTGGGCATTTAGTGCCATAAATTTCCCTCTACACACTGATTTGAATGTGTCCCACAGATTCTAGTATGTTGTGTCTCTGTTCTTGTTGGTTTCAAAGAACATCTTTATTTCTGCCTTCATTTCGTTATGTACCCAGTAGTCATTCAGGAGCAGGTTGTTCAGTTTCCATGTAGTTGAGCAGTTTTGAGTGAGTTTCTTAATCCTGAGTCGTAGTTTGATTGCACTGTGGTCTGAGAGAGAGTTTTTTATACTTCTGTTCTTTTACATTTGCTGAGGAGAGCTTTACTTCCAACCATGTGGTCAATTTTGGAATAGGTGTGGTGTGGTGCTGAAAAGAATGTATATTCCGTTGATTTGGGGTGGAGAGTTCTGTATATGTCTATTAGGTCCGCTTGGTGCAGAGCTGAGTTCAATTCCTGGGTATCCTTGTTGACTTTCTGTCTCATTGATATGTCTAATGTTGACAGTGGGGTGTTAAATTCTCCCATTATTAATGTGTGGGAGTCTAAGTCTCTTTGTAGGTCACTCAGGACTTGCTTTATGAATCTGGGTGCTCCTGTATTGGGTGCATATATATTTAGGATAGTTAGCTCTTCTTGTTGAATTGATCCCTTTACCATTATGTAATGGCCTTCTTTGTCTCTTTTGATCTTTGTTGGTTTAAAGTCTGTTTTATCAGAGACTAGGATTGCAACCCCTGCCTTTTTTTGTTTTCCATTTGCTTGGTAGATCTTCCTCCATCCTTTTATTTTGAGCCTATGTGTGTCTCTGTATGTGAGATGGGTTTCCTGACTACAACACACTGATGGGTCTTGACTGTTTATCCTATTTGCCAGTCTGTGTCTTTTAATTGGAACATTTAGTCCATTTACATTTAAAGTTAGTATTTTTATGTGTGAATTTGAACCTGTCATTATGATGTTAGCTGGTTATTTTCCTCGTTAGTTGATGCAGTTTCTTCCTAGTCTCTATGGTCTTTACATTTTGGCATGATTTTGCAGCGGCTGGTACCTACCGGTTGTTCCTTTCCATGTTTAGTGTCTCCTTCAGGAGCTCTTTTAGGGCAGGCCTGGTGGTGAGAAAATCTCTCAGCATTTGCTTTTCTGTAAAGTATTTTATTTCTCCTTCACTTCTGAAGCTTAGTTTGGCTGGATATGAAATTCTGGGTTGAAAATTCTTTTCTTTAAGAATGTTGAATATTGGCCCCCACTCTTCTGGCTTCCAGAGTTTCTGCCGAGAGATCCGCTGTTAGTCTGATGGGCTTCCCTTTGTGGGTAACCCGACCTTTCTCTCTGGCTGCCCTTAACATTTTTTCCTTCATTTCAACTTTGGTGAATCTGAAAATTATGTGTCTTGGAGGTGCTCTTCTCGAGGAGTGTCTTTGTGACGTTCTCTGTATTTCCTGAATCTGAATGTTGTCTTGCCTTGCTAGATTGCGGAAGTTCTCCTGGATAATATCCTGCAGAGTGTTTTCCAACTTGGTTCCATTCTCCCCGTCGCTTTCCGATACACCAATCAGACATAGATTTGGTCTTTTCACATAGTCCCATATTTCTTGAAGGCTTTGTTCATTTCTTTTTATTCTTTTTTCTCTAAACTTCCCTTCTCATTTCATTTCATTCATTTCATCTTCCATCGCTGATACCCTTTCTTCCAGTTGATCGCATCAGCTCCTGAGGCTTCTGCATTCTTCACGTAGTTCTCGAGCCTTGGCTTTCAGGTCCATGAGCTCCTTTAAGCACTTCTCTGTATTGGTTATTCTAGTTATACATTCGTCTAAATTTTTTTCAAAGTTTTTAACTTCTTTGTCTTTGGTTTGAATTTCCTCCTGTAGCTCGTAGTTTGATCGTCTGAAGCCTTCTTCTCTCAACTCGTCAAAGTCATTCTCTGTCCAGCTTTGTTCCATTGCTGGTGAGGAACTGCGATCCTTTGGAGGAGGAGAGGTGCTCTGCTTTTTAGAGTTTCCAGTTTTTCTGCTCTGTTTTTTCCCCATCTTTGTGGTTTTATCTACTTTTGGTCTTTGATGATGGTGATGTACAGATGGGGTTTTGGTGTGGATGTCCTTTCTGTTTGTTAGTTTTCCTTCTAACAGACAGGATCCTCAGCTGCAGGTCTGTTGGAGTTTGCTAGAGGTCCACTCCAGACGCTGTTTGCCTGGGTATCAGCAGTGGTGTCTGCAGAACAGTGATTTTTCGTGAACCACGAATGCTGCTATTAGATCGTTCCTCTGGAATTTTTTTCTCAGAGGAGTACCTGGCCGTGTGAGGTGTTAGTCTGCCCCTATTGGGGGTGCCTCCCATTTAGGCTGCTCATGGTTCAGGGGTCAGGTAGATCTGAGAATGGGCAGACTGCCTCCTCAAGTGGGTCCCTGACCCCTGAACCATGAGCAGCCTAAATGGGAGGCACCCCCAATAGGGGCAGACTAACACCTCACACGGCCAGGTACTCCTCTGAGAAAAAAATTCCAGAGGAACGATCTAATAGCAGCATTCGTGGTTCACGAAAAATCACTGTTCTGCAGACACCACTGCTGATACCCAGGCAAACAGCGTCTGGAGTGGACCTCTAGCAAACTCCAACAGACCTGCAGCTGAGGATCCTGTCTGTTAGAAGGAAAACTAACAAACAGAAAGGACATCCACACCAAAACCCCATCTGTACATCACCATCATCAAAGACCAAAAGTAGATAAAACCACAAAGATGGGGAAAAAACAGAGCAGAAAAACTGGAAACTCTAAAAAGCAGAGCACCTCTCCTCCTCCAAAGGATCGCAGTTCCTCACCAGCAATGGAACAAAGCTGGACAGAGAATGACTTTGACGAGTTGAGAGAAGAAGGCTTCAGACGATCAAACTACGAGCTACAGGAGGAAATTCAAACCAAAGACAAAGAAGTTAAAAACTTTGAAAAAAATTTAGACGAATGTATAACTAGAATAACCAATACAGAGAAGTGCTTAAAGGAGCTCATGGACCTGAAAGCCAAGGCTCGAGAACTACGTGAAGAATGCAGAAGCCTCAGGAGCTGATGCGATCAACTGGAAGAAAGGGTATCAGCGATGGAAGATGAAATGAATGAAATGAAATGAGAAGGGAAGTTTAGAGAAAAAAGAATAAAAAGAAATGAACAAAGCCTTCAAGAAATATGGGACTATGTGAAAAGACCAAATCTATGTCTGATTGGTGTATCGGAAAGCGACGGGGAGAATGGAACCAAGTTGGAAAACACTCTGCAGGATATTATCCAGGAGAACTTCCGCAATCTAGCAAGGCAAGACAACATTCAGATTCAGGAAATACAGAGAACGTCACAAAGACACTCCTCGAGAAGAGCACCTCCAAGACACATAATTTTCAGATTCACCAAAGTTGAAATGAAGGAAAAAATGTTAAGGGCAGCCAGAGAGAAAGGTCGGGTTACCCACAAAGGGAAGCCCATCAGACTAACAGCGGATCTCTCGGCAGAAACTCTGGAAGCCAGAAGAGTGGGGGCCAATATTCAACATTCTTAAAGAAAAGAATTTTCAACCCAGAATTTCATATCCAGCCAAACTAAGCTTCAGAAGTGAAGGAGAAATAAAATACTTTACAGAAAAGCAAATGCTGAGAGATTTTCTCACCACCAGGCCTGCCCTAAAAGAGCTCCTGAAGGAGACACTAAACATGGAAAGGAACAACCGGTAGGTACCAGCCGCTGCAAAATCATGCCAAAATGTAAAGACCATAGAGACTAGGAAGAAACTGCATCAACTAACGAGGAAAATAACCAGCTAACATCATAATGACAGGTTCAAATTCACACATAAAAATACTAACTTTAAATGTAAATGGACTAAATGTTCCAATTAAAAGACACAGACTGGCAAATAGGATAAACAGTCAAGACCCATCAGTGTGTTGTAGTCAGGAAACCCATCTCACATACAGAGACACACATAGGCTCAAAATAAAAGGATGGAGGAAGATCTACCAAGCAAATGGAAAACAAAAAAAGGCAGGGGTTGCAATCCTAGTCTCTGATAAAACAGACTTTAAACCAACAAAGATCAAAAGAGACAAAGAAGGCCATTACATAATGGTAAAGGGATCAATTCAACAAGAAGAGCTAACTATCCTAAATATATATGCACCCAATACAGGAGCACCCAGATTCATAAAGCAAGTCCTGAGTGACCTACAAAGAGACTTAGACTCCCACACATTAATAATGGGAGAATTTAACACCCCACTGTCAACATTAGACATATCAATGAGACAGAAAGTCAACAAGGATACCCAGGAATTGAACTCAGCTCTGCACCAAGCGGACCTAATAGACATATACAGAACTCTCCACCCCAAATCAACGGAATATACATTCTTTTCAGCACCACACCACACCTATTCCAAAATTGACCACATGGTTGGAAGTAAAGCTCTCCTCAGCAAATGTAAAAGAACAGAAGTATAAAAAACTCTCTCTCAGACCACAGTGCAATCAAACTACGACTCAGGATTAAGAAACTCACTCAAAACTGCTCAACTACATGGAAACTGAACAACCTGCTCCTGAATGACTACTGGGTACATAACGAAATGAAGGCAGAAATAAAGATGTTCTTTGAAACCAACAAGAACAGAGACACAACATACTAGAATCTGTGGGACACATTCAAATCAGTGTGTAGAGGGAAATTTATGGCACTAAATGCCCACAAGAGAAAGCAGGAAAGATCCAAAATTGACACCTTATCATCACAATTAAAAAAACTAGAAAAGCAAGAGCAAACACATTCAGAAGCTAGCAGAAGGCAAGAAATAACTAAAATCAGAGCAGAACTGAAGGAAATAGAGACACAAAAAGCCCTTCAAAAAATTAATGAATCCAGGAGCTGGTTTTTTAAAAGGACCAACAAAATTGATAGACTGTTAGCAAGACTAATAAAGAAAAAAAGAGAGAAGAATCAAATAGACGCAATAAAAAATGATAAAGGGGATATCACCACCAATCCCACAGAAATACAAACTACCATCAGAGAATACTACAAACACCTCTATGCAAATAAACTAGAAAATCTAGAAGAAATGGATAAATTCCTCGACACATACAATCTCCCAAGACTAAACCAGGAAAAAGTTGAATCTCTGAATAGACCAATAACAGGAGCTGAAATTTGGCAATAATCAATAGCTTACCAACAAAAAAGAGTCCAGGACCAGATGGATTCACAGCCAAATTCTACCAGAGGTACAAGGAGGAACTGGTACCATTCCTTCTGAAACTATTCCAATCAATAGAAAAAGAGGGAATCCTCCCTAACTCATTTTATGAGACCAGCATCATCCTGATACCAAAGCCGGGCAGAGACACAACCAAAACAGAGAATTTTAGATCAATATCCTTGATGAACATTGATACAAAAATCCTCAATGAAATACTGGCAAACCGAATGCAGCAGCACATCAAAAAGCTAATCCACCATGATCAAGTGGGCTTCGTCCCTGGGATGCAAGGCTGGTTCAATATATATGCAAATCAATAAATGTAATCCACTATATAAACAGAACCAAAGACAAAAACCACATGATTATCTCCATAGATGCAGAAAAGGCCGTTGACAAAATTTAACAACCCTTCTTGCTAAAAACTCTCAACAAATTAGGTATTGATGGGACGTATCTCAAAATAATAAGAGCTATCTATGACAAACCCACAGCCAATATCATACTGAATGGGCAAAACCTGGAAGCATTCCCTCTGAAAACTGGCACAAGACAGGGATGCCCTCTCTCACCACTCCTATTCAACATAGTGTTGGAAGTTCTGGCCAGGGCAATTAGACAGGAGAAGGAAATAAAGGGTATTCAATTAGGAAAAGAAGATGTCAAATTGACCCTGTTTGCAGATGACATGATTGTATATCTAGAAAAACCCATTGATTCAGCCCAAAATCTCCTTAAGCTGATAAGCAACTTCAGCAAAGTCTCAGGATACAAAATCAAGTACAAAAATCACAAGCATTCTTATAGTCCAATAACAGACAAACAGAGAGCCAAATCATGAGTGAACTCCCATTCACAATTGCTTCAAAGAGAATAAAATGCCTAGGAATCCACCTTACAAGGGATGTGAAGGATCTCTTCAAGGAGAACTACAAACCACTGCTCAATGAAATAAAAGAGGATACAAACAAATGGAAGAACATTCCATGCTCATGTGTAGGAAGAATCAATATCATGAAACTGACCATACTGCCCAAGGTAATTTATAGATTCAATGCCATCCCCATCAAGCTACCAATGAATTTCTTCACAGAATTGGAAAAAACTACTTTAAAATTCATATGGAACCAAAAAAGAGCCCGCATCACCAAGTCAATCCTAAGCCAAAAGAATAAAGCTGGAGGCATCATGCAACCTGACTTCAAACTATACTACAAGGCTACAGAAACCAAAACAGCATGGTACTGGTACCAAAACAGAGATATAGATCAATGGAACAGAACAGAGCCCTCAGAAATAGCGCTGACTGTCTACAACAATCTGATCTTTGACAAACCTGAGAAAAACAAGCAATGGGGAAAGGATTCCCTGTTTAATAAATGGTGCTGGGAAAACTGGCTAGCCATATGTAGAAAGCTGAAACTGGATCCCTTCCTTACACCTTATACAAAAATCAATTCAAGATGGATTAAAGACTTAAACGTTAGACCTATAACAATAAAAATCCTAGAAGAAAACCTAGGCATTGCCATTCAGGACATAGGCACAGGCAAGGACTTCATGTCTAAAACACCAAAAGCAATGGCAACAAAAGCCAAAATTGACAAATGGGATCTAATTCAACTCAAGAGCTTCTGCACATCAAAAGAAACTACCATCAGAGTGAACAGGCAACCTACAAAATGGGAGAAAATTTTTGCAACCTACTCATCTGACAAAGGGCTAATATCCAGAATCTACAATGAACTCAAACAAATTTACAAGAAAAAAGCAACCCCATCAAAAAGTGGGTGAAGGATATAAACAGACACTTCTCAGAAGAAGACAGTTATGCAGTCAAAAAACACACGAAAAAATGCTCACCATCACTGGCCATCAGAGAAATGTAAATCAATACCACAATGAGGTATCATCTCACACCAGTTAGAATGGCAATCATTAAGAAGTCAGGAAACAACAGGTGCTGGAGAGGATGTGTAGAAATAGGAACACTTTTCCACTGTTTGTGGGACTGGAAACTAGTTCAACCATTGTGGAAGTCAGTGTTGCGATTCCACAGGGATCTAGAACTAGAAACACCATTTGACCCAGCCATCCCATTACTGGGTATATACGCAAAGGACTATAAATCATGCTGCTATAAAGACACATGCACACGTATGTTTATTGCGGCACTATTCACAATAGCAAAGACTTGGAACCAACCCAAATGTCCAACAATGATAGACTGGATTAAGAAAATGTGGCACATATACACCGTGGAATACTATGCAGCCATAAAAAATGATGAGTTCATGTCCTTTGTAGGGACATGGATAAAAGTGGAAATCATCATTCTCAGTAAACTCTCGCAAGAACAAAAAAACAAACACCACATGTTCTCACTCATAGGTATGAATTGAACAATGAGAGCACATGGACACAGGAAGGGGAACATCACACACCAGGGACTGTTGTCGGGTAGGGGGATGGGGGAGGGACAGCACTGTAAGTTATACCTAATGCTAGATGACGAGTTAGTGGGTGCAGTGCACCAGCATGTCACATGTATACATATGTAACTAACCTGCACATTGTGCACATGTACCCTAAAACTTAAAGTATAATAATAGAAAAAAAAGGAAAATGTAGTACATATACATTTTGAAATACTATACAGCCACAAAAAAAGAATGAGATTATGTCCTTTGCAGGGACATGAATGAAGCTGGAAGCCGTCTTCCTCAGCAAACGAATACAGGAACAGAAAACCAAACACCGCATGTTCTCACACATAAATAGGAGTTGAACTTTGAGAACACATGGACACAGAGACGGGAACAACACACACTGGGGCCTGTTGGGGAGTGGAGAGTTAGGGGGAGGAACTTAGAGAATGGGTCAATAGGTGCAGCAAACCACCATGTCACACACATACCTATGTAACAACCCTGCACCTTCTGCATATGCATCTTGTTTTTTTTTTTTTTAGAAGAAATATAAAGGGAAAAAAATTAACTCAAAAGTAATCTTAGATCTAAATGTAAAACCTAAAATTATAAAACTTCTAGATGAGAACATAAGAGAAAAATCCCTGTGACCTCGACTTACTTAAAGATTTCTTAAATAATGACACAAAATTGTACTCCGTAAAAGAACAGATTAATAAACAATTTTATCAAAATTTGAAAAAAATTTGCTCAGCCTTTGCTTGTCTAAGAAGAACCTTATTTCTTCTTCACTTAAGAAGCTTAGTTTGAACCCCATAAAAAGTGGGCAAAGGATATGAACAGACACTTCTCAAAAGAAGACATTTACGTAGCCAAAAGACACATGAAAAAATGCTCATCATCACTGGCCATCAGAGAAATGCAAATCAAAACCACAATGAGATACCATCTCACACCAGTTAGAATGGCAATCATTAAAAAGTCAGGAAACAACAGATGCTGGAGAGGATGTGGAGAAATAGGAACACTTTTACACTGTTGGTGGAACTCTAAACTAGTTCAACCATTGTGGAAGACAGTGTGGCAATTCCTGAAGGATGTAGAACTGGAAATACCATCTGACCTAGCCATCCCATAACTGGGTATATACCCAAAGGATTATAAATCATGCTGCTATAAAGATACATGCACATGTATGTTTATTGCGACACTATTCACAATAGCAAAGACTTGGAACCAACCGAAATGTCCATCAATGATAGACTGGATTAAGAAAGTGTGGCACATATACGCCATGGAATACTATGCAGTCATAAAAAAGGATGAGTTCATGTCTTTGTAGGGACATGGATGAAGCTGGAAACAATCATTCTCAGCAAGCTATCACAAAGACAGAAAACCAAACACCCTATGTTCTCACTCATAGGTGGAATTGAACAATGAGAACACTTGGACACAGGGTAGGGAACACCACACACCGGGGCCTGTTGTGGGGTTGGGGGAGTGGGGAGGGATAGCATTAGGAGATATACCTAATGTAAATGATGAGTTAATTGGTGCAGCACACCAACATGGCACATGTATACATATGTAACAAACCTGCACATTGTGCACATGTACCCTAGAACTTAAAGTATTTTAAAAAAAAAAGCTTAGTTTGGCCAATTATAAAATTCTGGGTTGGAATTTCTTTAAGAATGTTAAATATTGACCCCCAGTTTCTTATGGCTTGTAGGGTTTCTGCTGAGAGTTCTGCTGTTATTCTAATGGGCTTCCCTTTGTAGTTAACCTGACCTTTCTCTCTATCTGGCTTCAACATTTTTTCTTTCATTTCAACCTTGGAGAATCTGATGATTATGTGTCTTGGGGATGACCTTCTCATGAAGTATCTTACTGAGACTGAGGTTCTCTACATTTTCTGAATTCGAATGTTGGCCTCTCTAGCTAGGTTTGGGAAGTTATCATGAATGATATTCTGAAATTTTTTTTCCAAGTTGCTTCCACTCTCCCCATCTCTTTCAGGGAAACCAGTGAGTCATAGGTTTGGTTTCTACATAATCCCATATTTCTTTTAGGTTTTTTTGGTTCCTTTTCATTCTTTTCTTTCTAGTCTTGTCTGACTGTCTTATTTCAAAAAGCCAATCTTCAAGCTCTTAGACTCTTTCCTCCACTTGGTCTATTCTGCTTTTAATACTCGTGATTGCATTATAAAATTATTTCAGTGTGTTCTTCAGGTCTATCATGTCAGTTCTTGGAGGGTTTTTTTTGGTTCCTTTTCATTCTTTTTTTTTTCTATTCTTGTCTGACTGTCTTATTTTAAAAAGCCGGTCTTCAAGCTCTTAGATTCTTCCCTCCACTTGGTCTATTCTGCTATTAATACTTGTGATTGAATTATAGAATTATTTCAGTGTGTTCTTCCACTCTATCGTTACAGTTACATAGTTTTCTATGCCGGCTATTTTGTCTGCAGCTACTGTGTCATTTTATTGTGATTCTTATCTTCCTTGGATTGGGTTTCAATGTAGTCCTGCATCCCAATAATCTTTATTTGTATCTATATTTTGAATTCTATTTTTGTCATTTCAGTCATCTTAGCCCAGTTCAGAGCCCTTGCTAGAGAGGTGATATGTTCATTTGGAGGTAAGAAGGCACTCTGGCTTTTTTAGTTGTCAGGGTTATTGTGCTCATTCTTTCTCATCTTTGTGGGCTCATGTTTCTTTAATCTTCAAAGTTACTGACCATTGGGTGAGGTTTTTTTTTCTTTTATCCTATTTGATGACCTTGAGGATTCTATTGAGTTATAAGGTGCATTCAGCCAACTGGCTTCATTTCTGGAAGATTTTAGGAAGCCAGTGCTCAGCTCCCAATTCCTGGGTTGCATGCTGTAACTTTGAGGGAATTGCATTGAGCTCCATCCTTGTTTTCTGGCTCCTCGAAGTTGGAAATCTACTGCACTGGGTGTGGGAGGGGCATGAGGTGCTCCCAGACTGTTGGTCACTACACTTTGATGGGTAGTGTCAGCCAAAGAGTTTTATCATGTGAAAGAAGTAAAATCTGTCCTTCTTTGCACATGCCAGCAGCAGAGGGAGCATGGCAGGATTCATGCTCATCAGCTACAGTAGGGTGCTGGTAGGTGCCAGGGTGCCTGCCTCTGTGCAGGCATTTATCACAGTGGTGGAAGCTATGTGTCTAGGGAGGATGGAAGGGGCTGCTAGAAACTGTGTGTGCCCTTGTGTTGGTGGCGGTGTTGGCACAGATTTAGAGGAGCTAACTTTGGGGCTCACTTTGCTTCTTGAATCTGTGATTTTGTGTCTTCTGCCACGTTAAGGAAGTTTTCAGCCATTATTTCTTCAGATTTCAGTCCCATTCTCTCTCTTCTCTCTTTCTGAAACTCTGATAATATGAATGTTACATCTTTTGTCACTGTTCCACTGCTTCCTGAAGTTTTTTTTTTTCTTGAGACAGAGTCTCGCTCTGTCCCCCAGGCTGGAGTGCAGTGGTGCAATCTCCGCCCACTGCAAGCTCTGCCTCCCAGGCTCACGCCATTCTCCTGCCTCAGCCTCCCGAGTAGCTGGGACTACAGGCACCCACCACCACGCCCGGAGAATTTTTTGTATTTTTAGTGGAGACGGGGTTTCACCATGTTAGCCAGGATGGTCTCGATCTCCTGACCTCGTGATCCACCCACCTCGTCCTCCCAAAGTGCTGGGATTACAGGCGTGAGCCACCGCGTCCTGCCCTGAGGTTTTGATATTTTTTCAAGCTTATTTATTTATGTTTTTCAAATTAGTTTAATTCTACTGATCTGTTTTCAAGTTCACTAATTCTTTTCTCTGTCAATTTCACTCTACTACATCTAGCATGTTATTTGTTTCAGGTTATTGTATTTCTTCATTTTATAATTTCTGTAATTTTCTTATATTTCTTTGCTGATTGTTTTATTCTTATTTATTTCAAGTGAATTCACGATGTCTTATTGAATTATTTTTATGATTGTTGCTTTGAAATTCTTGTCAGATAATTCTAGTATCTGATTCATTTCACTGTTAGCATCGGTTGTCTTTTCTCATTCAAGATTTAGTTTTCCTGTCCTTGTTATTATGGGTGACTTTTTAAATTGTGTCATTGATATAAGTTAGGATAATCTAAATTTTATTTAATTTTTTATTTTAACTGGAAGTCACTCTGTTTAAATTTGGCATGCAGGCACCAACCTACTTTTCTGGGGTGTGGTTTCAGCAGCAGTCTGACCTGGTACTTGTTATTTCAGGATACCATCTGCCAATGATAAATGGAGAGTATTTCCAGGTCTGAGGGACTACAGTGCATTATTCCTTTTGCAGTTGTTTCCCGCTATGTGGTATTATTAGGTATGGAAAGTCTTCACTCATTTTTAATTTTTAAAAATGATTTTAAGTATCATTTTTTATGCATCATTTGTGGCAATATGGATAAGCCTGGAGGACATTATATTAAGCGAAGTAAGCCAAACACAGAAAGTAAAGTAGCACATGGTATCACTCACATTTGGTAGCTAAAAAAGTTGCTCTCATAGAAGTAGAGAGAATGGTGCTTGGTAGAGGCAGAGAAGGGTAGCGGGGAAGAGGAATAGTGAGAAGTTGCTTAACAGATAGAAAATTACAGCTAAATAGGGGAATAAATTCTAGTATTCTATAGCACAGTAGAGTGACTATAGTTAACAATAATTTATTGTATGTTTCAAAATTGCTAGAAGAAATTGGTCATCGTGGCTCATTCCTGCAGCCCCAACACATTTGGAAGGCCAAGATAGGAGAATCCTTTGAGCCTAGGAGTTTAAGACTAGCCTGGGCAACACAGCGAGACCTCATCTCTACAAAAAAAAAAAAAAAAACATTTTAAATTAGCTCAGCATGGTGGCACATGCCTATGGTTCCAGCTATTTGGGAGGCTGAGGCAGAAGTACTGCTTGAGCCTGGGAGGTTGAGGCTGCAGTAAGCCATGATTTTGCCACTGTACTCTAGCCTGGGTGAGAGAGTGAGACCCTTTCTCAAAAAAAAAAAAAAAAAATCCAGAAGATTCTGAATTATCTCAACACAAAGAATTGATAAATGTTTGAGGTAATGGATATTCCAATTATTCTAATTTGATCATTACATTGTATATATGTATCAAAATATTATCTGTACTCCATTAATATGTACAAGTATTATGCATCAATTAAAAATAGAAACGAATTATGGAGGAAAATTTATTTTAAATCTTTCTGTACCAGGAAATTAACTCTTTGTTTATAATATGTGTTGCAAATATTCTTCCAAGTTAATTTATTTTTCAACCTTATTTTTGATATCATTTGTGTTGCTTTGTTTTTTTCTAAAGGCTATGAAGTTGCAATAAGTTGAGTTTAACCATGTTGCAATCTATACCACAGGGTTTCTGCCATATAATATCTATAGTACAGATAACATTATTGGAAGATTACGTAGAGCAACAACAAATAAATTCCTTTCAGCATAACATGGAAGAAATAGAATTGTTACAACTGGATCATCCTGAGGTTTATTTTCTTGTTTTATTCAGTCATATTTTCTGAGAATTTACCATAACAGTGGTTCTTAATTAGAATATTCTCAATTACTTCTTAATTAGAAGTATTTAGAATTCTGTAGATTTTTGTAATCCTCTGAAATTGCCTGCAAAAATCTTTGTGCTTATGCATGTAGGATATGTGCGTTTTTATAGAGAGAGTTTCCTCAGCATTCATCGGATTCTACTTTTTTTTTTTTTTTTTGAGATGAAGTCTCGCTTTTGTCCCCCAGTCTGGAGTGCAACGGCGCAATCTCGGCTCACTGCAACCTCTGCCTCCAGGGTTCAAGCAATTCTCCTGCCTCAGCCTCCTGAGTAGCTGGGATTACAGGTGTGTACCACCACACCCAGCTAATTTTTTGTATTTTAAGTAGAGACGGGATTTCACCATGTTGGCCAGGCTGGTCTTGAACTCCTGACTTCAGGTCATCCACCGGCCTTGGCCTCCCAGAGTGCTGGGATTATAGGCTGAGCCACCGCACCTGGCCCAGATTCTTAAATGGATCCATGGACCCCAAAGGATTAAGATCAACTGCACAAAATAGCTATCTTTCTGACCACTGCTGAGGCAGGAGAATGGCATGAACCCGGGAGACAGAGCTTGCAGTGATCGGAGATTGCGCCACTGCACTCCAGCCTGGGTGACAGAGAGAGACTCCGTCTCAAAAAAAAAAAAAAAAAAAAAATCACATTAAACTAAGTGTAAAGACATTCTGTTAGCAGTTCCTTTGCTGGGACTTTTTCCGCATTATGCTTCTTTAATTATATAGGAAAAAAAGAGGATATAAAATATGTTTGCAGTATCAAAGGATGGGATAAAGAGTTGCTTTTTTCTTCCCTATTTTCCCGCCACTCAATACAATGTTTGTCAAGAGGACTTGAAAGATAATTCTGGAAACCTTTTCAATGACAAAGAGAGGCACCAGTATTGGGATAATGATGCATGTTTATATGAGGTAATCATGAGTGGGAAGCCTCAAGATTTCTGTTTATGGAGGTGGAGACAACTATTGATGGGAACAGATGAGCAGGTGGTGAAACAAGGAATAAAATCTGCAATATAAGTTATTACACCCATCATTAAAAGTAAGAAAAGAGTTGTATCTCCATATACTTGTTGGAAAGGTCAAATATTGTTTAAACTGGTTATGGCATACCTCAAGGAGTGTTACTTCATTCTCAAAGTTATCACCTGGCCCTAGTCTTCACCTCCATTTGGTTTTTAATGCAAGAATAATCTTTCTAAAACCTACCTCTGATCATTTTACCTTCCTCCTTAAATTTTTTCAGTTGTCTCAACTTCTTAGCCTGGCATTCATAACTTTCCATAATTCCAACCTCTTTGCACAACTTTATTTTCTACTCTTTTACATATATACTCCACTGTACCATGTATGTTGTCACACAATTCCCAGAACACATCACACTCATTTTCACACCCTATAACTGTTTATGTTGCTATTTTTGCCTGCAAAGCCCTACTTCTTTCTCTGTTTTGGTAATTGAATCATCTTTATTTCTGAAGACCTAACACAAGTCCTCCAGTCTCTCTGAAGCTTCTAACTCCTCCAATCCATATGGATATTTATCCTTCTCTGGAAACATTATACTAAATTTATCTTAAGAGAGTCTAATTTTCTATTTGTTAATTGTATTTCTACAATTGGACAGTAAGCTCCTTGGGGATAGAAAATATCACTTAGTCTTTTTTATTTTCTCTCACAGCAATGTGAAGAGGCAGCAGCACCCTATATTTCTGTGGATTGAAACAGCAACTTAGTCTATATGTCAAAAGATTAGGACTGGTTTATAAAGGAAAAGAAGAAATTAAAGATGATATCAGCATTCTTTTTTTGTCTATTCACTTTTTTATTTTATTATTATTATACTTTAAGTTTTAGGGTACATGTGCACACGTGCAGGTTTGTTACATATGTATACATGTGCCATGTTGGTGTCCTGCACCCATTAATTCGTCATTTGGCATTAGGTATATCTCCTAATGTTATACCTCCCCCCACCCCCCACCCCACAATGATCCCCGGAGTGTGATGTTCCCCTTCCTGTGTCCATGTGTTCTCATTGTTCAATTCCCAGCTATGAGTGAGAACACGTGGTGTTTGGTTTTTCATCCTTGTGACAGTTTGCTGAGACTGATGGTTTCCAGTTTCATCCATGTCCCTACAAAGGACATGAACTCATCATTTTTTATGGCTGCATAGTATTCCGTGGTGTATATGTGCCACATTTTCTTAATCCAGTCTATCGTTGTTGGACATTTGGGTTGGTTCCAAGTCTTTGCTATTATGAACAGTGCCGCAATAAACACACGTGTACATGTGTCTTTATAGCAGCATGATTTATAATCCCTTGGGTATATACCCAGTAATGGGATGGCTGGGTCAAATGGTATTTCTAGTTCTAGATCCCTGAGGAATCACCACACTGACTTCCACAATGGTTGAACTAGTTTCCAGTCCCACCAACACTGTAAAAGTGTTCCTTTTGGTGTTTTAGAAAGGAAGTCCTTGCCCATGTCCATGTCCTGAGTGGTAATGCCTAGGTTTTCTTCTAGGGTTTTTATGGTTTTAGGTCTATCATTTAAGTCTTTAATCCATCTTGAATTAATTTTTGTATAAGGTGTAAGGAAAGGATCCAGTTTCAGCTTTCTACATATGTCTAGCCAGTTTTCCCAGCACCATTTATTAAATAGGGAATCCTTTCCCCATTGCTTGTTTTTGTCAGGTTTCTCAAAGATCAGATAGTTGTAGATATGCGGCATTATTTCTGAGGGCTCTGTTCTGTTCCATTGATCTATATCTCTGTTTTGGTACCAGTACCATGCTGTTTTGGTTACTGTAGCCTTGTAGTATAGTTTGAAGTCAGGTAGCGTGATGCCTCCAGCTTTGTTCTTTTGGCTTAGGATTGACTTGGCGATGCGGGCTCTTTTTTGGTTCCATATGAACTTTAAAGTAGTTTTTTCCAATTCTGTGAAGAAAGTCATTGGTATCTTGAAGGCGATGGCACTGAATGTATAAGTTACCTTGGGCAGTATGGACATTTTCATGATATTGATTCTTGCTACCCGTGAGCATGGAATGTTCTTCCATTTGTTTGTATCCTCTTTTATTTCATTAAGCAGTGGTTTGTAGTTCTCCTTGAAGAGGTCCTTCATGTCCCTTATAAGGTAGATTCCTAGGTATTTTACTCTCTTTGAAGCAATTGTGAATAGGAGTTCACTCATGATTTGGCTCTCTGTTTGTCTGTTATTAGTGTATAAGAATGCTCGTGATTTGTGTACATTGATTTTTTATCCTGAGACTTTGCTGAAGTTGCTTATCAGCATAAGGAGATTTTGGGCTGAGACAATGAGGTTTTCTAGATATACAATCATGTCATCTGCAAAGAGGGACAATTTGACTTCCTCTTTTCCTAACTGAATGCCCTTTATTTCCTTCTCCTGCCTAATTTCCCTGGCCAGAACTTCCAAAACTATGTTGAATAGGAGTGGTGAGAGAGGGCATCCCTGCCTTGTGCCAGTTTTCAAAGGGAATGCTTCCCGTTTTTGCCCATTCAGTATGATATTGGTTGTGGGTTTGTCATAGATAGCTCTTATTATTTTGAGATACGTCCCATCAATACCTAAATTATTGAGTATTTTTATATGAAGCATTGTTGAATTTTGCCAAAGGCCTTTTCTGCATCTATTGAGATAATCATGTGTTTTTTATCTTTGGTTCTCTTTATATGCTGGATTACATTTATTGATTTGCATATGTTGAAGCAGCCTTGCATCCCAGGGATGAAGCCCACTTGATCATGGTGGATAAGCTTTTTGATGTGCTGCTGGATTTGGTTTGCTAGTATTTTATTGAGGTTTTTTGCATCGATGTTCATCAGGGATATTGGTCTAAAATTCTCTTTTTTGGTTGTGTCTCTGCCCGGCTTTGGTATCAGGATGATGCTGGCCTCATAAAATGAGTTAGGGAGGATTCCCTCTTTTTCTACTGATTGGAATAGTTTGAGAAGGAATGGTACCAGTTCCTCCTTGTACCTCTGGTAGAATTCGGCTGTGAATCCATCTGGTCCTGAACTCTTTTTGGTTGGTAAGGTATTGATCATTGCCACAATTTCAGAGCCTGTTATTGGTCTATTCAGAGATTCAACTACTTCCTGGTTTAGTCTTGGGAGGGTGTACGTGTCAAGGAATTTATCCATTTCCTCTAGATTTTCTAGTTTATTTGTGTAGAGGTGTTTGTAGTATTCTCTGATGGTAGTTTGTATTTCTGTGGGATCAGTGGTGATACCCCCTTTATCATTTTTTGCATCTATTTGATGAAAGCAATGGCAACAAAAGCCAAAATTGACAAATGAGATTTAATTAAACTAAAGAGCTTCTGCACTGCAAAAGAAGCTACAATCAGAGTGAACAGGCAACCTACAAAATGGGAGAAAATTTTCGCAACCTACTCATCTGACAAAGGGCTAATATCCAGAATCTACAATGAACGCAAACAAATTTATAAGAAAAAAACAAACAACCCCATGAAAAAGTGGGCGAAGGACATGAACAGGCACTTCTCCACCCAGTTCGAGCTTCCCTGCTGTTTTGTTTACCTAAACAAGCCTGGGCAATGGCGGGCGCCCCTCCCCGTGCCTCGCTGCTGCCTTGCAGTTTGATCACAGACTGCTGTGCTAGCAATCAGTGAGAATCCGTGGGTGTAGGACCCTCTGAGCCAGGTGCGGGATATAATCTCCTGGTGTGCCGTTTTTTAAACCTGTCAGAAAAGTGCAGTATTAGGGTGGGAGTGACCCGATTTTCCAGGTGCCATTTATCACCCCTTTCTTTGACTAGGAAAGGGAACTCCCTGACCCCTTGCACTTCCCAAGTGAGGCAATGCCTCACCCTGCTTCGGCTCGCTCACAGTGTGCTGCACCCACTGTCGTGCAACCACTGTCTGGCAATCCCTACTGAGATGAACACAGTATCTCAGATGGAAACACAGAAATCACCCATATTCTGCGTCGCTCACGCTGGGAGCTGTAGACTGCAGCTGTTCCTATTCGGCCATCTTGGCTCCAGAAAGCTGACACTTCTCAAAAGAAAACATTTATGCAGCCAAAAAACACGAAAAAATGCTCACCATCACTGGCCATCAGAAAAATGCAAATCAAAACCACAATGAGATAGGATCTCACAGCAGTTAGAATAGCAATCATTAAAAAGTCAGGAAACAACAGGTGCTGGAGAGGATGTGGGGAAATAGGAACACTTTTACACTGTTGGTGGGACTGGAAACTAGTTCAACCATTGTGCAATTCAGTGTGGCGATTCCTCTGGGATCTAGAACTAGAAATACCATTTGACCCAGCCATCCCATTACTGAGTATATACCCAAAGGACTATAAATCATGCTGCTATAAAGACACATGCACACGTATGTTTACTGTGGCACTATTCACAATAGCAAAGACTTGGAACCACCCCAAATGTCCAACAATGATAGACTGGATTAAGAAAATGTGGCACATATACACCATGGAATACTATGCAGCCATAAAAAATGATGAGCTCATGTCCTTTGCAGGGACATGGATGAAATTGGTAATCATTATTCTCAGTAAACTATCACAGGGACAAAAGAACAAACACTGCAGATTCTCCCTCATAGGTGTGAATTGAACAATGAGAACACATGGACACAGCAAGGGAAACATCACACTCTGGGGACAGTTGTGTGGTTGGGGGAGGGGGGAGGGATAGCATTAGCAGATACACCTAATGCTAAATGACGAGTTAATGGGTGCAGTACACCAGCATGGCACATGTATACATATTTAACTAACCTGCACATTGTGCACATGTACCCTAGAACTTAAAGTATAAAAATAATACAATAAAATAAAAAATAAAAAATAAAAAATAAAAAAAAGAATCACTGAAAATAATTTAAAAAAAATAAAAAATAAAAAGTAAAAGTGTTCCTGCTTCTCCACATCCTCTCTAGCACCTGTTGTTTCCTGACTTTTTAATAATCACCACTCTAACTGGTGTGAGATGGTATCTCACTGTGGTTTCAATTTGCATTTCTCTGATGGCCAGTGGTGATGAACATTTTTTCACGTGTTTTATGGCTGCATAAATGTCCTCTTTTGACAAGTGTCTGTTCATATCCTTCACCCACTTTTTGAGGGGGTTGTTTGTTTTTTTTCTTGTAAATTTGTTTGAGTTCATTGTAGATTCTGGATATTAGCCCTTTGTCAGATGAATAGGTTGTGAAAATTTTCTGCCATTTTCTAGGTTGCCTGTTCACTCTGATGGTAGTTTCTTTTGCTGTGCAGAAGCTCTTTAGTTTAATTAGATCCCATTTGTCAATTTTTGCTTTTGTTGCCATTGCTTTTGGTGTTTTAGACATGAAGTCCTTGCCCATGCCTATGTCCTGAATGGTATTGCCTAGGTTTTCTTCTAGGGCTTTTATGGTTTTAGGTCTAACATGTAAGTCTTTAATGCATCTTGAATTAATTTTTGTATAAGGTGTAAGGAAGGGATCCAGTTTCAGCTTTCTCCATATGGCTAGCCAGATTTCCCAGCACCATTTATTAAATAAGGCATCCTTTCCCCATTTCTTGTTTTTGTCAGGTTTGTCAAAGATCAGATAGTTGTAGATATGCGGCATTATTTCTGAGGACTCTGTTCTGTTCCATTGATGTATATCTCTGTTTTGTTACCAGTACCATGCTGTTTTGGTTACTGTAGCCTTGTAGTATAGTTTGAAGTCAGGTAGCATGATGCCTCCAGCTTTGTTCTTTTGGCTTAGGATTGACTTGGCGATGTGGGCTCTTTTTTGGTTTCACATGAACTTTAAAGTAGTTTTTTTCCAATTCTGTGAAGAAAGTCATTGATAGCTTGATGGGGATGGCATTGAATCTATAAATTACCTTGGGCAGTATGGCCATTTTCACAATATTGTTTCTTCCTACCCATGAGCATGGAATGTTCCTCCATTTGTTAGTATCCTCGTATTTCATTGAGCAGTGGTTTGTAGTTCTCCTTGAAGAGGTCCTTCACATCCCTTGTAAGTTGGATTCCTAGGTATTTTATTCTCTTTGAAGAAATTGTGAATAGGAGTTCACTCATGATTTGGCTCTCTGTTTGTCTGTTATTGGTGTATAAGAATGCTTGTGATTTTTGTACATTGATTTTGTATCCTGAGACTTTGCTGAATTTGCTTATCAGCTTAAGGAGATTTTGGGCTGAGTCAATGGAGTTTTGTAGATATACAATCATGTCTTCTGCAAAGAGGGACAATTTGACTTCCTCTTTTCCTAATTGAATACCCTTTATTTCCTTCTCCTCCCTAATTGCCCTGGCCAGAACTTCCAGCCCTATGTTGAATAGGAGTGGTGAGAGAGGGCATCCCTGTCTTGTGCCTGTTTTCAAAGGGAATGCTTCCAGTTTTTGCCCATTCAGTATGATATTGGCTGTGGGTTTGTCATAGACAGCTGTCATTATTTTGAGATACGTCCCATCAACACCTAATTTATTGAAAGTTTTTAGCATGAAGGGTTGTTGAATTTTGTTAAAGGCCTTTTCTGCATCTATTGAGATAATCATGTGGTTTTTGTCTTTGGTTCTGTTTATATGCTGGATTACATTTATTGATTTGCATATTTTTTTATTATTATTATACTTTAAGTTTTAGGGTACATGCTCACAATGTGCAGGTTAGTTACATATGTATACATGTGCCATGCTGGTGCACTGCACCCACTAACTCGTCATCTAGCATTAGGTATATCTCCCAATGCTCTCCCTCCCCCCTCCCCCCACGCTACAACAGTCCCCAGAGTGTGATGTTTCCCTTCCTGTGTCCATGTGTTCTCATTGTTCAATTCCCACCTATGAGTGAGAATATGTGGTGTTCGGTTTTTTGTTCTTGTAATATTTTACTGAGAATGATGATTTCCAATTTCATCCATGTCCCTACAAAGGACATGAACTCATCATTTTTTATGGCTGCATAGTATTCCATGGTGTATATCTGCCACATTTTCTTAATCCAGTCTATCATTGTTGGACATTTGGGGTGGTTCCAAGTCTTTGCTATTGTGAATAATGTCGCAATAAGCATACATTTGCATGTGTCTTTATAGTAGCATGATTTATGGTCCTTTGGGTATATACCCAGTAATGGGATGGCTGGGTCAAATGGTATTTCTAGTTCTAGATCCCTGAGGAATCGCCACACTAACTTCCACAATGGTTCAACTAGTGTACAGTCCCACCAACAGTGTAAAAGTGTTCCTATTTCTCCACATCCTCTCCAGCACTTGTTGTTTCCTGACTTTTAAATGATTGCCATTCTAACTGGTGTGGGATGGTATCTCATTGTGGATTTGATTTGCATTTTTCTGATGGCCAGTGATGGTGAGCATTTTTTCATGTGTTTTTGGTTGCATAAACCTCTTCTTTTGGGAAGTTTCTGTTCATGTCCTTCGCCCACTTTTTGATGGGGTTGTTTGTTTTTTTCTTGTAAATTTGTTGGAGTTCATTGTAGATTCTGGATATTAGCCCTTTGTCAAATGAGCAGGTTGTGAAAATTTTCTCCCATTTTGTAGGTTGCCTGTTCACTCTCATGGTAGTTTCTTTTGCTGTGCAGAAGCTCTTGAGTTGAATTAGATCCCATTTGTCAATTTTGGCTTTTGTTGCCATTGCTTTTGGTGTTTTAGACATGAAGTCCTTGCCCATGCCTATGTCCTGAATGGTAATGCCTAGGTTTTCTTCTAGGGTTTTTCTGGTTTTAGGTCTAACATGTAAGTCTTTAATCCATCTTAAATTAATTTTTGTATAAAGTGTAAGGAAGGGATCCAGTTTCAGCTTTCTACATATGGCTAGCCAGTTTTCCCAGCACCATTTATTAAGTAGTGAATCCTGTCCCCATTGCTTGTTTTTCTCAGGGTTGTCAAAGATCAGATAGTTGTAGATATGCAGCGTTGTTTCTGAGGGCTCTGTTCTGTTCCATTGATCTATATCTCTGTTTTGGTAACAGTACCATGCTGTTTTGGTTTCTGTAGCCTTGTAGTATAGTTTGAAGTCAGGTAGCATGATGCCTCCAGCTTTCTTCTTTTGGCTTGGGATTGACTTGGTGATGTGGGCTCTTTTTTGGTTCCATATGAACTTTAAAGTAGTTTTTTCCAATTCTGTGAAGAGAGTCATTGGTAGCTTGATGGGGATGGCATTGAATTTGAAATTTACCTTGGGCAGTATGGCCATTTTTACAATATTGATTCTTCCTACCCATGAGCATGGAATGTTCTTCCATTTGTGTATATCCTCTTTTATTTCCTTGAGCAGTGGTTTGTAGTACTCCTTGAAGAGGTCCTTCACATCCCTTGTAAGTTGGATTCCTAGGTATTTTATTCTCTTTAAAGAAATTGTGAATGGGAGTTCACTCATGATTTGGCTCTCTGTTTGTCTGTTGTTGGTGTATAAGAATGCTTGTGATTTTTGTACATTGATTTTGTATCCTGAGACTTTGCTGAAGTTGCTTATCAGCTTAAGGAGATTTTGGGCTGAGACAATGGGGTTTTCTAGATATACAATCATGTCGTCTGCAAACAGGGACAATTTGACTTCCTCTTTTCCTAATTGAATGCCTTTTATTTCCTTCTCCTGCCTGATTGCCCTGGCCAGAACTTCCAACACTATGTTGAATAGGAGTGGTGAGAGAGGGCATCCCTGTCTTGTGCCAGTTTTCAAAGGGAATGCTTCCAGTTTTTGCCCATTCAGTATGATATTGGCTGTAGGTTTCTCATAAATAGCTCTTATTATTTTGAAATATATCCCATCAGTACCTATTTTCTTGAGAGTTTTTAGCATGAAGTGTTGTTGAATTTTGTCAAAGGCCTTTTCTGCATCTATGGAGATAATCATGTGTTTTTTGTCTTTGGTTCTGTTTATATGCTGGATTACATTTATCGATTTGTGTATATTGAACCAGCCTTGCATCCCAGGGATGAAGCCCACTTGATCATGGTGGATAAGCTTTTTGATGTGCTGCTGGATTCGGTTTGCCAGTATTTTATTGAGGATTTTTGCATCAATGTTCATCAAGGATATAGGTCTAAAATTCTCTTTTTTTGTTGTGCCTCTGTCAGGCTTTGGTATCAGGATGATGCTGGCCTCATAAAATGAGTTAGGGAGGGGTCCCTCTTTTTCTATTGATTGGAATAGTTTCAGAAGGAATGGTACCAGTTCCTCCTTGTACCTCTGGTAGAATTCGGCTGTGAATCCATCTGATCCTGGACACTTTTTGGTTCATAAGCTATTAATGATTGCCTCAATTTCAGAGGCTACTTTTGGTCTATTCAGAGATTCAACTTCTTCCTGGTTTAGTCTTGGGAGGGTGTATGTGTAAAGGAATTTATCCATTTCTTTTAGATTTTCTAGTTTATTTGCATAGAGGTGTTTATAGTATTCTCTGATGGTAGTTTGTATTTCTGTGGGATCGTTGATGATATCCCCTTTATCATTTTTTATTGCGTCTATTTGTTTCTTCTCTGTTTTCTTCTTTATTAGTCTTGCTAGCAGTCGACCGATTTTGTAGATCTTTTCAAAAAACAATCTCCTGGATTAATTGTTTTTTTGAAGGGTTTTTTGTGTCTCTATTTCCTTCAGTTCTGCTCTGATCTTAGCTATTTCTTGCCTTCTGCTAGCTTTTGAATGTGTTTGCCCTTGCTTCTCTAGTTCTTTTAATTGTGATGTTAGGGTGTCAATTTTAGGTCTTTTCTTCTTTCTCTTGTGGGCATTTAGTGCTATAAATTTCCTTCTACACACTTCTTTGAATGTGTCCCAGAGATTTTGGTATGTTATGTCTTTTTTCTCATTAGTTTCAAAGAACATCTTTATTTCTGCCTTCATTTCGTTATGTACCCAGTAGTCATTCAGAAGCAGTGTGTTCAATTTCCATGTAGTTGAGTGGTTTTGAATGAGTTTCTTAATCCTGAGTTCTAGTTTGATTGCACTGTGGTCTGAGAGAGATTTTGTTATAATTTCTGTTCTTTTACATTTGCTAAGGAGTGCTTTACTTCCAACTATGTGGTCAACTTTGGAATAGGTGTGGTGTGGTGCTGAGAAGAATGTATATTCCGTTGATTTGGGGTGGAGAGTTCTGTATATGTCTATTAGGTCTGCTTGATTCAGAGCTAGGTTCCTTTCCTGGATACCCTTGTTAACTTTCTGTCTCGTTGATCTGTCTAATGTTGACAGTGGGCTGTTAAAGTCTCCCATTATTATTGTGTGGGAGTCTAAGTCTCTTTGTAGGTCTCTAAGGACTTGCTTTATGAATCTGGGTGCTCCTGTATTGGGTGCATATGTATTTAGGATAGTTAGCTCTTCTTGTTGAGTTGATCCCTTTACCATTATGTAATGGCTTTCTTTGTCTCTTTTGATCTTTGTTGGTTTAAAATCTGTTTTATCAGAGACTAGTATTACCACCTATGCTTTTTTTTGTTTTCCATTTTCTTGGTAGATCTTCCTCCATCCCTTTATTTTGAGCCTATGTGTGTCTCTGCACGTGAGATGGGTTTCCTGAATACAGCACACTGATGGCTTTTGACTCTTTACCTAATTTGCCAGTCTGTGTTTTTTACTTGGAGGATTTAGCCCATTTACATTTAAGGTTAACATTGTTATGTGTGAATTTGATCCTGTCATTATGATGTTAGCTTGTTATTTTGCTCATTAGTTGAAGCAGTTTCTTCCTAGCCTCGATGGTCTTTACAATTTGGCATGTTTTTGCAGTGGCTGGTACTGGTTGTTCGTTTCCATGTCTAGGTCTTCCTTCAGGAGCTCTTATAGGGCAGGCCTGGTGGTGAAAAAATCTCTCAGCATTTGCTTTTCTGTAAAGGATTTTATTTCTCCTTCACTTATGAAGCTTTGTTTTGCTGGATATGAAATTCTGGGTTGAAAATTCTTTTCTTTAAGAATGTTGAATATTGGCCCCCACTCTCTTCTGGCTTGTAGAGTTTCTGCTGAGAGATCAGCTGTTAGTCTGATGAGCTTCCCTTTGTGGGTAACCCGACCTTTCTCTCTGGCTGCCCTTAACACTTTTTCCTTCATTTCAACTTTGGTGAATTTGACAATTTATGTGTCTTTGGGTTGCTGTTCTCGTGGAGTATCCCTGTGGCATTCTCTCTATTTCCTGAATCTGAATATTGGCCTGCCTTGCTAGATTGGGGAAGTTCTCCTGGATAATATCCTGCAGAGTGTTTTCCAACTTGGTTCCCTTCTCCCCGTCACTTTCAGGTACACCAATCAGACGTAGATTTGGTCTTTTCACATAGTCCCATATTTCTTGGAGGCCTTGTTCATTTCTTTTTATTCTTTTTTCTCTAAACTTCTCACTTCATTTCATTCATTTGATTTTCCATCACTGAAACCCTTTCTTCCACTTGATCAAATCAGCTACTGAGGCTGGTGCATTCGTTATGTAGTTTTCGTGCTATGGTTTTCTAGTCCATCAGGTCCTTTAAGGACTTCTCTGCATTTGTTATTCTAGTTAGCCATTCGTCTAACTTTTTTTCAAGGTTTTTAACTTCTTTGCCATGGGTTCAAACTTCCTCCTTTAGCTCAGATTAGTATGATCATCTGAAGCCTTTTCCTCTCAATTCTTCAAAGTCATTCTCCATCCAGCTTTGTTCCATTGCTGGTGAGGAGCTGCTTTCCTTTGGAGGAGGAGAGGCACTCTGATTTTTAGAATTTTCAGTTTTTCTACTCTGTTTTTTCCCCATCTTTGTGGTTTTACCTACATTTGGTCTTTGATGATGGTGACATACAGTTGGGGTTTTGGTGCAGATGTCCTTTCTGTTTGTTAGTTTTCCTTCTAACAGTCAGGACCCTCATCTGCAGGTCTGTTGCAGTTTGCTGGAAGTCCACTCCAGACCCTGTTTGACTCAGTATCATCAGCAGAGGCTGCAGAACAGCGGATATTGGTGAAGAGCAAATGTTGCTGCCTGATCATTCCTCTGGAAGTTTTGTCTCAGAGGAGTACCCAGCTGTGTGAGGTATCAGTCTGCCTCTACTGTGGGGTGTCTCCCAGTTAGGCTACTCCGGGGTCAGGGACCCACTCAAGGAGGCAGTCTCTCTGTTCCCAGATCTCCAGCTGCATGCTGGGAGAACCACTACTCCCTTCAAAGCTGTCAGAAAGGGACATTTAAGTCTGCAGTGGTTTCTGCTGCCTTTTGTTTGGCTATGCCCTGCCCCCAGAGGTGGAGTCTACAGAGGCTGGCAGGCCTCCTTGAGCTGTGGTGGGCTCCACCCAGTTCAAGCTTCCCGGCCGCTTTGTTTACCTACTCAATCCTCTGCAATGGCAGGCACCCCTCTCCCAGCCTCGCTGCTGCCTTGCTGTTTGATCTGAGACTGCTGTGCTAGCAATGAGGGAGGCTCCATGGGCATAGGACCCTCTGAGCCAGGTGTGGGATACAATCTCCTGGTGTGCCATTTGCTAAGGCCATTGGAAAAGTGCAGTATTAGGGTGGGAGTGACCCAATTTTCCACGTGCCATCTGTCACCCCTTTTCTTGTCCTACACCCACTGTCCGACAATCCCCAGTGTGATGAACTGGTACCTCAGTTGGAAATGCAGAAATCATTCATCTTCTCTGTCACTCACACTGCCAGCTGCAGACTGTAGCTGTTCCTATTCGGCCATCTTGGCTCCACTGATAGAAGATTCTTCAAGTTGCAGAATATCTCCTTCCTCTCCTCTCTCTTGGAAGAGCAGCCCTAAGACTAGAGTGACAAAGACTGATTTCCACATCACAACTGCCCCATCTTTCCTGTGGTTGCAGCTGTTCTAAGCACTATTGCATTCTGTTAAAATTAGTATATCTGACACCTGCCTAACAGGCTGATTGAGAAGACTTGCCTCTCATATGAACTTTTGTTTGCATATTTCTACCTATGGGGTGTTTAACTTGACTACCTCTGTTCTTGAGGCTAAAGGCAAATGAAAACAATTTCAAAACTATCTGAAGAAATTATGTTACTGTCAAATCTCATGAATTTAGACATTCTGATTAAAAATTGAATAATCTAGAACAAGGTTGGGATGGATTTAACTTCTGTACTATATATGATAAAAGTTTGCTAAGCAAATACACTATAAACAATTCTGCAAGAGTGAATATTTAACAAAATAGGGAGAGCACACTGTTTTTCCAAGCCTTCAGAAGCACCCATCTAGAAACAGAATTGATGTACTGGGTATAAATACTCATCTTCCAGGTTCCAATATATCTGTATAAGCCAGTTTTTTTTTAATCCAGTTTGGTTGCTATGTTTTCTTGAAAGAATTACCCTTGCATTTATTTAAAATATTATACTTGTCACTAGTTCAAATTTCTTTTTCCTCCTGTCATAAAATTAGGGAGGTTCAACTGTTTCAAGCAATAGAAAAGCCTGTTTTGCTTTGTTAGTAAGAGCAGCTAGTTTTGAAGGTGCTTCAGCATTTTCCTTGGTGCCCATACAACAATTCTCATAAGCACACTCCAGTAGTATGACTCTATCTTTTTCATACAGACTTAGAGCATAACTCGGATGGCATATTGACAAAAGAGAAATAATTGCTATAATCTCTTTTTAAAACTTCAGCTCCTCGGATAATCATAATTAACTTTAGTACTCAGTGACCAGGTGCTCATGCCTTAAACACGGCTTAGAAAGGGACATCAAAAAGGATGCTTAGCATTGTTTCACCTCCTAGCAGGAAGTGTATTGCCAGGCTGGCTAATAGCTGCAATTTAATCCTTGAATCATCCTTCTAATTTGGTCAATAAGAATGATTCAAGAGAAAGTGTGTTAGGGCCTGAGAAGTTAGCCTTGATTTTACAAGTTATAATAAATGGCTCAAATAATATTTTAGATCACATTATTTTTGTTTTTAAAATCTGCATATTAGGTGAATTTGTTCTATAAAAATTTGTTTCTGATTATGTTAAATGAAAAAAATCAGAATTATGAATGCCACAGGGTGGCATTGTGGTCCTTCTGGTCTAATAACAGCCCTGTGCATGGCATACAGTAAATCTTTTGTTCTGAGAAGTCAAAACCATACTTCAGTTTGCTCAACATTTTCCTGGAACTGCTTTTGCTGATTTATTTTCTGGGTTGAACACTTCTCTTTTTTCTTTTTTTTCCTTTTCTTTTCTTTTTCTTTTTTCTTTTCTTTTCCTTTTCTTTTCTTTTCTTTTCTTTTCTTTTCTTTTTTTTTCTTTTCTTTTCTTTTCTATGATACCCCTAACCTAGGGAAAGTCTAACACTCTGGACCAGTGTGTAGGTGGAGGGGGAATCCAGAACAGGATCAAAGCATGCTATAATGAAAACTAAAATGACCATCTTTTTTTTCATCTCTTAAAAATAGAAAAGAAGAGTGTAGGGTAAGAATTTGTGCAAAAAAGGACATGGGGAACAAGAAACAGTGCAACAGCCCTCAGACAGAAATGTGTTTATTATACTCAAAAGATCTGTGTGGCTGCAGCTGAATGAGTGAGGGAGAGAGTGATAAGCAGTATATATCTTTAATGTATGTTCATTTATGTGTAAATTATGTATGTACATGTACTATAGTAAAATACATATTGTACATTATAAAATATTCACAAAAAATTATAAAAAGATGAAATAAGCCCCCTCCACTGGGGTGCACACACCCTACAGTGGAGATCATTGCTCTAAACATTGGAAAAGAGCTACAACTTAACAGGATGCAGTTGCATGTATGATTGCTACCAATCATACAAATATTTTCTTCTCAGCTTTAATGAGCACTCAGAATATAAAGGGGTTGTTACGATGCACAAATTTAGATCTCAAGGATATAAATATAGCTGTCATTTATTGAATGCCTGCTGCAGACTCGTCATAATACTAGGTACTGAACATTCCTTATTTTACTCAATCCTTGCAGCACTCCTGCATCAGGGCATTTTTCCAATTTTACAGATGAGAACTTTAAGTCTCAGAAGAACAAATGTTCCAGATTGCACAGCTAGTAAAATGGTTAGAAATAGAGCTACAAATTCTGTGCCTTTTCTACCTCACCACCTGGTAGACAAAGGAAATTATGTAAATATAATGAGTCGCTGAACAGTATTTGAACCTACATTTCTCTGATGCTGGAGTCTACACCTCTTCCTTGAAGCTGTGCAGGCTCTAATAAGTTTGACTGTTTAAGCCTCTTCTCTTTCTTATTCTGCTGAGGGAATAGGGTTCTCCAGTGCAGGACCAATTCATGAGAAAACAGTCACCTTCCAATGTTTTGGGAGTAGTTTGCATTTTATTTTAAAAATTTGTATGTATGTATGTATGTATGTATGTATGTATGTATGTATGTATGTATTTTACACATGGGATCTTGCTGTTTCCCATGCGGGAATGCAGTGGCATGATTATAGCTCACTGCAGCCTCAAACTCCTAGACTCAAGGCAACCTCCTGTTACCAGGAAGACTGGAAGTCCTTGGTCCTTGTCATTCTTTAAAGAAAGAATTTCAACAACTGTTTATCTTTGCTTTTGTTGCATTTGCTTTCGGGTTCTTGATCATGAATTATTTGCCTAAGTCAATGTCTAGGATAGATTTTGATGTTATCTGCTAAGAAATTTTATGGTTTCAGGTCTTAGATTTAAGTCTTTGATCCATCTTGAGTTGATTTTTGTATTAGGAAAGAGATGAGGATTCAGCTTCATTCTTCTACATGTGGCTTGCTTATTATCCAGCTCCATTTGTTGAATAGGGTGTCCTTTCCTCACATTATATTTTCATTTACTTTGTCAAAAATCAGTTGGTTGCAAATACTTGGCTTTATTTCTGGGTTCTCTATTCTGTTCCATTGGTTTATATGCCTTTTTTTTTAACCAATACTATGTTGTTTTAGTAACTATAGCCATGTAGTATAGTTTGAAGTCAGGTAATGCAATGCCTCCAGATTTGTTTTTTGTTTGTTTGTTCTTGCTTTGGCTATGCAGAGTCTGTTATGGTTCCATATGAATTTTAGAATTGTTTTTTCTAGCTCTGTGAATAACGATGATGGTATTTTGATGGGAATTTCATGGAATTTGTCGATTGCATTTGGCTGTAGGATCATTTTTATAATATTGATTCTATCCATCCATGAGCATGGTATGTGTTTCCAATTGTTTCTGTTGCCTATGGTTTCTTTCAGCACTGTTTTGTAGTTTTTCTTGTAGGGATCTTTCACCTCCTTGGTTAGTTATATTCCTAAGTATTTTACTTTATTTTTTCAGCTGTTGTGAAAAGGGGTTGGGTTCTTGATTTGATTCTCAGTTTCATTGTTGTTGGTGTATAGCAGTGTTATTGATTTGTGTACATTGATTTTGTATTCTGAAACTTTACTGAATTCATTTATCAGATCTAGAAGCTTTATGGATGACTCTTTAGGGTTTTCGAGATATACAATTATGTTAGTGGTCCACACCAAGAGTTTGAGTTCCTCTTTGCTTATTTGGATGCCCTTTATTTTTATTTTCTCTTGTCTGATTGCTCTGGCTAGGACTTCTAGTTCAATATTTAATAGCAGTGGTGAAAGTAGGCATCCTTGTGTTGTTTTAGTTGTCAGGGAGAATGCTTTCAACTTTTTTCTGTTCAGTGTAATGTTGGCTGTGGGTTTGTTATAGTTGGCTTTTCTTGCCTTCAGGCATGTCCCTTGTATGCTGATTTTGCTGAGGGTTTTAATCATAAAACGATGCTTGATTTGATCAAACGCTTTTTCTGCATCTATTGAAATAATCATATGATTTTTGTTTTTAATTTTATTTGATGTATTACATTTATTGACTTGTATATGTTAAACCATCCCTGCATCCCTGGTATTAAACCTACTTGATTATGGTGGATTATCTTTTTGATATGCCTTTTGGATTCAGGTAGCCAGTATTTTGTTGAGGATTTTTGCATCTATGTTAATCAAGGATATTGGGCTGTAGTTTTCTTTATTTGTTATGTCCTTTCCTGATTTTAGTATTAGAATGATACTGGCTTCCTAGATGACTTAAGGAGATGACCCTCTTTTTGTATGTTTTGGAATAGTTTCCATAAGATTGGTATCAATTCTTCTTTGAATACCTGATAGAATTCAGCTGTGAACCCATCTGGTCCTGGAATTTTTTTGTAGGCAATTTTTAAATTACCTTTTTAATCTCTCTGCTTGCCAGTGGTCTGTTTAGAGTTTCTATTTCTTCCTGATTTAATCTAGAAGGGTTGAATATTTCCAGGAATTTATCCATCTTCTCTAGATTTTCCAGTTTGTTTGCATAAAAGTGTTCATAGTAGCCTTGAATGATCTTTTGTATTTCTGTGGTATCAGTTGTAATATTTCCTGTTTCATTTCTTATTCAGCTTATTAGGATCTTCTCTTTTGTTGGTTGATATCATTAATGGTCTGTCAAATTTGTTTATATTTTTAAAGAGCTGGCTTTTTGTTTCATTTATCTTCTGTATTAATATTTTTTGTTTCAATTTCATTTAGTTCTGCTCTAATTTTTGTTAATTATTTTTTCCCACTGGGTTTGGGTTTTCTTTGTTCTTGTTTCTTTAGTTCCTTTAGCTGTGACCTTAGATTGTCTCTCTGTACTCTTTCAGATTTTTTTATGTAGGCATTGCTATAAACTTTCCTTTTTAGCACCTCTTTTGCACCATCTCAGAGGTTTTGATAGGTTATGTCACTATTATCATTCAGTTAAAAGAATTTTTAATTCCCATCTTGATTTCATTGTTGACCCAAAAATTATTCATGAGTAGATTATTTAATTTCTATGTATTTGTATACTTTTGAGGTTCCTTTTGGAGTCAACTTCCAGTTTTATTCCACTGTGGTCTGAGAGGGTGCTTGATAAAATTTTGATTTTCTTAAGTTTATTGAGACTTGTTTTGTGGCCTATCACATGGTCTATCTTGAAGAATGTTCCATGTGCTGATGAAGAGAATGTGTATTCTGCATTTGTTGGGTAGAATGTTCTGCAGTTGTTGGGTAGAATGTTCTAAGTCTATATTTTCTCAGGTATAGTTTGAATCCATTGCTTCTTTGTTGACTTTCTGTCTTATCAACCTGTCTAGTGCTGTCAGTGGAGTATTGAAATCCCTCGCTATTATTGTGTGGCTATCTTTCTCATTTTTCAGGCCTAGTAATACTTTTTATATAAACTTGAGAGCTCCCGTGTTAGGTGCATATATAATTAAGATTTTAATTTTTTTTGTTGGACTAATTCTTTTATCATTATATAATGTCCCTCTTTGTCTTTTTTAACAGTTGTTGTTTTAATGTCTCTTGTCTGCTATAAGAATAGCTATTCCTGCTTTTTCATGTCCATTTTCATGGAGTATCTTTTTCCACCCCTTTACCTTAAGTTTCTGTGAGTTCTTGCATATTAGTTGAATCTCTTGAAAGATGGCAGATACTTGTTTGGAGATTTTTATCCATTCTGCCATTCTGTTTCTTTTAAGTGAAGCGTTTAGGCCATGTACATCTAATGTTGGTATTGAAATCTGAAGTACTATTTTATTCATCATTCTAGTTCTTGCCTGAATACCCTTTTTTCTTTGTGTTATTGTTTTAGAGGCACAGTAAGATTTATGTTTAAGAAGGGTTCTATTTTGGTGTATTTTGGGGTTTTGTTTCAAAATTTAGAACTCCTTTTAGCATTTCTTGTAGTGCTGCCTTGGTAGTGGTGAATTCTCTTAGAATTTGTTTGTCTGAAAAAGGCTTTAATTTCTCCTTCATTCATGAATATTAGTTTTGCTGGATACAAAATTATTGGCTGACAATTATTTTGTTTCAGGAGGCTAAAGAGAAGACCCTAATTCCTTCTGCCTTGTAGGATTTCTGCTGAGAAATCTGCAGTTAATCTGATAGGTTTTCCTTCATAGGTTACCTGATGATTTTGCCTCACAGCTTTTAGAATTCTTTCCTTTGTTTTGACTTTGGATAACCTGATGACTATGTACCAAGGTGATGATCCTTTTGCAATGAATTTCTCAGGTGTTCTTTGAGCATCTTGTATTTGGATGTATAGATCTCTAGCAAGGCTGGGGAAGTTTTACTTGATTTTTTCCTCATTTGAGTTTTTCAAACTTTTAGATTTCTCTTCTTTCTCAGGGACACCAATTATTCTTAGGTTTGGCTACTTAACATAATCCAAAATTTCTTGGAGGCTTTGTTCTTTTTTTTTTCTTTGTCTTTATCTGATTGGCTTAATTGGAAAGCCTTGTCTTTGAGCTCTTAAGTTCTTTCTTCTATCGTTCTAGTCTATTGTTGACACTTGCCAGTGTCTTTTATTTACAGTTATGATTGTTTTTTCTTTATAATATCTATTTCTCTGGAGAATTTTTCATCCATATTCTGTATTGTTTTTTCAATTTATTTAAGTTGGTTTTCACCTTTCTCTGATATCTTCTTGAGCAGCTTAATAATCAACCTTTTGAATTCTTTATTTGACAATTCAGAGATTTCTTCTTGGTTTGGATATATTCCTGGAGAGCTAGTGTGGTCTTTGGGGGGTGTTATGGAAACTTGTTTTATCATATTAGCATAATTATTTTTCTGATATTTTTCTCATTTGGATAGAGTATTTCAGTGGAAAATCTGGAACTGGAGGGCTGCTCTTTTGTCCCACAGGGTGATCTCTTGATGTAGTGCTCTCCCCCTTCCCCTAAGGATGGCGCTGGACTGCACCAATTATTATAGTTGTTCTGCTTTTAGCCACCCAGTGGGGTTACTGGGTTCTGGGCTGGTGCTGGGGAATGTCTGCAAGGAGTCCTGTGATGTGATCAATCTTCAGATTTCCCAGCCTTGGATACCATCACCTGCTCTGGTGGAGGTGGCAGGGGAGTAAAGTAGACTCTGTGAGAGCCCTTGGTTGTGATATATTTAGTGTGCTGGCTTTCTCAAATGCTGGTTATGCTAGCAGTAAACTTGTCAGGTGGACAGACTCAGAACCTCTGGTTACCCAGGATGTTGCAGGCAGTGGAATGAGCTGTTGTTTTCTTGGAGTGGTGTTATTCTATCATGAGTTGCTGTAATGTCCTGAGTTCATTGGCCTCTAGCCAGGAGGTGGCACTTTCAAGAGAGCACCAGCTGCAATAGTAGAGGGAAGATATAAGCTTGCTCTAATTTGGCCAGGATAAACACGGGTTTCCCAGACGATGGGCAGGGTCATAAAGCTCCCAAGAGTTTAAATCTTCTGTGATCAGCTACTGGGACAGGTAGAGAAACATCATCAGGTAAAGGCAGGGTTAGGTGGCTCTGAGCTATCCTTGGGCGGGGCTTGCCATGACCACTGTGGGGGATGGGTGGTGGTTCTCAAGCCAATGCAGGTGTATGTTCCAGAGAGGATTATGGCTGCCTCCGTCACCAGGGAAGTGGGGGAAAGCCAGGAGCAATAAGCCTCACCAGCTCCCATGCAGTTGGCAAGGCCGGTCTCATTCCCACTGTCTTTCTAACTGCCAAATTTACCTCCAGTTACCCTGTGCGTGGGCGTCAGACCTTATCCTAGGCTCTAAGCTTCCCCACTGAGAAAGCAAGCAGGGCTTTCAGGTCTCACCCCTCCCCATCTGCCCACACAGTCAGCCTTGGCTCCTGTGCTCCTTTCTGTAGCAGTTCCCGTTTGCCCCCCGGATTCTGCTGAAGAGTGTTTGTGCCCATTTGAAATTATGACAAAGTTCATTTGGAAGCTTCTTGTACCCTGTGACCCCTCCCAAATTCAGCCGGCTGGATTTCCTGAGAGATCCTGTGAGATTTAGTCAAGGATGTCTTCCCTGGGCTCGAGTTGGAGAATGGGAGTGCCTACAAGGCTCTTCCCACTGTTGGTTCTACTTTTATATTGCACAGAATTAATTTCAGCTCTAGTTAAGGTTAAATTCTTTTTCTGTAATTTGGATTTTCAGGTTGCCAAGTGAGTATGTCTGTTTGGAGGCAGGTTTCCCCCCCTTCACACTTTGGGCATTCATAGTTTTTCATCTGGTCAAACAGAATTTGCAGTGGTCTGCCACTTCTTTCAAAGAGTCTGTGAATTCTTTTTTTTTTTTTTCTGGTATGTTACTCTGGTGGTTCTTGGAGCAAAAGCCTATGGCATGAGTCTCCACACACTGTTTTGTCCATCCACGTGGGAGATACACATTAGCCATCTCCTCTCCATGTTCCTTCTCATCCAAAGTTGTTATTTTTATACCTTGATTTTCTTCCATTTGCAGATGAGGTTTGAAAGGTGAAATGATTCCTAAAGCCACAAGCTTTGCTGTTAGACACACTGTGGTATTGGACCCCAGTTCAGTAACTTGTCTTTCTACTTGCTCTTGCTTCTTATGACCAGGACCCATTATTTTTTGCCCTGATCTCAATACTGGGGAGAGTCTTGTCTTGTATTTTTATGACTGACACATTACTTCATATCCACATTTTTCTGTGGCAAGATTTGTTTTGTTCTTCCAGTTAACGTATTCCTTAAGTTCCCTTGCCTACCAGGATAGTTGTCTACTGCCTGTTACCACGCTACTTTGACATCATGCTCTGTCTAGCTGCATATGCTTTATTCAATTGCTTTTTTTCTGCAACTTTCTCCAATATCCTCCCCTAATTTGGAGGTGGCAGGATGTGTGTGACTGTGTGTGTGTGTTTGTGTGTGTGTGTATGTATAGTGGTGAGGATGAGGGGTAAAGTGGTTCCCTAAACTTCCTGCAACAAATACCTCTTTTATTACTTTCCATATGTTCCCATGTTTTCTATATGTTGAAAGATTTTTCTCTGCCAAACTGCATTTATTAATCATTCATTTTTTATATCTTAATGAAGAAGGATATACAAAATTTACAGTTTCTTAATTATTTTAACAAACGTTATCAAGTACCCATTAGGCACCAGACACTATGTTAGGTCCTGGAAAAAGAGAGAGAGATAACCTACTGCTTTTTAAAATGTTTTATTTGAAAGTAATTGTGGATTCACAGGAAGTGGCAAAATTAGTACAGAGAAGTCCATTACCCCTTTGCCAAATGTCTCCCCAAGGTCACATCTTAAATAACTGTAGTACAATGTCAAAACCAGTAACTCAACATTAGTACAAGGTGTGTATTTCATTCTACATCATTTTACCACATGTGTAGACTTGTGTAACCACCATCACAATTAAGATATAGAACTATTCCACCATCGAAAAAGGTCTCCCTCATGCTACCTTGTTATGGTCCCACAATCCCAACACCACCACCATCCCCAGTCCCTGACAAACACTAATCTGTCTGCTGTCTTTATAATTCTGTCATTTTCAGAATGTGATATAAATAGAATCATACAATATGTGACCTTTTGAGATTGTATTTTTTTCACTCAGCATTATAGTTTGAGATTGATCTAAGTTGTTACTTGCATCAGCAGTTTGTTCCTTTTTATTAATGAGTAATATTCCATGATACATGTGTACCACAGTTTATTTAACTATTCACCTATTGAGGACATTTTGGTTGTTTCCCTTGGCTATTATAAATAAAGCTGCAATACATGATTATGTGTGGGTATTTGTGTAAATGTAAGTTTTTATTTATCTGGGGTAAATACCCAGGAGTACAATATGGTAAATATGGTAAGTGTATGGTTAGTATTTTTTTGTTTTTTAAGATGGAGTCTCACTCTGTCGCCCAGGCTGGAGTGCAGTGGCATGATCTCGGCTCACTGCAAGCTCCGCCTCCTGAGTTCACGCCATTCTCCTGCCTCAGCCTCCCAAGTAGCTGGGACTACAGGCGCCTGCCACCACACCCGGCTAATTTTTCTATTTTTAGTAGAGATGGGGTTTCACTGTGTTAGCCAGGATGGTCTCAATCTCCCGACCTCATGATCCACCCGCCTCAGCCTCCCAAAGTGCTGGGATTACAGGCGTGAGCCACCATGCCCGGCCCTATGGTTAGTATTTAAAGAAACTACAAATTCATTTTCCCAAGTGGCTCTTTCATTTCACATTTCATCATCAACATATAAGATTCAGTTTCTCTGCATCTCTGCCAACATTTGATATTATCAATATTTTTTAAAATTTTAGCTCTTCTCATAGTTGTGTAGTGCTATCTCATCATGGTCTTAATTGGCATTTCCTAACAGCTAGTGATGTTGAACAATTTTTCATGCATTTCTTTGCTACCATTATATCATATTCAATGAAATGTCTCTTCAAGTCTTTTGCCCTGTTTATTTGGAGAGACAATTATGCTCATTTGTGATTGTCTACTTACTCTTGAATTTTAAGGGTTTTAAAATAGTAGGTTTTTTTTTTTGCCTAAGTGTTTTGCAAATATTTCCTTCTAGTCTGTAATATTTTCATTCACTCAACAGGATGTTTCACAGAGCAAAAGGTTTTAATTTTGATTAAGTCCAATTTATCGATTGTTCCTTGTATGGACTGTACTTTGGATGTTATCTCTAAGAAATCTTCACCATGTCCTAGGCCTTGAAGATTTTCTCCATGTTTTTTCCTGAATGTTTTCTAGGTTTATATTTTATATTTAAGTTTATTGTCCATTTTTGGTTAATTTTTGTATGAGTGTGAGGTTAAAGTCAAGGTTTTGGGTTTTTTTGCCTATGAATGTCCAATTGCTCTAACACAATTTGTTAAAAAAGACTATTCTTCCTGAATTAGACTATCTAGCTGTCTTTGTCACAAATCAGTTGGTGATATGTGTGTGGGTCTATTTCTAAGTTATTTAGTCTGTTACACTGATCTATGTCTTTAACCATTCACCAATACCACACAGTCTTGATTACTGGAGCTATATAATCTCTTGAACTTGCATAGAGTGATTCTTCCCACTTTATTCTTCTTTTTCAAAATTATTTTAGCTGATTTAAATACATACGCTAATATTCAAATACATATGTTTTTCCATTAGTGTTAGTTTCTTGAGGATGCCATAACAAACTACCACAAACTGGGTGGCTTAAACAGCAGAAATTTATTGTCTCACAGTTCTGGAGGCTTGAAATTTGAAATCAAGATGTCATCCAAGTTGACTGTTTCTGAGGGCTATGTGGGAGACTTTTTTTCATGCCTGTCTCCTAGCTTCTGGTAGCCTCAGGCATTCCTTGGTGATATAGTTTGGATTTGTGTCCCTGCCCAAATCCCATGTTGAATTGTAATCCCCAAAGTTGGAGGAGAGTCCTGGTGGAAGGTGATTGGATCATGAGGGCAGACCTCCCCCTTTCTGTTCTCATGATAGCTAGTGAGTTATCACGAGATCTGTTTGTTTAAAAGTGTGTAACATCTCCTCCTTTGCTCTCTTCCTCCTGCTTCTGCCAAGTAAGATTTCCCAGCTTTCCCTTTGCCTTCTGCCATGAGTGTAAGTCTCACGAGGCCTCCCCAGCCATGCTTCATGTACAGGCTATGGAACCATAAGCCAATTGAACCTCATTTCTTTATAAATTACCCAGTTTCAGGTAGGTCTTTATAACAATGCAATAATTGGCTTGACTAATACACTTGGCTTATAGATAACATTCTATCTTTGTGTCCAAATTTCCCATTTTTATAAGGACACCAGTCATAGTTTCCACCCTAATCATTTCATTTTAACTTGATTACATCAGTAAAGATTCGATCTCTAAGCCAGGCCTGTAATTCCAGCACTTTGGGAGGCTGAGATGGGCAGACCACCTGAGTTCAGGAGTTTAAGACCAGCCTGGCCAATATGGTGAAACTCCGTGTATATAAAAAATACAAAAATTAGCCAGGTGCAGTAGCATGCACCTGTAATCCCAGCTACTCGGGACGCTGAGGCAGAAGAATCGCATGAACCTGGGAGGTGGAGGTTGCAGTGAGCCAAGATCATGCCGCTGCACTCCAGCCTGGGGGACAGAGAAATACTCCATCTCAGAAAAAAAAAAAAAAAAGAAAGAAAGAAAGAAAGTAAAAAGAAAAGATTCTATCTCTAAATAAGGTTATATTCTGAGGTGGAAAGAGTTAGGACTGCAACATATCTTTTTTGAAAAGAGGGACACTATTCAGCCCATAACACTATATAAATCTTAAAATAACCTTGTCTATGTCCACAAGAAATATCCCTAGGATTTTGATAGGGTTTGCCTTAAACCTATATATCAATTTGAAACAAAATTGACATCTTTACCATGTTGATTCTTCCAACTCATAAATATAGTATGTCTCTCCATTTATCTAGGTCTTTGATTTATTTTTCTTTCATCAGCCCTTCATCATTTGCAGTATTCAAATTCATTATTTTATTCAAAGTATACCTAAGTATATATTTTTTCTAAGTGATTGTAAATGCTATTGAATTTTTAATTACAATTCTCACATGTTTATTGCTAGTATATAGGAATAGAGTTGAGTTTTTAATGTTGATCTTTTATCCTATGATTTTGCTGAACTCACTTATGAATTGTAATTTTTTGGAAATTGCTTGAATTTTCTATGTAAAGAATCATGTTTACTCCAAATTGGAACAGAACTATTTCTTGCTTCTCAATCTTTCTGCATGCTTCTTTCTTTCCTTATTGAAGTGGCTTGGACTTCCAGCACTACGTTGAATAAGAGTAGTGAGAGTTCTTACCTTACTCCTTACCTTAGGGGGAAAATATTCAAGCTTTCACCACTAAGTACAAAGTTAACTGTAGAATTTTTGTATATACTCTTGACCAAGTTGAGAAATTTTCTTCTATTTCTAACTTTCTGAGAATGTTTACCATGAAGTGAGAGTCAAATGTTGCTAAATAACTTTTTCTGCATCATTTGATATGATTGTGGGGTTTTTTCTTATCCTATTAATTTGGGAGAATACATTGACTGATTTTAAATGTTGAACCAGTCTTTCATTCCTGGATTAAACCCACTTGATCATGATACATAATTTTTCATATATATATATATATATAATTTGATAAAATATAGTAGAAATCTGCTAGGGATTTTGGCATCTACATTCTTGAGGGATATTGATCTTTTTATGTACTGTCTATGCTTTGGTATCAGGATAATAACTGACAAAAACTACAAAGTTTCATAGAATTAATGCAATTCTTCCTTAAATATTTGATAGAATTCTCCCATAAAGCTTCTGAACCTGAAGACTAATTTTCTAGAGCTTTAAAATTCTTATGAATTCAATTACTTTAATACTTATAGGGCAATTCAAGTAATCTATTTCATATTGAATTTCATGTGGTACTTCATCCTTTCTAAGGAATTAGATCTTTTCTTGTAAGTTATCAAATTTGTGGGCAGAGTTGTTCATGCTATTTTTTGTTACCTTTTGATGCAAGTTCTCTAGTGATACATCTTGTTTCATTCCAGATATTGTTAATTTGTGCCTTCTCTATTTTTGTCAGTCTTGTTTGATGTTTCTGAATTTTATAGATCTATTCCAAGAACCAACTTTTCATTGATTTTCCCTCTTCTTTTAGATTTCATTAATTCTTGCTCTTATCCTTATTATTTCTTTCCTTCAGCTTCATTTGGGTTTATTTTGCTCTCCTTTTTCTATTTTTAGCAGACATCCTCTGACACCTTCCTGGTATGGGGAAATGGAGCATAGCTTTGTTACTGCTAGGTGGAGTGGAGGTCCAGGTTCTCTATTAGGCCTTTGTTGATGCTACCCTGGTGGGAAGCAAAAGGGTGCCTCATTTCTGTTTTCCAATTGACCTCTGACGACCTCAATTGCAAGAAGACTTGTTATCCTTGGAAAGTGATGAAAGTCCAAGCTCCCCACTGGGAGGGAGTCTTTAACACCAATGGGGATAAAGTTTAGGCTTCCAACATAATTATTCTGGAAAAGGGGACAGTTTGCCAGTTTGGGTGCTTCATTAGAGCCTGGTGAAGGAGGAAGTCTACGATCCTCATTACACCTTTGCTAAAGTGAGAGAGGAGCCACACTTTTTTCCTTCTGATATTTAGCTGGAATAAAGTACACGATCAAGAGTTTTCTATTTTGCTAGGATGCCCTTTTCCTGGTCCTTTGGCTGGAGAGAACAGGCTTCCATTTAGACTTTTTTTTTTTGGTCTATACTTATTGGTGTTTTCAGGTTGCCAGTTTCTCCCACACCAAGTCTGGGATATGTGAGGCAACAAACAAACAAACAAAAAAACTGAAGGAACAAGAAAACAGAAAACAAAACCCAAGGAACTCACTGACATGTTCTTTCTTGGGTCCCGAAGTCCCCAACTGATCCTCCTTTTTCTCAACCTTTTAGAGTCTACTTATGTTTCTTTTATAAATCATGTCCAGGCTTTTTAGTGGTACTTAATGAAACAAGTAAAAAATATGTCTACTCCATTATTCTGGAGGTTAATGTCCTTTTCTATTGCTTCTCATATCTGTCTCCTTTTTCAGATTAAGTCCTGTAATGGAAGGCTATACCTGGGACAATGAGGGCAGGAAGGACTGGAGGTTTATTAGTGACTGGGGGAGTGGAGAATACAGTCTCAGGGGTTCCCAGCAGGGTACCCCAAGAAGGCTTAAATAAGAAGAGTTGGGCCTTGAGAGATAAATAGAACATTTCCAGAGGGCGTAACAGAATATAGGCCAGCATGTTTGAGAATCTGCTCATAGTTCAGATACCCTGGAAATCAAAGCCCAAAGGGGTATAAACATAAGGGAGGACTCATAGGTTGTTTAGAATGAAGAGTATTATCACAATGGGCTAATATAATTCCAATCAAAATCAAACAACACAGACCTTGGCATTTATTTGTTTTTATTTTTTAATCAAGGTAATACATACATCAAATTTTTAAGTCAAATAATACAGCAGGACTTAACGATGTAAAGCAATCGCTGCCGTGCCCATTTCCTCTCACTACTGGCAACCATCTTTATTTCAGATGACATTATTATAACTATGTAAATATTGTTCACTGCAGAGACTGGAAGTGCCATAGGATTATCTTTATTTCTCCATGGGTCCAGTGTTACAATTCAAAAGATAATTTTCTCAGTTTCAAGGTCAAATGGATTCTCTTTTCGTATACTCCATTAATAGCTCAAAATCATGCCACATTTTAGTTTGCTTAGTATTTAGACCTTAACACTCTTGTAAAAAAATTTTTTTAAACAAAGAACCTTTTCTGTAGTTTCTAGCTTCTCTGTTTTTGTTGTTGAGAGAAGCAACATATGCCCTTTTCACCACATCAATAAAATTTTCTGGCTTTCTTACTCATTCTATTGATTGATGGGAATCCAGTCAAATTTCCTTTTTGGAGACATTCTTCTTGGAGCTTACTGCCTTCCTGTTCTAATTTGTAGTGATTACTTTCTAGGCCTGCTGAACAGCTGTCATCCTGGGATTTATTTACATTGCCCCACAGAGTAAATTCCACAAGTAAATTCACATACCTTTCCTTTTCTTGGTTCACACCTCATTTCACTGTACTAAAACCTTAAGTTCTTTCCTTAGAAGAAATGCTTAGGACACAAATTTTTTTAGTTCCTGCATATATAAAAATATCTTTCTTTTGCCTTTACATTTGATTGCTAATTTAGTTGGGTAGATATGTCTAAGTTCAAAATCAAGGTACTGATGCATTATCTTCCAGTGTTATTGATGGAACTTCTGATGTAAATGTCATTTTTTTACTTTGTAGGTGGCTTTTTTCTGGAAATGTTTCAGTTTTTCTCTTTGTTTTTGGTATTCTAGAATTTTGTAAACTTGAAATGAGTCTTTTAATTTATTTCTATTGGATCCCTTTAATTTAAAAATTAGATTTTTTTACTCATGGATATTTTTTGTAAGCTTACTTTATAATTTCCCCCTTCTTCTGTTCTCTCTTGAACATCCATTAGTCAAATTCTGGAATTCCTGAATTGTCTCATTTTCTCTTATTATATATTTCTGCCATTTGAATGTATTTTTTAGGAGATATTCTTAACTTCATGCTTCAGGTTTTTAAAGTATAATAATAATAAAATTAAAAAAAAGAAAGTCAAGAATATTTTTGAAATCCTATTTTAATTTCTATAATCTCTTTCTCATTATTTGATTAGGTTTTCATAACATACTTTTTATTTCATAAATACATTAATCTCTGTGAGAATATTAATTTAGAATTTTTAAGTTATCTTTCTTCTCCTTTTTTCTTTATTTATTTTGATTTTTTTCTAGTATACCTTGCCTTTTTTCATATGTCTGGTAATCTTGGTCTAGGTTAATCATTCTAAGAGCATTTACTCTGCTGTTATACAGGATGCACAGACTAAAATCAACTCTTAGCTTGCTCCTATGAAATTTCAGAATGAGGAGGGCTTCACTTTGGGAAACTAACTGCCACACTAGATGCCCTATCTCTTCCCAGGCAACGTATTAAAATATAAGAGCCAGGAGTGGAGAGCAATGGCTTTGCCTTGAAGAAAGGTGGGTGACTGCAATCTGAACAGGTCCTGACAGCATTAGTGAGTGTGAGCTATGGTTAGTTATCTTGAGACAGAGAAACCACTGATCTGGCAGCCTAATATTAGAGCCCCTTTGATTGGCAGTCATTCAACAATTATGTACTGTGGACCAATGATATTCTAGTCTGTGTTTTAATGCCAAGGTTTTGTCCTCAGGGAGCTGTCAAATGATGGAGACAGATGACAAATATGTAAACAGGTATATTTGCAAATATATCTTTGAGGTGTGACATGAAAAAATAAATCAGATGAGAAGAAAGCAAATGCCAGAGATTGGGGAGGGTTGTTGTGGTGGTGAAATGATACTTCACATAAAAGTAATCAGATAAAGATTCTAGGTTAAGCAAACAAATGATGAAAGCTTGTTAGTGAGAACTATACATAACTGCTGTCATCAGACTTTACTATAAAATGAAGAAGAAAAACAGATTCTGTACCTTCCATTCTCAGAAAATGACTTTGTATATAAGGGGAATTGAACAAACCTAGAAAAACTTATCTGACCTACCCAAGAGTGGATAAGACATAAAGCAAACTGCCTTCTCTGCCAGGAATATTGTGTCTGAAACACTGTGTATGGTGCTCTTGAAGCCAAATCTAATCTACTGAGCCATGCACTTCTTTAAATGATGGAAGCTGTCCTAAATAAGTACAGTGATTAATTATGTCTGTTAAACCATGATTAGTATTTGCTCAAATAGATCTTTAACAAAAAAGGATTTTTTTCTTAATTTAAAGAACGTCTTGACTTTTTTGGTCAAAAATCCTCACCAATTGCTAAGAAGAAATATTAAAGTGATGTTTACACATACCCTCATGTGGGCTCAATATAGAGCTATACCCAAAATTATATATTGTTATTTTTTCCAGGTCTCTAAAGTGAGTTTTTTTGAATAGAGCAGTTGACTGGGAAATAGGTATTCCCTAAACTTCTACTAATATTCTTACACAAAAGTGAGTAAAAGGTCAAAAGCCAGCTATGCTTTGCTTGTAAAGAGATACATCACAAAGAACAAAATGATAAAGGCAGGAATAAAAAAGAATACTCAAAGATATAATAGACAAATTCAATCAGAAGGTAATATTTATGGAATACAAAATAAACTTCAGGGAAAAATATTAAATAGTGTAAAAATGTTATTTCTTATTGATATAAGATACTATCCACCAAGGAGCTACATCACTCATGAATTATGTACTGTACAGCAGAGCTCTGAAATTCATCAAGCAAAACTGCTAGAAATAGTAAGTTGATAAAAACAGAATAATCACTGTTAGTTTGAATGTTAGTTGGTGCAAATGATTTAAAGGGCATGTCAATCAGATGTCTAGGTTACATTATCGTAAAAACCAAGCTCCAAATGTCAATGGCTCAGTGAAATGGAAGTGTATTATTAATGCTACATGTACAACATAAATCACCAGGGGACTCTGCTCCATGTCCTCATTCCATGTTTTCTTATTATGCCGGTATCTCAACAGAGTGTATTGAAGTCCACTGCTGCAACAGAAGAGCATCTTTCATTGAAATTAAATGCTTCATCTCAGAAATGACAGATGTTGTACTCCCAAACCCATTGGCTGGAAATAGTCACATAGACTCAGCCACTTGCAATGGGGACAAGGATGTATAATTCTTGTATGTGTCTAAAAGGAGAGGAGAAACACACACCAGGGAAGATTAGCAGTTTCTACCATGAAGGATAATTTGACATTATCTACCAAAATTTAAATTATGCATGCCTACAATTCTATGAGTCTATCCTTTAGAAATACTAAACAAGTAGATAAAGATATATTTACAGGGATATCCATTGCATTATTGATTATAACCGAAAAAACCTGAAACAACCTAAAAGTAATCAATAAGAAATGCTTAAGTAAATTATGGTACATACATAAAAGGAATACTGTGTTGTTACTAAAAGGGAATGAGGTATGTTTAAATATGCTAAAGTGTAAAAATATACATGGCTCATGATTAAATGATAAAAATCAATTTGTAGGACATGGTGAAGAGCATAATTCAACTTGTGCTAAACACCAACAACTTAAAAACAGAAGTTCTAGAAAAATGTTTGCAAGGATACACAGCAAACCATTAATAATGGCCTACCACTGAGATTGGGAGATGAATTCTTTTTCCTTATATTTTTATTAGACAAGCCTATTTTTGCAAACCTATATAAATAAAATAATACTTCCACTGTTCTCACTTTCTGTCACCTTATTTACCTTATTTTTCTTCAAAGCATTTATCACTGTGTGACAATATATTATAATAGGATTATTTATTGATTGTTGTCTCCACCATTGAACTGTAAGTGTAGTAAAGGAATGGTCTTTGTTTTCCTAGAATAGCACCTGATATGAAGTAAGTATTCAATGAATATTTGTTTAATGAATGAAAAATGAATGATCCTAACTGGCTTAATAGTTCATGTCACATCTAAATATAGAAATACTATATTGATTTGAAAAAGAATAATGAAGAACTAGAGAGGCAGATATGAAGTGATACCCAAGAAATGTTAATTTAAAAAAGGAAAATAATGAACAGTATGTGTAGCATGATAATATAAGTGATTTTCAAATAAGATATCCCTTGAAAAAGGATTTATTCATTTATTCAACTTGCAATTGTTGAGCTCTTATTATGTATAAAGCAGTTTTTTAGATGCTGTGTTGTATCAGTGAACAAAACAAAAAGTTCCTCTTCTCATGAGCTTACATTTTATCATGACTGAGGAGAAGAGTGATATATAGAAATTCCTCAGAAAGATATTTAAGAAATAGTGACTAATGCTTGGAAATATGACTGGACAGTTGGGAGGAATTTGGTAACTTTTCATTTCTACTATTTTATACTATTCCATTGTTTTCCAAGAACATGCATTACTTCTTTTTCCTTTAAATTTACTTTAAATTCCGGGTACATGTGCAGGATATGCAGGTTTGTTACCTACGTAAACATGTGTCGTGGTGGTTTGTGGCACAGATCATCCCATCACCTAGTTATTAAGCTCAGTATTCATTAGCTATTCTTCCTGAAGCTCTACCTCCCCCATCACCAACCTGACAGGCCCCAGTGTGTGTTGTTTCCCCCTCCATGTGTCCTTGTGTTCTCATCACTCAGCTACCACTTGTAAGTGAGAATATGTTTGGTTTTCTGTTCCTGAATTAGTTTGCTGAGGATAGTAGCTTCCAGCTCCATCCACGTCCCTGCAAAGGACATGATCTTTTTCCCTTCTTTGGCTGCGTAGTATTCCATGCTATATATGTACCACATTTTCTTTATCCAGTCTATCCTTGATGGGCATTTAGGTTGATTCCATGCCTTTGCTATTGTGAATAGTGCTGCAATTAACATTTATGTGCATGTATCTTTATAATTGAATGATTTACATTTCTTTGGGTATATACCCAGTAATAAGATTGCTGGATCAAATGATGTTTCTGCCTCTAGGTCTTTGAGGAAATACGACACTGTCTTCTGCAATGGTTGAACTAATTTATGCAACAACCAACAGTGTAAAAGCATTCCTTTTTCTCCACAACCTCACCAGCATCTGTTGTTTCATGATTTTTTTTTTTTTTTTTTTTTTTTGAGACGGAGTCTCGCTCTGTCGCCCAGGCTGGAGTGCAGTGGCGGGATCTCGGCTCGCTTCAAGCTCCGCTTCCCGGGTTCACGCCATTCTCCTGCCTCAGCCTCCCAAGTATCTGGGACTACAGGCGCCCGCCATTACGCCCGGCTAATTTTTTGTATTTTTAGTAGAGACGGGGTTTCACCGTTTTAGCCGGGATGGTCTCGATCTCCTGACCTCGTGATCCGCCCGCCTCGGCCTCCCAAAGTGCTGGGATTACAGGCGTGAGCCACCGCGCCCGGCCCATGATTTTTAATAATAGCTATTCTAACTGATGTGAGACAATATCTCATTGTGGTTTTGATTTGCATTTCTCTAATGATCAGTGATGTTGACCTTTGTTTCATATGTATTTGGTTGCGTGTATGTCTTCTTTTCAGAAGTATCTGTTCAAGTGTCTTTTTCAAATTAATATAGTATTTCTATATGTAGATAGATGTAACGTGAACTACTGAGCCATTTAGGGTCATTCATTTATTCATTCATTTAACAAATATTCACTAAATACCTACTTCATATCAGCTGCTATTCTAGGCAACTTCGCCCACTTTCTAATGGGGTTGTTTGTTTTTATCTTATAGATTTGTTTAAGTTTCTTATAGATGCTGAGTATTAGGACTTTGTCAGATAGAAAGATTGCAAAAATGTTCTCCCATTCTGTGGGTTGTCTGTTCACTGTGATGATAGTCTCTTTTGCTGTGCAGAAGCTCTTTAGTTTAATTGGATGCCAATTGTCAATTTTTGCTTTTTTTGCAATTGCTTTTCACATTTTGTCATAAAATCTTTGCCTACGCTTATGTCCTGAATGATATTGCCTAGATTTTCTTCTAGGGTTTTTATGTTTTTGGGTTTTACAATTAAGTCTTTTGAATTCATCTTGAGTTAATTTTTGTATATGGTGTAAGGAAGGGGTTCAGTTTCAATTTTCTGCATATGGCTAGCCAGCTCTCCCAGCAGCATTTATTAAATAGAGAGTCCTTTCCTTATTGCTTATTTTTGTCAGATTTGTCAAAGATCAGATGTTTGTAGGAGTGCAAACATCTGAGTTCTTATTCTGAATTCTCTATTCTGTTCCGTTGGTCTATGTGTCTGTCCTTGTACCAGTACCATGCTGTTTTGGTTACTGTAGCCTTGTAGTATAGTATAGTTGGAATTCAGGTAGCATGAAGCCTCCAACTTTGTTCTTTTTGCTTAGGATTGTCTTGGCTCTTCAGGCTCCTTTTCGGTTCTATATGAATTTAAAAATTTTTTTTTCTAATACTGTGAAGAATGTCAATAGTAGTTTAATGGGAATAGTACTGAATCTAAAAATTACATTGGTCAGTATGGCCATTTTTATGATATTGACTCTTCCTATCCATGAGCATGGGATGTTTCTCCATTTGTTTGTGTTCTGATTTATTTAAGCAGGAGTTTGTAGTTCTCCTTGAGGAGGCCTTTCACTTCCTTTACTAGCTGCATTCCTTGGTATTTTATTCTTTTTGTAGCAACTGTGAATGGAAATTCATTCATAATTTGGCACATTCATAATTTGGCTGTGAGTTTGTCATATATGACTCTTAACATCTTGAGATATGTTCCTTCAATACCTAGTTTATTGAGGGTGTTTAACATGAAGGGATGTTGAATTTTATTGAAGGCCTTCTTTGCATCTATTGAGATAGATGCAAACAGCTTGCCTGTTGTTTGTGTATAAGAATGCTAGTGATTTTTGAACATTGATTTTGCAACCTGAGACTTTGCTGAAATTGCTTAATAGCTTAAGAAACTTTTCAGCTGAGACAATGGGATTTTCTAAATATAGGATCATGTCATCTGCAAACAAAGATAATTTGACTTCTCTTTTCCTATTTGATTACCCTTTATTTCTTTCTGTTGCCTGCTTGCCCAAGCCAGAACTTCCAATACTATGTTGAATAGGAGTCATGAGAGAGGGCATCCTGTCTTGTGCCAGTTTTCAAGGTGAATGCTTCCAGCTTTTGCCCATTTAGTATGATATTGGCTGTGAGTTTGTCATATATGGCTCTTAATATTTTGAGATATGTTCCTTCAATACCTAGTTTATTGAGGGTGTTTAACATGAAGGGATGTTGAATTTTATTGAAGGCCTTTTTGCATCTATTGAGATAATCATATTTTTTTTGTCTTGAGTTCTGTTTACGGGATGAACCACATTTACTGATTTGCATATGTTGAAACAGTCTTGCATCCTGTGGATGAAGCCAAATTGATCGTGGTGGATAAGCTCTTTGGTGTGCTGCTGGATTTGGTTTGCCAGTATTTTATTGAAGATTTCTTCATTGGTGTTCATCAAGGATATTAGCCTGAAGTGTTTCTCTCTCTCTCTCTCTGCCAGGTCTTTTTATCAGGACGATGCTGGCCTCTTAGGGAGGAGTCCTTCCTTTTCAATTTTTTGGAATACCTTAAGTAGAAATGATACCAGCTCTTCTTTGTGCCTCTGGTAGAACTCACCTGTTAGTCCAACTTGTCCTGGACTTTGATAGATAGGCTATTTATTACTGCCTCAATTTCAGAACTCATTACTGGTCTATTAAGGGATTCAATTTCTTCCTGGTTCAGTCTTGGGAGAGTGTATATATCCAGGAATTTATCCATTTCTGCTAGATTTTCTAGTTTATGTGCATAAATGTGTTTATAGTATTCTGATGGTTGTTTTAATTTCTGTGGGGTTAATGATGATATCCCCCTTATCATTTCTGATTGTGTTTATTTGATTATTTTCTCTTTTATTCTCTATTAGCCTAGCTAGTTGTCTATCTATTTTATTATTTCTTTTCAAAAAAAAACAGCTCCTGGATTTGTTGATTTTTTGAAGGGATTTTTTGTGTATCTCTTTCAGTTCAGCCCTGACCTTTGTTATTTCTTGTCTTCTGTCAGCTTGGGGTTTGTTTTCTCTTGGGTCCCTAGTTCTTTTAGTTGAGATCTTAGGGTGTTAGCTTGAGATCTTTTTAGCTTTTGATGTGGACATTTAGTTCTATAAATTTCCCTCTTATCACTTCTTTAGCCGTATCACACTCATTTTGATACCTTGTCTCTTTGTTCTCATTAGTTTCACAGAGTTTCTTGATTTCTGCCTTGATTTTGTTATTCACCCAAGAGTCATTCAGGAGCAGCTTGTTCTATTTCCATGTAGTCGTGTGGTTTTGAGTGAATTTCTTAATCTTGAGTTATAATTTGATTGCATTGTGGTTTGAGAGACTGTTTGTTATTATTTCAGTACTTTTGCATTGATTATATGGTAAGTTTTAGAGTAAGTACCATGTGGCAATGAGAAGAATGTATATTCTGTTGAACTTGGGTGAAGAGTTCTGTAAATATCTATCACATTGACTTGATCAAAAGCTGAGTTGTGGTCCTGATATCTTTGTTAATTTTGTCTTGATGATTTGTCTAATATTGTCAGTGGGGGCTGGGCGTGGTGGCTTACACATGTAATCCCAGTAGTTTGGGAGGCCAAGGCAGGTGGATCGCCTGAGGACAGGAGTTCGAGACCAGCCTGGCTAACATAGTGAATCCCCATATCTACTAAAAATACAAAATTAGGCTGGCATGGTGACATACATCTGTAATCCCAGCTACTCTGGAGGCTGAGGCAGGAGAATCAATTGAACCTGGGAGGCCGAGGTTGCAGTGTGCCAAGACCGTGCCACTGCACTCCAGCCTGGGCAACAAAGTGAGACTCCATCTCAAAAAATAAATTAAATAATAATAATAATAATATAATAATAATAATATTGTCAATGGCATGTTAAAATCTCCCAATATTATTGTATGGAAGTCTCAGTCTCTTTATAGGTCTCTAAGAACTTGTTTTATGAATCTGGGTGCTCCTGTATTGGGTGAATATATATTTTGTATGGTTAGCTCTTCTTGTTGAATTGAACCCTTTACCAATATATGATGTCCTTCTTTGTTTTTTTTTTTATCTTTGTTGGTTTAAAGTCTGTTTTGTCAGAAACTAGGATTGCAACCCCTGCTTTCTTCTATTTTGCCTTTCTTGCTAAATTTTCCTCCATCCCTTTATTTTGAGCCTATGTGTGGCTTTGGACATGAGATGTGTCTCCTGAAGACAGCATACCAATGGGTCTTGTCTCTTTATTCAGCTTGCATATTCTGTGTCTTTTCATTGGGGCATTTAGCCCATTTACATTTAAGGCTAGTATCATTATGTGTGAATTTTATCCTGTCATCATGATGTTACCTTGTTATTTTGCAGATTTATTTATGTGGTTGCTTCATAGTCTCACTTCTCTGTGTACTTCAGTGTGTTTTTGTAGTGGCTGGCAACAGATTTTCCTTTCCATATTTAGTGTTTCCTTCAGAACCTTTTTCAAGGCAGGTCTGGTGGTAATAAACTCCCTCAGCATTTGCTTGTCTGAAAAGGAACTTATTTCTCCTTTGCTTATGAGCTTAGTTTGGCTGGATATGAAATTCTTTGAATTGGAAATTATTTTCTTTAAGAATGTTGAATATTGACCTCCAATCTTTTCTGGCTTGTAGGGTTTCTGCTGAGATGTCCACTCTTAGTCTGATGGGTTTCCCTTTGTTGGTGATCTGGCCTTTCTCTCTGGCTGCCCTTAACACATTTTCTTTCATTTTGAACTTGGAGAATCTGGTAATTATATGTCTTGAGGTTGATCTTCTCATGGAGTATCTTGCTGGGGTTCTCTGCATTTCCTGAATTTGAATGTTGGCCTGTCTTGGTTGGGGAAGTGCTGCTGGATGATATCCTGAAGTACATTTTCCAACTTGATTCCTTTCTATCTCTTTCAGATACCCAATCAGTCGTAGCTCTCTTTACATAATCCCACATTTCTCAGAGGTTTTGTTTATTTCTTTTCATTCTTTTTCTTCTATTCTTGTCTGCCTGTCTTATTTCAGAAGGATAGTCTTTGAGCTCTGAAATTCTTTCCTCAGCTTGGTTTATTTCACTATTGATACTTGTGATTGCATTGTAAAGTTCTTTTATTGTGTTTTTCAGCTCTATCAGGTTGGTTATGTTTCTCTCAAAACTACTATTCTGGCTATCAGCTCCTCTGTTGTTTTATCATGATTCTTAGCTTCTTTGCATTGGATTACAACATGCTTCTTTATCTCAGTGAAGTTTGTTATTATCTACTTTCTGAAGCCTATTTTTCTGCCAATTCAGCCATCTCAGCCTCAGCCCAGTTCTGTGCCCTTGATGGGGAGGTGTTGCAGTCATTTGGAGGAGAAGAGGAACTCTGGCTTTTTGAGTTTTCAGCATTTTTGTATTGATTCTTTCTCATCTTTGTGGGCTTATCTACCTTTGATCTGTGAGGTTGCTGACCTTTGAATGAGGTTTTTATGAGGTCTTTTTGTTGATGCTGTTGTTTTCTGTTTGTTTGTTTGTTTTTCCATTAACAGTCAGACCACCCTACCATAGGGCTGCTGCAGTTTGCTGAGGTTCTGCTCCAGTCTCTAGTTGCCTCAGTGTTTTACGTACCTGAAGGTTTCACCAGTGAAGGCTGAGAAGCAGCAAAGATGGCAACCACCTCCTTCCTCTGGAAGCTCCACCCCTGGTGAATACTGACCTGTTGCTGGCCTGAATGTACCTGTAGGAGGTGACTGGAAACGCCTTTTAGGAGGTCTCGCCCAATCAGGAGAAATGGGATCAGGGATCCACTTAAAAAAGAAGTCTGGCTGCTTTTTGGTAGAGCAAGTGTGTTGTGTTCAAGGTGACCCTTCCTTGACTGAACCATTTGTGTTCTCCAAAGCAAGCAGGCTGGAACAGCTGATTCTACTGAACTGCAGAGATGATAGCTGCTCCTCCCTCCAGAAGTTCCATCTCAGGGAGAGATCAGGGCTCTATCCATAGAACCCTGGCTGGAGTGGCTGAAGCCCCTGCAGTGACTAGAAATGGATTGGTGTTCCACTTAAAGAAGCAGTCTGGCCACAGTCTAGCAAGATGGACCATGCTGTACTGTATTATAGTGGACACTTTCTTTTCTGAACTGTTTGTATTCTCCAAAGCTGGAAGGCTGAATTTGCTGAGTCTAACAAACTACAGAGATGGTGGTCACTCCTCCCCCGGGAACTCAGACCCATTTCAGGCAGATTCCTGCCTGTTGCTGTTGGCTGGCTAGAATTCCATGCCAGTGGGTCTAACTTGTGAGGTGCCACGGAAGAGGGGGCCCACAGAATGACACTGCTTGGCTCACTGGATTCAGCCCTCTTTCCAGGGACATGTACAAACATATTTTCTGCCTTGCTGGGATTCCAGGGCTGGAGTATAGAGAACACCCGAGTCTGTGTGTACACCTGAGCAGCTGCTCTACTGAGACTCCACACAACCCTGTGTATCAGACCCAAGGCCCTGGTGGCATCGGCTCATGAGGGGATCTCCCGATCCATGGGTTGCAAAGACCCATGGGAGAAGCATGATTTCTCAGGTGGGGTTGCATAGTCACCAATTTCCTTGGCTGGCAGTGGGAGTTGCTTTGGCTTCATGCCACTCCAGGGTGGGCTCTCACTCCCCCAACCCTCACTATTCTTTGTTCTCCATTGGTGGACTTGTTTGCCTGGTCAGTCTCAACATAAGAACCTGGATATTTCAGTGGAAGGTTCTGGATTCACTTGCCCATTTTCATTCCTCTCTGTAAGTGCCATGGACTGCAGCTGCTTCTAATCGGCCCTTTTGGATCTGAATCCATGCATTACTTTTAAAGTAATCTTTAAAGTATGTTAGAAAGCCAGCGGAAATTTAATAGAAGAATTATGAGTAATAATAATGACAGAAATGAAAACAGATAGCATAAGTCTGTAGGGGATTAGGTCAGATCTTTTTTTCTAGTGGGAGGGTTCAGGGGAGTGGGGGTGGAGTGAAAATGAGGGATTTAGATATACGACACCTATGAAAGGTTAAGGAGTCAAAGCTTTTAGTGAAGGCAGCACTGAAGTAGTTGCCATGAAATTCACATCTGGCAGGAAGACAGACAAGTATATTAAGGCAGCAGATAATGACACAGAATGATCGAATCAGGCCAGTGTTTCTGTAGCCAGATGTGTGAGATCCTCAGGAAGGGAATGGTTGTTCTTTGGTTTCTGGAAGAACTGTGACTTCAGTCTCACTCTTCCTGTTCTGAGCTGGGATATGTGTTGTTGGCACACTGCTTGTCCATCACTGATTTCTGAGTAAAAATAAAAGAGAAAGCAATGTGTAGAGGAAAAGAGAAGCAATAGCACAAGTGATATGAAACCCTGGAACTTGGAGAAAAAGGAAGATAAAAGAAAGAAAAAGAATGCTGAACATGTGAAAGATAAAGCAAACACCTCGAGTAATTAAGCCAAACCCATGCATAATTGTGGCTAAACCTGGATCCTTCCCTAGAGTGTACCTTTGTTATCTAGGAAGTATTGGAGTCATGTTTCTCTTAGAAGGATAAACTGTTTCCCATGAAACTAATTTATATGCAGGGAAATAAGTGATTTCTTTGTATACTGGGTTACCTCTTAGGCAGCATTATTTACTAAGTCTCTTGTTTCTTGGACATGATTTACATAGAGAGAATTCCCACAAGAGCAAAATAAAATTTTTCTTATCCTACCCCCTTAGCTATTTTATTTTGTAGGAACAGAGAAAAAGTTTGCATATTCACTCATTTAACATATCTATGAAAATACCTTGAGATGTTATTTAATGTGTGGCTCTCTGAAAGTAACATAATAGACAAATTGAGAATTACTAAACCACACTCTGACATGAGAACTATATGAAGCTTACTGTAACGTTAGCTTAAGCATTCTTATACACAAAAATAAGATTTTTGCATGAATTTCTCCTCATCTGAAATGGATAGATGAGATTTACCTCAGTTTTCTTGTTATACATGTATTATTCTTTATATATATATGTATATATGTATATACTTTAAGTTCTAGGGTACATGTGCACAACGTGCAGGTTTGATACATAGTTATACATGTCCCATGTTGGTTTGCTGCACCCATCAACTCATCATTTACATTAGGTATTTCTCCTAATGCTATCCCTCCCCCAGACCCCCACCCCATGACAAGCACTGGTGTGTGATGCTCCCCACCCTGTGTACAAGTGATCTCATTATTCACTTCCCACCTATGAGTGAAAACATGCAGTGTTTTGTTTTCCATCCTTGTGATAGTTTGCTTAGAATGATGATTCCCAGCTTCATCCACGTCCCTGCAAAAAACATGAACTCATCCTTTTTATGGCTACATAGTATTCCGCTGTGTATATAAGCCACATTTTCTTAATCTAGTTTATCATTGGTGGACATTTGGGTTGGTTTCAAGTCTTTGCTATTGTGAATAGTGCCACAATAAACATATGTGTGCATGTGTCTTTTTATTAGAATGATTTATAATCCTTTGGGTATATACCCAGTAATGGGATTGTTGGGTCTAATGGTATTTCTAGTTCTAGATCCTTGAGGAATCACCACGCTGTCTTCCACAATGGTTGAACTAATTTACACTCCCACCAACAGTGTAAAAGCTTTCCTATTTCTCCACATCCTCTCCAGCATCTCTTGTTTCCTGATTTTTTAATGATTGCCATTCTAACTGGCATGAGGTGGTATCTCATTGCGGTTTTCATTTGCATTTCTCTGATGACCAGTGATGATGAGCATTTTTTCATGTGTCTGTTGGCTGCATAAATATCTTCTTTTGAGAAGTGTCTGTTCGTATCCTTTGCCCACTTTTTGATGGGGTTGTTTGTTTCTTTTCTTGTACATTTGTTAAAGTTCTTTGTAGATTCTGGATATTAGCCCTTTGTCAGATGGGTAGATTGCAAAAATTTTTTCACATTCTATAGATTGCCTGTTCACTCTGATGGTAGTTTCTTTTGCCATGCACAAGCTCTTTCCATTTGTCTATTTTGGCTTTTGTTGCCATTACCCATGTGTATGTCCTGAAAGGTATTGCCTAGGTTTTCTTCTAGGGTTTTTATGGTTTTAGGTCTAACATTTAAATCTTTAATCCATCTTGAATTAATTTTTGTATAAGGTGTAAGGAACGGATCCAGTTTCAGTTTTCTACATATGGCTAGCCAGTTTTCCTGGCATCATTTATGAAATAGGGAATCCTTTCCCTATTTCTTGTTTTTGCCAGGTTTGTCAAAGATCAGATGGTTGTAGATGTGTGGTGCTATTTCTCAGGCCTCTTTTCTGTTCCACTGGTCTATATCTATTTTGGTACCAGTATCACACTGTTTTGGTTACTATAGCCTTGTAGGATAGTTTAAGTCAGGTAGCATGATGCCTTGGCTATGCGGGCTCTTTTTTGATTCCATATGAACTTTAAAGTAGTTTTTTCCAATTCTGTGAAAAAAGTCATTGGTAGCTTGATGGGGATGGCATTGAATCTATAAATTACCTTGGGCAGTGTGGCCATTTTCACAATACTGATTCTTCCTTTCCATGAGCATGGAATGTTCTTCCATTTGTTTGTGTCCTCTTTTATTTCATTGAACAGTAGTTTGCAGTTCTCCTTAAAGAGGTCCTTCTCATCCCTTGTAAGTTGGATTCCTAGGTATTTTATTCTCTTTGTATCAGTTGTGAATGGGAGTTCACTCATGATTTGCCTCTCTGTTTGCCTGTTATTGGTGTATAGGAATGCTTGTGATTTTTGCACATTGATTTTGTATCCTGGGACTTTGCTGAAGTTACTTATCAGCTTAAGGAGATGTTGGGCTGAGATGATGGGGTTTTCTACATGTACAATCATGTCATCTGCAAACAGGGACAATTTGACTTCCTCTTTTCCTAATTGAATACCCTTTATTTCTTTCTCTTGCCTGATTGCCATGGCCAGAACTTCTAACACTATGTTGAGTAGGAGTGGTGAGAGAGGGCGTCCATGTCTTGTGCCAGTTTTCAAAGGGAATGCTTCCAGCTTTTGCCCATTCAGTATGATATTGGTTGGCTGTGGGTTTGTCATAAATAGCTCTTGTTATTTTGAGGTATGTTCCATAAATATCTAGTTTATTGAGAGTTTTTAACATGAAGTGCTGTTGAATTTTGTCGAAGGCCTTTCCTGCATCTATTGAGATAATCATGTGGTTTTTATCATTCGTTCTGTTTATGTGATGGATTACGTTTATTGATTTGCATATGTTGAACAAGCCTTGCATCCCAGGGATGAAGCCGACAAGATCATGGTGGATAAGCTTTTTGATTTGCTGCTGGATTCATTTTGCCAGTATTTTATTGAGGATTTTCGCATCAATGTTCATCAGGGATATTGGTCTAAAATTATCTTTTTTTATTGTGTCTCTGCCAGGCTAAGGTATCAGGATGATGTTGGCCTCATAAAATGATTTAGGGAGGATGCCCTCTTTTTCTCTTGATTGGAATAGTTTCAGAAGGAATGATACCAGCTCCTCTTTGTACCTCTGGTAGAATTCGGCTGTGAATCCTTCTGGTCCTGGACTTTTTTTGTTGGTAGGTTATTAATTATTGCCTCAATTTCAGAGACTGTTATTGGTCTATTCAGGGACTCAACTTCTTCCTGGTTCAGTCTCTGGAGGATGTATCTGTCCAGAAATTTATCCATTTCTTCTAGATTTTCCAGTTTATTTGCATAGAGGTGTTTATAGTATTCTTTGATGGTAGTTTGTATATCTGTGGGATTGGTGGTGATATCCCCATTATCATTTTTATTGCGTTTATTTGGTTCTTCTCTCTTTTCTTCTTAATTAGTCTTGATAGTGGTCTATCAATTTTGTTAATCTTTTCCAAAAACCAGCTCCTGGATTCATTGATTTTTTGAAGGGTTTTTTTGTCTCTATGTCCTTCAGTTCTGTTCTGATCTTAGTTATTTCTTGCCTCTTGCTAGCTTTTGAATTTGTTTGCTCTTGCTTCTCTAGTTCTTTTAATTGTGATGTTAGGGGGTCGATTTCAGATCTTTCCTGCTTTCTTTTGTGGGCATTTCATGCTATAAATTTCCCTCTACACACTGCTTTAAATGTGTCCCAGAGATTCTGGTACATTGTTTCTTTTTTCTCATTAGTTGCAAAGAACATCTTTATTTCTGCCTTCGTTTCATTATTTACCCAGTATTCCTTCAAGAGCAAGTTGTTCAGTTTACATGTAGTTGCGCGGTTTTGACTGAGTTTCTTAATTCTGAGTTCTAATTTGATTGCACTGTGGTCTGAGTGACAGTTTGTTGTGATTTCTTTTACATTTGCTGAAAGTGCTTTACTTCCAATTATTTGGTCAATTTTAGAATAAGTGCAATGTGGTGCTGAGAATGTATATTCTGTTGATTTGGGGTGGAGAATTCTGTAGATGTCTATTAGGTCTGCATGTTGGAGAGCTGAGTTCAGGCATGGCTATCCTTGTTAAACTTCTGTCTCATTGGTCTGTGAAATATTGACAGTGGGGTGTTAAAGTCTCTCATTATTATTGTGAGGGAGTCTAAGTCTCTTTGTAGGTCTCTAAGGACTTGCTTTATGAATCTGGGTGCTCCTGTATTGGGTGCATATATATTTAAGACAGTTAGCTCTTCTTGTTCAATTGATCCCTTTACCATTATGTAATGGCCTTCTTTGTCTCTTTTGACCTTTGTTGGCTTAAAGTCTTTTTTATCAGAGACTAGAATTGCAACCCCTGCTTTTTTTTTGCTTTCCATTTGCTTGGTAGATCTTCCTCCATCCCTTTATTTTGAGCCCATGTGTGTCTCTGCATGTGAGATGGGTCTCCTGAATATAGCACACTGATGGGTTTTGACTCTTTACCCAATTTTCCAGTCTGTGTCTTTTAATTGAGGCATTTAGCCCATTTATATTTAAGTTTGTGTGTGAATTTGATCCTGCCATTATTATATTCACTGGTTATTTTGCCCCTTAATTGATGCAGTTTCTTCATAGCACTGATGTTCTTTACAATTTGGCATGCTTTTGCAGTGGCTGGTACTGGTCGTTTCTTTCCATGTTCAGTGCTTCCTTCAGGAGCTCTTGTTAGGCAGGCCTGGTGGTGACAAAATCTCTCAGCATTTGCTTGTCTGTAAAGGAGTTCATCTGTCCTTCACTTATGAAGCTTAGTTTGGCTGGATATAAAATCCAGGGTTGAAGATTATTTTCTTTAAGAATGTTGAATATTGGCCCACACTCTCTTCTGGCTTGTAGGGTTTCTGCCAAGTGCCGCTGTTTTTCTGATGGGCTTCCCTTTGCGCCTTTGTGGGTAACTCGACCTTTCTGTCTGGATGCCCTTAACACTTTTTCCTTCATTTCAACCTTGGTGAACTTGACAATTATGTGTCTTGGGTTTGCTCTTCTCGAGGAGTATCTTTGTGGTGTTCTCTGTATTTCCTGAATTTGAATGTTGGCTTGCCTTGTTAGCTTGGGGAAGTTCTCCTGGATAATATCCTGAAGAATGTTTTCCAACTTGATTCCATTCTCCCCATCACTTTCAGGTACACCAATAAAACATAGATTTGGTCTTTTCACATAGTCCCGTATTTTCTAGGAGGCTTTGTTTGTTTCTTTCTACTCTTTTTTCTCTAACCTTGTCTTCTCACTTTATTTCATTAATTTGATTTTCAATCGCTGATACCCTTTATTCCACTTGATTGAATCAGCTATTGAAGCTTTTGCATGCGTCACGAACTTCTCGTGCCATGGTTTTCTGCTCCATCCGGTCATTTATGGTCTTATCTACCCTGTTTATTCTATTTAGCCATTCATCTAATCTTTTTTCAACATTTTCAGCTTCCTTGTGATGGGTTTGAACATGCTCCTTTCGCTCGTAGAAATTTGTTATTACTGACCTTCTGAAGCCTACTTCAGTCAACTTGTCAAAGTCATTCTCCATCCAGCTTTGTTCCATTGCTGGTGAGGAGCTGCAATCCTTTGGCGAAGAGGTGCTCTGATTTTTAGAATTTTCAGCTTTTCTGCTCTGGTTTCTCCTCATCTTTGTGGTTTTATCTACCTTTGTTCTTTGATGTTGGTCACCTAAAGTTGGGGTTTTGGTATAGATGAACTTTTTATTGATGTTGATGCTATTCCTTTGTGTTTGTGAGTTTTCCTTCTAACTGTCAGGTCCCTCAGCTGCAAGTGTGTTGGAGTTTGCTGGAGTTCCACTCCAGACCCTGTTTGCCTAGGTATCACTAGCAGAGGCTGCAGAACAGCAAATAATATTGCAGAACAGCAAATATTGCTGCCTGATCCTTCCTCTGGAAGCTTCTTCCCAGAAGGGGACCTGCCTATATGAGGTGTCTGTCAGCACCTACTGGGAGGTGTCTCTCAGTTAGGCTACTTGGGGGTCAGGGACCCACTTGTGGAGGCAGTCTGTCCATTCTCAGAACTCAAATGCCGTGTGGGAGAACCACTGCTCTCTTCAGAGCGTGCCAGACAAGGATGTTTAAGTCTGCAGAAGTTGTCTGCTGCCTTTTGTTCAGCTATGCCCTGCCCACAGAGCTGGAGTCAATAGGTCTTGTTGAGCTGTGGTGGGCTCCACCCAGTTCAAGCTTCCGGACTGCTTTGTTTACTTACTCAAGCCTCAGCAATGGCGGATGCTCCAACCCCAGCCAGGCTGCCACCTCGCAGATCGATCTCAGACTGCTGCACTAGCAGTGAGCAAGACTCCGTGGGCATGGGACCCATCGAGCCAGGCACAGGAGAGAATCACCTTGTCTGCTGGTTGCTAAGACCTTGGGAAATGTGCAGTATTTGGGCAGGGAGTGTTCCGTTTTTTCAAGTAGTCTGTCACGGCTTCCTTTGGCTAGGAAAGGGAACTCTCACAACCCCTTGCACTTCCCGGGTAAGGCAACGCCCCACCCTGCTTCAGCTCACTCTCCATGGGCTGCACCCACTGTCCAACCAGTCTCAATGAACTGAACCAGGTACCTCAGTTGGAAATGTGGAAATCACCCGTCTTCTGAGTCAATCACACTGGGAGCTGCAGACTGGAGCTGTTCCTATTTGTCCATCCTGGAACGCCCCCCCACCCCCATATGTATTATTCTTGTCTGACTTTACTTCAAGGTTATACTAGTCTCATCAAATTAGTAGTGTTACTTATTTTCTTGTATTCTGAAACAGAATGAGATTGGAATTAATTGTTTTTTTTTGTAAATTGTGTTGAACTTTCTTACCAAAATGGGCCTGGTGTCTTTCTCGGGGAAGAGTAAGTAATCTGTGTAGCTACTTACAGTGCAGCTTTTTTTTTTTTTTTTTCCATTTAACTCTTTTTGCAAATAATTTAAAGATATTTGTTAAATAACTTTTTTTCCTAATATGAATCAAATACAAATTATTAAGTAGATCCCATTGCTTTCTGAATTTTGGTGTCTAGGCATGGAGTAAACTTTTTTGATTCAGTCCCCACTTGTTCTGATTCTAGGGTGTAGAAGTAGAGTTCCTCTGGAGAATGGGGTTTCACTTACTCTGTGTAAGCTTTTACTGTGCATGCTGTGAATCATGTTTTGCATGTCCATCCACTAAATACATTCTAACCTGGGCATTGTACCTTATGGAAATACCTCAGTTTCTAGCTTTTTAAACACTTTTTTATTTGTAGTATTATATTTATTTTGTTATTTGCATAGGAATTTGGAAAGATGGAAATTAAATACATAACTGATATTGTCATCTTGAAGCAGAAGTCTCATAAGTATCTACAATTTGTTTTATGTGCTTACATAGAGTTCATACTATGTTACATGTTGTGCTAATATAGATATGTGTTATGATATGTTTTATTATTGTTATATTAGCACTTCAAATAGTATTCATATTTAGTTTTTTCTCTTTTTATTTATTTTATTATTATTATTATGTTGAGATGGAGTTTCACTCTTGTTGCCCAAGCTGGAATGCAGTGTTGTGATTTCTGCTCACTGCAACTTCCACCTCCTGAGTTCAAGAGATTCTTGTGTCTCAGCCTCTTGAGCAACTGGAATTACAGGCATGCACCACCATTACATCCAGCTAATTTTTGTATTTTTAGTAGAGACAGGGTTTCACTATTTTGGCCAGGCTGGTCTCAAACTCCCAACCTCAGTCGATCTGCCCACCTCAGCCTCCCAAAGTGCTAGGATTACAGGCATGAGCCACAGCACCTGGCCTCTCTTTTATTTGTACAGATTTATGGCACACATGTAAAATCTTATTACATGTATTTGGTTTTAAATAACCAGAAGGCTAGGTGTCTGCACTTCAAATTGACTAATTTAAAATGCCCTAATATGTGTGTGCATACACACACACACACACACAAAAAGTTGAGACTTTACCAATTACCTACCCCTTTAGCACATTGGGAAATTTGTACACTCAGAAATACACTGTTGACTCAATGGTGGACTACAAGAAACCTGCCACTTCAAAAGATTTTGTAGTGCCTCAAGGCACTTAACTCTCTGTAGCAATGTATAGCACCATGGAGTTCATAGCTTGGTGTCTACATTCACCAAGAATTGTTATGAGTCCATTATTTGGTGGTACTGAGGGAACTGAGGCATTTGGGCTATATTTTTAACTTTACGATGAAATCTGGTATGGCTGTTTTATCTATGGAGGTAAGTGCTCAGCCTGCTGCACCTGAACAATATGTTACCCAATTCAGATATGTTTGCGAGAGGATTTACCATAAGTCTATATCTAGAAAGAACCCAAGTGCTTGGTAACATAAAAAATATATGATTAGACACCTTACAGCAAATAACTCTTCCCTGCATTATGATTCTTCTACAACTCTGGAAAAAGGTGACTCTTAAATTCAGGCCTTATATTAGCTGAGAAGAAATTCAGTGTTCTTGATTAAGAGTTAAACTACTAAAACATGATTTGGAACAATATTAATAATAACTCATACCCACTGACAGCTTCCTATCTACAAGGCATGATTCTCAGTTTTTCATGTGCTTTAAGTCATACAATTCTTACAACAACCATAAAACGTATATATAACTATTAATCTTCATTTTGCAAAGGAAGAAACTAAGGCACACACAAGCTAAGTGATGTAACCAAGGTTTCCACAGCCAGTATAGCACAGCCATAATTAGAACTCAGGCAATTTGTTTCTTGAGTGCATCCTCTTAACCATTATGGATGGGACACTGTGAATAGGACAGGGATTATCAGGTCTAAAAGAGTATAATAACATTTAGTTAGAATTCCAGTGGTTTCCATTTGGACCAATGATAGAGGAGTGGCCATAACAAAATGTAAGTGTAAAAAACTTTATAATTAGATTTCTTAGTGTCTGAGAGGATGGGCTCTGAAGTTAGATTATTTAGATTCATATTCTGGCTCCAACTTTTTATTTCTTATGTGTCTTTGAAATATTATTAAATTTCTCTAAGCCTCAATGTCCTGAATTGAGAGATCAAGCCAATAATAGAACTTATTAATTTAAATAATTTAGAACAGTATTTGGCACTTGAAAAGCTCTCAACACCCTGATGTGTGTGTGTTTCCATACTAGAATCTTATGTAAACCAGAAAACACAGAGATGCACTAATGTGTGCATCTTTAATGTAGATAAGGAAGAAAAGTTTTATATTTGTCTCTAGGCCCTGTGAGAAGTGCAGTTGGTGCTAGGCTGACAAAATCAATGGTATCTAGGTTTTTTTCAAGATACTTTTTATATGATTGGAGCACTACAACACTATCCTAGAAGCAGGAGTCATAAGAAAACTTGAAATGTAGCAGTTAGTTAGGCAACCTTGGCATAACAACAAAGCCTTTAGTTTTCCACAATCCCTCTTTTCCAATTCTCCTGATATAAGAAGGGAGCCTCATTTTAATTCCACTAACATCTTTGTCCTGAACTCTTTGATACTTTAGTTGTTGTTTTAAGTTGAAAGTTTCTTTTCATATAAAATTCAGATAAGAGCTACACTATGGAGAACAGAGTGTTTATGTAGTCCAGAGCAAACGGAAAGTAAATAAATGCCTTAGGAAGGGAGGTTGAGAAAATTAAACACACCATAATCACTGAAAAGTTCAATATCTTTATTTGAAAATCAGTTAACACAAAGTTAAAACAAGTAAAATCAATCTCAGAAGAACAAGATGGCTGATTAAACCCTGCAGTGATAGTACTAATGCAGGAACACCAAATTAACAACTATCCACACAAGAAAGCATCTTTATAAGAACCAAAAAATCAGGTGAGGGATCACAGTACCTGGTTTTAACATAATATCAAAGAAGTAGTCATTGAAGATAACAGGAAAGACACTCTTGTGTTGCTTACACCACTCCCTGAACATTCTCTATCAGGAGAGAGAATCTGTATGTGTTTGAGGAAGGGAGACTGAAGTGAGTGTGAGTCTCTGCATTGGAATTCAGTGCTTTCCCTTTACAGTGGAACACAACACAGGTCACAATTCTGGTAGTGCCCACAGAGGGAGCATTTAGAGCAGCACCAGGCCAGAGAGGTATTCTCAGCCCCAACAAGAGAAATCCAAGCCCCGGGTAGGTTCATCATTGGCTCACTAAAGTGGACTAAGTTCCAGAATAAACTTGTGTGGCAGTCAGGTCACAAGCACTGCAGTACTTGGGCAAGCCCTGGTGCTACACAGGTTTCAGAGGCAGTGGACTTGAGTTATGTGTGGCCCAGTGTGACACCAGCTGCAGCAGCCAAGGGAATGCCTGAATCACCTTTACCCCAAACCCAGGTAGTGCAGCTTGGGAAGATACTCCTTTTGCTTGGGGCAGAAGAGGGAAGAGTACAGAGGACTTTATCTTGCAACTTGGGTTCAAGCTCAGCCACAGTAAAATAAAGCACATAGCAGATTCCTGAAATCCTGGATTCCAGGGACCTTAGCTACTGAATATCATTTCTAGACTCACCATGGACCAGAAGGGAATCTTTTGCCCTGAAAGCTAGAACCCAGTCCTGGCAGGATTCACCACCTGCTGACTAAAGAGCCCTTAGGCCTTGAATACACGTCAGTATTAGTCAGGTAGTAGTTGCCATGGGCCTTGGGCAAGTCCCAATACTGTAGTGGATTCAGGTGTGAACCAGTGCAGTGCCAGCTGTAGAGGCCACAGGAGTGCTCATGTTACCCCTCCACCAACTCCAGGCAGCTCAGCGTGGAGAGAAATACCTTCTCATTGGGGGAAGAGAGGGAAGAGTGAGAGACTCTCACCGGCAACCAGATAAGTCTCCTGAAACTTACCCAAATCCACCAAGGTAGGGCCTCTAGAAGTCACTAAGAGTTGCAGTAGGTGTGCTTAAGGTAACTCGTAGTGCTCATGAAGCTGGAAACATCATAGTCTTAGATAACAATACTTAATTCTTTTTGAATACATGGAAAGCCTTATCAAGAAGGATGGCTACAAACAAGCTCAATACTGTGAAGACTGAAATAAGTACCTGACTTTTCAATTCCCAAACATTGACAAATGTATGCAAGTTATAAGAACATCAAGGTAAACATGACCTCACCAAGCTAAATAAGAAACCAATGACCTTGAAGTGACAAATATATGTGACCTTTCACCCAGAGAATTTAAAATAACTGTCCTGAGGAAGCTCAATGGACTTCAAGATAACACAGAGAAGAAATTCAGAATTCTATCACAGAAATTTAACAAAGAAACTAAAATAATTTTTAAAAATTAAGCAGAAATTTTGGAGTTGAAAACTTTGACAAACTGACAAATGCATCAGAGTCTCTCAGTAGCAGAATTGATTAAGTAGAAGAAAGAAATAGTGAGACGAAGAGAGGCTGTATAAAAATCTACAGTCAGAGGAGAAAAAAGAAAGAATAAAAAATAATAAACCACACCTACAAGACCTAGACAATAGACTCAAAACAGCAAATCTAAGACTTGTTGACCTTAGAGAAGAAATATATCTATATGTATCTATCTATCCATATCTATATATCTGTACACACACACACACACACACACACACAGAGAGAGAGAGAGAGAGAGAAATCAGGGTAGAATATTTATTGAAAAGAATAATAACAGAGAACTTTTCAAACTTAGAGGAAGATATAAATATCCAGGTAAAGAAGGTCATAGCACATCAAGATGATTCAACCCAAATAATACTACATCAAGGAATATTAAACTCTAAAGTCAGGGATAAAGAGAGGATTCTGAAAGCAAGAGAAAATAAGCAAATAACATATAAAGGAGCTCTGAAACATCTGGCAACAATGTTTTCAGCAGAAACCTTACAGTTCAGGAGAGAATGGGATGACGTATAAGTACTGAAAGAAAAAACTTTAAGTGTAGAATATTATATTCAGCAAAATTAGCCTTTACACATAAGGGAGAAATAAAGACCATCCCAGACAAACAAAAGTCAACCAATTTTATCAAGACCAAACCTATCTCACAAGAAATGCTAAAGGGAGTTTTTCAATTTGAAAGAAAAGGATGTTAAAAAATAGGAAGTAATCATCTGATACTGGTAATCAACCACTGATAATAGTAAGTACATAGACAAATACAGAATACTCTAACATTGTAATTGCGGTTTGTAACCCGCACAGGAACACCACAGGAACACCACATTTTACAACTATTTACACAAAAACAGCACCTTCATAAGTACCAAAAATCCAGTGAGAACTCACAGTATCTACTTTTAAATTCATATCACTGAAAGAGGCACTGGAGCAGGTAAAAAAGGCTGAATTCTATCAAACATTTAAAGACAAATACAAATCCTACTCAAGCTGTTTCAAACAGTAGAGGAGGAGAGAATACTTCCAAACTTATTATATGAGGCCAATATTATCCTGATACCAAATCCAGACAAAGATACAACAACAACAAATCTACAAGCCAGTATTACTGACAAGTATTAATACAAAAATTCTCGCAAAAGGCTAGCAAACCATCATATTTAAAAGATCATTCATTTTGACCAAGTGGGATTTATCCCAGGGATGCAAAAATGGTTCAACATATGCAAATCAATTAATGTAACACATCATATCAACAAAATGAAGGACAAAAACCATATGATCATTTCAATAGATGTTGAAAAAGCATTTGATGAAATTCAACAATTCTTTGCACTAAAAATGCTTTAAAAACTGGATGTAGAAGGAATCATATTTCAACATAACCCATATATGACAAATTCACAGCTAAAATTACATGAATGGGGAACACTGAACGCTTTTCCTCTTAGATCTGGAACACAAGGATGTCTACTTTCACCACTTTTATTCCACGTGGTATTGGAAGTACTAGTTGGAGCCATCAGACAAGAAAAGAAATAAAGAGCATTCAAGTTGGAAAGGAAGAAGTCAAGTTATCCTTTTATTTAGATAATATAATCTTATATTTTGGAAAACCTAAAGACTCCAGCAAAAAACTATTAGAAGAGAGAAAGAAACACAGTAAAGTTTCAGCACACAAAATTAACATACATAAATCAGAAGCATGTCTATAGGTCAACAGTGAACAATTTGAAAAAGAAATCAAGAAAAATAACTAATGGGTACTTGGCTTAATACTTGAGTGATAAAATAGTTTTTACAACAAATCCCCATATTACAAGTTTACCTATGTAATAAATCTGCACTTGTACTCCTGAACTTAAAATAGAAATTAAAAAAGAAAGTAATCCCATTTACAATTGCTACAAATAAGATAAAATACCTAGAAAGTAAATTAATCAAAGAAGTGGAAGATCTCTACAATAAACACTATAAAACATTTATGCAAGAAATTTCAAAAGACCCCAAAAATGTAAAGATATTCTATGTTCATGGATTGGAAGTATCAATATTGTTAAAAAGTCCATACTACCCAAAGCAATCTATAAATTTAATGTAATAACTATCAAAATATTAATGACATTCTTCACAAAAATAGAAAAAAAGTCCTAAAATTTATATGGAACCACAAAAGACCGAGAATAGCTAAGACTATCCTAAATAATAACAACAAGAAAAGAAAACTGGAGGAATCACATTATCTGACTGGAAATTATACTATGCAGCTATAGTAACCAAAATGGCATGGAACTGGCATAAAAACAGACACATAGATGAGTGAAACAGAATGAAGAACCCAAAGATAAATCCATACATCTAAAGTGAGTTCATTTTTCACAAAGGTGTCAAGAACATATATTGAGGGAAGGACAATTTCTTCACTAAATAGTGGTGGGAAAACGAAATGTCCACATGGAGAAGAATAAAACAAGACCTCTATCTTTCACCATATACAAAAATCAAACCAAAATGGATTGAAGACTTAAATCTAACACCACAAACTACAAACTTACTAACAGAAAACATTGAGGAAACTCTCCATAACATTGAAGTGGGCAAAGATTTCTTAAGTAATACCCCACAAGCACAGGAAACCAAAGCAAAAATAAAAGAAATGGAATCATATCAAGTCAAAAAGCCTCTTCACAGCAATTGACACAAGAAACAATTGACAAAGTGAAGAGACAACTCAGAATGGGAGAAAATATATTCAAACTACTCATATTAGAAGACATTAATAACCAGAATATATAAGGAACTCAAACAACTTTATAGAAAAAAATCTAACACTCCAATTTAAAAATGGGCAAAATATCTGAATAGACATATATCAAAAGACATACAAATGGCAAACAAGCCTATGAAAAGTGCTCCACATCACTGATTATCAGAGAAATGCAAATCAAATCTACAATGAGATATCAGCTCAGCCCATTTCAAATGGCTTTTATGCAAAAGTCAGGCAATACCAAATGCTGGCTAGGAGATGGAGAAAAGGGAACCCTTTTCACTCTTGTACAGCCTTGGTGGAAATGTTAATTAGTACAACTACTATGGAGAACAGTTTAGAGGCTCCGCAAAAAGTAAAAATACAGCTGCCTGGAGTCTGGGGGGATCACGGAGGATGGGAGGCAAGACTAGATTGCAGCTCTGACTTCAACGGACAGAGCAGTATGTGGAAGCTCGCATTAGAAATTTTTGCTGCAGAATGACTGCAGGAATAAATCAGGACATCTGAGAAGACCCATAAACACCCTGAAGGAAGCATATTGCTCCTGCAGGACCTGGGAGACACCCAAATACTGTGAGTGCCCAAACTGTGGAAGCAGAAAAGGGAGATTGTCCACCCTTGAACACACACCTTTACTGGAGAAACTGAAGGCCTAGATTATCAGAGAAGATTTTGACTTTACTTAGAGCTGAGTTAATTTAGAGAGCCGAGCAAAAAACAAGGGTAGAGGAAACAGTGGGAAAAGTTCTAGGACCTTGCTGGGTCCCCTAGCAAGCCGTTTTTGCCTGGCCTCACATGGGTCCTTCAGGAGGGTGGCCAGAAGCACTGGTAAAAGGCCACAGGGAGAAAGAAATCTTCAGCTGAACTTTGTAACAATTTGAACTGATTAAGAATCCTCCTGGCCAGAACTCAAGGAAGGGTGTGAATCTGGTGTGCAGACTCCACAGGCAGGGGAAGAAGGAAAGCCATATTTGCTTTTACATCTGGGAGGCAGATAGCCTGGGGTGAGTTCTCAGCCCTGCTCACCCACTGCCTGGAAATAGACTCAGTGCTGTTGTGTGGGGCATGAAGGGAGTGAGAGCAGCCCTTTGGAATGCATGGGAGCTGGGTAAGTCCTGTGACTGCTGGCTTTCCCCCACTTCCCTGAAAACCTGCATGACACGGTAGAGACAATCATAATCCTCCTAGGAACATAACTCCATTTACCTGGGAACCTCACCCCCATCTCCCACAGCAGCTGTAGCAAGACCCACCAAAGGAGAGTATGAGCTCAGACACACCTAGCCCAGCCCCCACCTAATGGTTCTTCCCTACCCACCCTGGTAACTGAAGACAAAAAGCATATACTCTTGGGAGTTCTAGGGCCCTGCCTACTGCCTATTCCACAACATACTAGCATAGCTGATGCTCTCTGGAAAGCGACACCTCCTGGCAGGAGGACAACCAGCATAAAAATAGTGCATTAAACCACCTAAGCTAAGAACCCTCACAGAGTTTATTTCACCCCCCTGCCACCTCCACCAGAACAGGTCCTGGTATCCATGGCTGAGACCCACAGGTGGTTAACATCACAGGACTCTGTGCAGACAACCCCCAGCACCAGCCCCCAGCCTGGTAGACTTGCTGGGTTGCTAGATCCAGATGTGAGGCAACAATCACTGCAGCTCAGCTCTCAGGAAGCCACATCCATGCAAAAAGGGGTAGAGTACAACAACAAGGGAACACCCTGTGGGACAAAAGATTCTGAACAACAGCCTTTGCCCTAGACCTTCCCTCTGACAGTGGCTACCCAAATGAGAAGGAACCAGAAAACCAACTCTGGTAATATGACCAAATAAGGTTCTTTAACACCCCCCAAAAAATCACACTAGCTCACCAGCAAGGGACCCGAACCAAGAAGAGATCTCTGATTTACTTGAAAAATAATTCAGTAGGTTAGTTATTAAGCTAATCAGGGAGACATCAGAGAAGGAGGAAGCCCAGTGTAAGAAAATCCAAAAAAAAAAAAAAAAAAGTCACAAGAAGTGAAGGGAGAAATATTCAAGGAAATAGCATAAATAAAAAACAATCAAAACTGCTATCAGGTTATCTAAAGTTAAGATGAATGAAAGAATCTTAAGATCTGTGAGACAAAAGCACCAGGTAACCTATAAAGGAAAACCTGATCATCATGGTGGACAGGAGGCAGGATTGCAGCTCTGACTTGGACAGACAGAGCAGCGTGCAGAGCCTCACATTGTGAATTTTAGCTCCAGATTGACTGCAAAAACAAATAAGCAATCCCAAGAGAACCCAAAGACCCTCTGAGGAAAGCAGAATGCTCTTGCAGGACCCAGGAGACACCTCAAATACTGGGAGTGCCCCAACAGCAGAAGTGGCAGAAGTGGGAAAGGGTGATCCTTCTCTCCCGAACACACACCCCCACTGGAGGAACTGAAGGTCTGTTTGTGGGAGAAGTTTCCAACTTACCTGGAGCTGAGTCAATTTAGAGAGCCAAGTGAAATACAGGGGTAGAGGAAGCAGCAGAAAGGCCCTGGGAGCTTGCTGGGTCCCCAAGCAGGTCATACCTGCCTGGCATTACAGGGATCCATTGGGAGGGCGGCCAGAGGAGTGGGGGGAAAACAGCACAGAAAGAAGAAAATCTCCAGCTGAACTTTGTAACAATTTGAGCAAGACAAGAAGCCTCCTGGCCAGAACTTAGGGAAGGGCATGAATCCGGTGCACAGACTCCACAGGCAGGGGAAGAACCAAGCCCTTTAATTTCACAGCTGGGTGGTGGGTAGCCTGGGGCAGGTTCTCAAGCCCGGCTCTCCCACTGCCTGGAAACAGACTTGGGGCTGTTGGGGGAGCACGGTGGGAGTGAGACAGACCCTTCGGTTTGCATGGGAGCTGGGTGAGGCCTGTGACTGCCAGCTTTCCCCCACTTTCCTGACAACCTGCATGACTCAGCAGAGAAAGCCATAATCCTCCTAGGTACACAACTCCATTGACCTGGAAACCTCACACCCATCCCCCACAGCAGCCACAGCAAGACTCGCCCAAGAAGAGTCTGAGTTCAGACACACCTAGCCATGTCCCCACCTGATGGTCCTTCTTTACCCACCCTGGTAGCTGAATACAACAGGCATATAATTTTGGGAGTTCTAGGGCCCCACCCACCACCAATTCCTCTCCATACTACCACAGCTGATGCTGTCTGGAAAGCACCACCTCCCAGCAGGATGCCAACCAGCACAAAAATAAAGCATTAAACCACTAAAGCTAAGAAACCTTTGGAGTCCATTTCACCCCCCTGCCACCTCCACCAGAACAGGTGCTGGTATTCTTGGCTGAAAGACCCATAGACGATTCACATCACAGGACTCTGGGCAGACAATTCTCAGTACCAGCCAGGAGCTGTTTAGACGTACTGGGTGGCTAGACCCAGAAGAGAGACAACAATCACTGCAGTTTGGCTCACAAGAAACAACATCCATAGGAAAAGAGAAAGAGTACTACAACAAGGGAATACCCCACGGGACAAAAGATTCTGAACAACAGCCATCAGCCCTAGACTTTCCATCTGACAGAGCCTACCCAAATGAGAAGAAACCAGAAAACCAACTCTGGTAATATGAAAAAACAAAACCCCAAAATCACACAAGTTCACCAGCAATTAATCCAAAACAAGATGAAAAATCCCTGATTTACCTGAAAAAGAATTCAGGAAGTTAGTTATTAAGCTAATCAGGGAGGCACCAGAGAAAGGGGAAGCCCAATGCAAGGAAATCCAAAAAACGATACAAGAAGTAAAGGGAGAAATATTTAAAAAAAAAAAAGTTCAAAAAAGCAATTTAAAATTCAGGAAACAATGGACACACTTACAGAAATGTGAAATGCTCTGGAAAGTCTCAGCAATAGAATTGAACAAGTAGAAGAAAGAAATTCAGAGCATGAAGACGAGGTCTTCAAATTAACCCAATCCAGCAAAGACAAAGAAAAAAAGAATAAGGAAATATGAACAAAGCCTCCGCGGAGTCTGGCATTATGTTGAATGATCAAATCTAAGAATAATTGGTGTTCCTGAGGAAGAAAAGAAATCTAAACGTTTGGAAAACATATATGGGGGAATAATTGAGGAAAACTTCCCAGGCCTTGCTAGAGACCAAGACAACCAAATAAAAGAATCACACACACACACACACACAAAATACAAAAAATAAATAAAACAAAAAATGGTTATTTGAAAAGATAAATAAGTTGATACACCATTATTGATATTAACCAAAAAAGAAGAAAGTAAACACAAATAACTTCAATAAGAAATGAAACAGGAGACGTTACAACTGATATAACTGAAATACAAAAGATCATTCAAGGCTACTGTGAACATCTTTAGGCACATAAACTAGAAAACCTAGAAGAGATGAATAAATTCCTAGAAAAATACAGCCCTCCTAGATTAAATCAGAAAGAATTAGATACCCTGGACAGATCAAAAAAAGGCAGAGAGATTGAAATGATAATTTAAAAATTACCAACAAAAAATGTCCAAGACCAGACAAATTTACAGAAGAATTTTACCAGTTCATTCAAAGAAAAGTTGGTACAAATACTTTTCACACTATTCCACAAGGTAGAGACAAAAAGGAACCCACTCTAATTCATTACATGAAGTCAGCATCACCCTAATCCCAAAACCAGGAAAGGACATAACCAAAAGAAGAAACTACAGACCAATATCCCTGACGAACATACATGCTAAAATCTTTAGCAAAATACTAGCTAACCGAATCCAACAACGTATCAAAAAATAATCCACCATGATGAAGTGGTTTTCATACCAGGGACGCAGGGATGTTTTAAGATATGCGAGTCAATAAATGTGATACACCACATAAACAGAATTAAAAGCAAAAATCACATAATTATCTCAATAGATGCAGAAAAAGCATTTGACAAAACCCAGCATCTGTCTATGATTAAAACTCTCAGCAATATTGACATACAAGAGATGTACCTCAATGTAATAAAAGCCATCTATGACAAGCCCACAGCCAACAAAATACTGAATGAGGAAAAGTTGAAGTGGTCTGGCTCGGCGGGTCCCACCCCCACGGAGCCCAGCAAACTAAGATCCACTGGCATGAAATTATCGCTGCCAACACAGCAGCAGCCTGAAATGGACCTGGGATGCTCAAGCTCGGCTGGGGGAGGAGCATCCGCCATTGCTGCGGCTTGAGTAGGCACTTTTACCCTTATGATGTAAACAAAGCCTCCTGGAAGTTCGAACTGGGCAGAGCTCACTGCAGCTCAGCAAGGCTGCTGTGGTCAGACTGCCAGATTTCTCCTCTCTGGGCAGGGCATCTCTGAAAAAAAGGCAGCAGCCCCAGTCAAGGATTTATAGATAAAACCGCTATCTCCCTGGGAGAGAGCACTTGGGGGAAGGGGCGGCTGTGGGCACAGCTTCAGCAGACTTAAAAGTCCCTGCCTGATGGCTCTGAAGGGAGCAGCGGACCTCCCAGCACAGCGATGGAGCTCTGCTAAGGGTCAGACTGCCTCCTCAAGTGGGTCCCTGACCCCCATGTATCCTGACTGTGAGACACCTCCCAGTAGGGGCTGACAGACACCTCATATAGGAGAGCTCCAGCTGGCATCTGGCAGGTGCCCTGCTGGGAAGAAACTTCCAGAGGAAAAAACAGGCAGCTCTTTGCTATTCTGCAGCCTCCTCTAGTGATACCCAGGCAAAAAAGGTCTGGAGTGGACCTCTAGCAGACTGCAGCAGACCTGCAGCAGAGGGACTTGACTGTTAGAAGGAAAACTAACAAACAGAAAGCAATAGCACATCCACTCAAAGACCGCATCCGAAGGTCACAGACATCAAAGAACAAAGGTAGATAAATCCACAAAAATGGGAAGAAACAAGTGCAAAAATTCTGAAAATTCCCAAAACCAGAATGACTCTTCTCCAAAGGATCACAACTCCTCGCCAGAAAGGGAACAAAACTGCACAGGGAATGAGTTTGACGAATTGACAGAAGTAGGCTTCAGAAGGTGGGTAATAACAAACTCCTCCAAGCTAAAGGAGCATGTTCTAACCCAATGCAAGGAAGCTAAGAACCTTGAAAAAAGGTTAGATGAATTGCTATCTAGAATGACCAGTTTAGAGAAGAACATAAATGACCTGATGAAGCTGAAAAACACAGCATGAGAACTTCATGAAGCATACACAAGTATCAATAGCCTAATGGATCAAGCAAAAGAAAGGATATCAGAGATGAAAGATCAACTTAATGAAATCAAGTGAGAAGACAAGATTAGAGAGAAAAAAATTAAAAGGAACAGAGCCTCCAAGAAATATGGGACTATGTGAAAAGACCAAATCTATGTTTGATTAGTGTACCTGAAAGTAACGGGGACAATGGAACTCAGTTGGAAAACACTCTTCAGGATATTATCCAAGAGAACTTCCCCAACCTAGCAAAGCAGGCCAACATTCAAATTCAGAAAATACAGAGAACACCACAAAGATACACTTCGAGAAGAGCAACCCAAAGATACATAATCAACAGATTCACCAAGGATGAAATGAAGGGAAAAATGTTAAGGGCAGCCAGAGAGAAAGGTCGGGTTACCCACAAAGGGAAGCCAATCATACTAACAGCAGATCTCTCGGCAGAAACCCTATATGCCAGAAGAGAGTGAAGGCCAATATTCAACATTCTTCAAGGTGCAGGTGCACATGTACCCTAAAACTTAAAGTATAATAAAAAAAAAAGAATTTTCCACCCAGAATTTCATATCCAGCCAAACTAACCTTCATAAGTGAAGGACAAATAAAATCCTTTACAGACAAGCAAATGCTGAGAGATTTTGTCACCACCAGGCCTGCCTTACAAGAGTACCTGAAGGAAGCACTAAACATGGAAAGGAAAAACCGGTACCAGCAACTGCAAAAACATACCAAATTGTAAAGACCATCGACACTATGAAGAAACTGCATCAGCTAATGGACAAAATAACCAGCTAGCATCATAATGACAGGATCAAATTCACACATAACAATATTAACCTTAAATGTGAACAGGTGAAATGTCCCAGTTAAGACACAGACTGGCACATTGGATAGAGTCAAGGCCTCTTGGTGTGCTATATTCATGAGACCCATCTCACATGCAAAGACACACATAGGCTCAAAAAAAGAAATGGAGGAATATTTACCAAGCAAATGGAAAGCAAAAAAAAATCAGGAGTTGCAATCCTAATCTCTGATAAAAAAGACTTTAAACCAACAAAGATCAAAAGAGACAATGAAGGGCAATACATAATGGTAAAGGGATCAATGCAATAAGAAGCACTATCCTAAATATTATATGCACCCAATACAGGAGCACCCAAATTCATAAAGCAAGTCCTTAGAGACCTGCAAAGAGCCTTAGACTCCCACACAATAATAATGGGAGACATTAACACCCCACCGTCGATATTAGACATATCAATGGGATAGAAACTTAACAAGGATATTCAGGACTTTACCTCAGGTCTGGACCAAGCAGACTTAATAGACATCTACAGAACTCTTCACCCCAAATGAACAGGATATACATTCTTCTCAGCACCTCATCTCACTTATTCTAAAATTTGCCACATAATTGGAAGTAAAACACTCCTCAGCAAATGCAAAAAACGGAAATCATAACAGTCTCTCAGACCACAGTGCAATCAAATTAGAACTCAGGATTAAGAAACCCACCCAAAACCACACAAATACATGGAAACTGAACAACCTGCTCCTGAATGACTACTGCATAAATAATGAAACGAAGTCACAAATAAAGGTGTTCTCTGAAATCAATGAGAATGAAAACACAACGTACCAGAATCTCTGGGACACATTTAAAGCACTGTGTAGAGGGAAATGTATAGCACTAAATGCCCACAGGAGAAAGGAGGAAAGATCTAAAATTGACACCCTAACCTCAAAATTTAAAGAACTAGAGAAGCAACAGCAAACAAATTCAAAAGCCAGCAGAAGACAGGAAATAACTAAGATCAGAGCTGAACTAAAGGAGATAGAGACACGAAAAATGCTTCAAAAAATCAATAAATCCAGGAGCTTGTTTTTTGAAAAGATCAACAAAATAGACTGCTAGCTCGGCTAATAAAGAAGAAAAGAGAGAAGAATCAAATAGTTGCAATAAAACATGATATAGGGGATATCACCACTGATCAAACAGAAATACAAACTACCATCAGAAAATACTATAAACACCTCTATGCAAATAAACTAGAAAATCTAGAAAGGATGGATAAATTCCTGGACACATACACCCTCCGAAGACTAAACCAGGAAGAAGTTGAATCCCTGAATAGAATAATAACAAGTTCTGAAACTGAGGCAGTAATTAATAGCCTACCAACCAAAAAAAAAAAAGCCCAGGACCAGATGGATTCACATCCGAATTCTATCAGAGGTACAAAAGGAGTTGGTGCCATTCCCTCTGAAACTATTCCAAACAATAGAAAAAGAAGGAAGCCTCCCTAATTCATTTTATGAGGCCAGCATCATCCTGACCCCAAAATCTGGCAGAAACCCAACAACAAAAAAGAAAATTTCAGGCCAGTATTTCTGATGAACATTGATGCAAAAATCCTCAATAAAATACTGGCAAAACAAATCCAGCAGCACATCAAAAAGCTTATCCACCACGACAAAGTTGACTTCATACCTGGGATGCAAGGTTGGTTCAACATACACAAATCAATAAACGTAATCCATCACATAAACAGAACCAATTAAAAATCCACATGATTATCTCAATAGATGCAAAAAAGTCCTTAGACAAAATTCAACACCACTTCATGCTAAAAACTCTCAATAAACTAGGAATGTATCTCAAAATAACAAGAGCTATTTATGACAAACCCACAGCCAATATCATACCGAATGGGCAAAAACTGGAAGCATTCCCTTTAAAAACCGGCACAAGATAAGAATGCCATCTCTCACCACTCCTACTAAACACAGTATTGGAAGTTGTGGCCAGTGCAATCAGACAAGAGAAAGAAATAAAGAGTATTTAAATAGGAAGAGAGGACGTCAAATTGTCCCTGTTTGCAGATGACATTATTGTGTATTTAGAAAACCCCATCATCTCAGCCCAAAATCTCGCTAAGCTGATAAGCAACTTCAGCAAAGTCTCTGGATACAAAATCAATGTGCAAAAATCACAAGCATTCCTATACACCAATAACAGACAAACAGAGAACAAAATCATGAGTGAACTCCCATTCACAATTGCTACTAAAAGAATAAAATACCTAAGAATACAACTTACATGGGATGTAAAGGACTTCTTCAAGGAGAACTAAAAACAACTACTCAAAGAAATAAGAAGTGACACAAACAAATGGAAAAACATTCCATGCTCATGGATAGGAAGAATCAATATCATGAAAATGGCCATACTCCCCAAAATACTTTATAGATTCAATGCTATGCCCATCAAGGTACCATTGACGTTCTTCACAGAATTGGAAAAAACTACTTTAAACTTCATGTGGAACCAAAAAAGACCCTACATAGCTAAGACAATCCTAAACAAAAAGAACAAAGCTGGAGGCATCACACTACCTGACTTCAAACTGTACTACAAGTCTACAGTAACCAAAACAGCATGGCACTGGTACCAAAACAGATATATAGACCAATGGAACAGAACACAGGCCACAGAAATAACACCGCACATCTACAACCATCTGATCTTTGACAAACATGACAAAAACAAGAAATGGGGAAATGATTCCTTATTTAATAAATGGTGTTGGGAAAACTGGCTAACCATATACAGAAAACTGAAACTAGATCCCTTCCTTACACCTTGTACAAAAATTAATTCAAGATGGATTCAAGACTTAAAAGTAAAACCTAAAACCATAAAAATCCTAGAAGAAAACCTAAGCAATACCATTCAGGGCATAGGCATGGGCAAGGACTTCATGTCTAAAACACCAAAAACAATGGCAACAAAAGCCAAAATTGACAAGTGGGATCTAATTAAACTAAAGAGCTTCTGCACAGCAAAACAAACTATCATCAGAGTGAACAGCAACCTACAGAATGGGAGAAAATTTTTGCAATCTATCCATCTGACAAAGGGCTAATATCCAGAATCTACAAAGAACTTAAACCAATTTATAAGAAAAAAACAAACAACTTCATCAAAAGGTGGGCAAAAGATATGAACAGACACTTCTCAAAAGAAGACATTTATGCAGCCAACAAACATCAAAAAATGCTCATCATCACTGGTCATTAGAGAAATGCAAATCAAAACCATAATGAGATATCATCTCCAGCCAGTAAGAATGATGATCATTAAAAAGTGAGGAAACAACAGATGCTGGAGAGGCTGTGGAGAAATAGGAACACTTTTACACTGTTGGTGGGAGTGTAAATTATTTCATCCATTGTGGTAGATAGTGTGGTGATTCCTCAAGGATCTAGAACTAGAAATACAATTTGTCTCAGCAATCCCATTATTTGGTATATACCCAAAGTATTATAAATCATTCTACTATAAAGACACATGCGCACATATGTTTATTGCAGCACTATTCACAATAGCAAAGACTTGAAACTAACCCAAATGTCCATCAATGATAGACTGGATTAAGAAAATATGGTACATATACACCATGGAATACTATGCAGCTATAAAAAAAGATGTGTTTCTGTCCATTGCAGGGAAATGGATGAAGCTGGAAATCGTCATTCTCAGCAAACTACCACAAGAACAGACAATCAAACACCACATGTTCTCACTCATAAGTGGGAGTTGAACAATGAGAACACATGGACACAGGGTGGGGAACATCACACACCTGGGCCTGTCGGGGGTTGGGTGGCTAGGGGAGGGATAGCATTAGCAGAAGTATCTAATGTAGGTGACGGATTGCTGGGTGCAGCAAACCACCATGGCACATGTATACCTATTTAACAAAACTGCACTTTCTGCACATGTACCCCAGAATGTAAAGTATAATAAAAAATTATTTTAATTAAAATATTTTAAAATATAAAAAAATGATACAATGAACTTTGGGGACTCGGGATGAAAGGGTGGGAAGGGTGTAAGGGATAAAAGACTACAAATATGGTGCAGTGTATACTGCTCAGGTGATGGGTGCACCAAAATCTCACAAAATACCACTTAAGGACTTACTCATGTAACCAAATATCACCTGTTCCTCAATAACCTATATAATAAAATAGATTGTGGGGCTGCAAATATATATATTCACAACAGACAATATTTGGAAGCAACCTAAATGTTTATCACCAGATGAATGGATAAAGAAAATATGGTACATATGCACAATCGAGTATTATTCAGCCTTAAAAAGAATGAGATCTTGTTGTGTGCAACAACATGGATAGAACTGGAGTTCATTATGTTAAGTGAGATAAGCCAGTCACAGAAGGACAAACTTTGCACGTTCTCACTTATTTGTGGGAACTAAAAATTAAGACAATTAAACTCCTGGAGATAGATTGTAGAAAGATGGTTACCAGAGGCTGAGAAGGGTCGTGAGGTATGGGGGAAATTTGGGGATGGTTATGTATTACCAAAAAGTAGTAGAAAGGAAAACTGAGAGCTGTTATTTGCTAGCACAACAGGGTGATGATAGTCATAAATAATTTAATTGTACACTTTAAAATAATTAAAAGAGTATAATTGGATTTCTTGTAATACATAGGATAAAGGCTTTAGGTGATGCATTCCCCATTTGCCTTGATGTAATTAATATGCATTGCATGCCTTTATCAAAATATCGCATGTAATCCATAACTGTATACACCTATTTACCCACAAAAATTAAAATTAGAAAATGTTAAAACACATAAAAAGCAAGAAATTAAAAACTTATTACCAGAGAACATTGCAAAGGAAGAAAAATGAAAAGGAAAAAAGAGAGAACCAACAAAGGAACCAGAAAAAATAATAACAAAATGGCAATAGTAAGTTGGTTTCTATCAATAATAACATTAAATGGAAAGGGAGTAAGCTCTCCAATCAAAAGACTTAGCATGGCTAAATAGATAAAAAGACAAGGCCCAACTATATGTTTTCTTAAAAAAAAAACTCACTTCATCTATAAAGACACATAGAGACTGAAAATTGAAAAAGTGTGAAAAGATATTTCACTCAAATGAAAACCAAAAAGGAGCAGGAGTAGCTATACTTTTATCAAATAAAATAGATTTTGAGAAAAAAACTATAAAAAGAGACAAAGAAGGTAATTATATAACAATTAAGGGGTCAATTCAGAAACAGAGTATAAGAATTGTAAATGTATATGGACCCAACACCAGAGCGCCCAGACATATGAAGCAAATATTAGAGTTAAGAGCAACTCCGCCAAAATACTGTTAGAACTAACAACAAATTTATTAAAGAATTAAATACAAGAGTAACATACCAAAATCAGTAGCATTTCTATATGCCAACAGCAAACAATCAGAAAAAAAAAGAAGAGGGATCTTGTTGTGTGTAACAACGCTGACAGAAACTACCAATAAAATAAAATACCTGGGAATAAACTTAACCAAAGAAGTGAAAGGTCTCTATAATGAAAACTATAAAACACTGATGAAAGAAATTGAAGAGGAAACAAAAAAAGTGGAAAGATACTCCATGTTCATGGATTGGAAGAATAAATATTAAAATGTCTGTACTACTCAAAGCAATCTACAGATGCAGTACAATCTCTATAAAAATACTTATCACATTCTTAAATAGAAAACAGTCCTAAAATTTATTTGGAACCATAAAAGGCCCAAAATAGCCAAAGCCATCCTGAGAAAAACAAAGAAGCTGGAGGCGTCACATCACTTGACTTCAAATTATACTAAAAACTATAGTAACCAAAATAGCATGATGCTGGTATAAAAACAGAAACAGACAAATGGAACAAAATAGAGAACCCAGAAATAAATTTATGTATTTACAGTCAGCTAATTTCCAACAAATGTTTCAAGAACATACACTGGGGGAATCACACAATCTTCAATAAATATTTATGGTAAAACTGGATATCTATATGCAGAAGAATAAAATTACACCTCTATTTCTTGCCATATACAAAATTCAAAACAAAGTGGATTAAAGATTTAACTCCAAGACCTGAAATTATGAAACTACTAAAAGAAAACACTGGAGAAACATTCCAGCACATTGGTCTGGGAAAATATTTTTTAAGCAAGACTTCAAAAAGACAGGCAACCAAAGCAAAACTAGACAAATGGGATCATACCAAGTTAAAAATCTTCTGCACAGCAAAGAAAACAATCATCAAAGTGAAGAGACAAACCACAGAATAAAAGAAAGTATTTGCAAACTACCCATCTGACCAGAAATTAATAATCAGAATAAACAAAAAGCTCAAAAAAATTCAACAGGGAAAAATCAGTTTGACTAAAAGATGGGCAAAAGATCTGAATAGACATTTTTCAAAACAAGACATACAAATGGCCAACATGTATATGAAAAAATGTTAACATCACTAAACATTTGAGAAATGCAAATCAAAACTACAATATCATCGCATTTCAGTTAAAATGATAATAACAAATGTTGACAAGGATACAGAAAAAGGAGAGCTCTTATACACTGTGGGAATGTATAAGAGCCACTAGGGATAATGGTATGGAGGTTCCTTGCAAAACTAAAAATACAACTACCATATGATCCAGCAATCCCACTCCTGAGTATATATCCAAAAGAAAGAAAAGCAGTATATTGAAAAGATATCTGAACACCCATGTTTATCACAGCCACTATTCTTGATAGCCAACATATAGAATCAACCTAAATGTCTACAAAGATGAACAAAGATTAATGTGATATGTATAAACACTGTAACGTTATTCAGCCATAAAAAGTAATGAAATCCTGTCATCTATAACAGCATGGATGTAGCTGGAGGACATTATGCTAAGTGAAATAAGCCAGGCACAGAAAGACAAATATTGCATGTTCTCACTAATATGTGAGAGCTAAAACAATCGAACTCATGGAGATAGAGTAGAATGATGGTTACCAGAGTTAAGGAAAGGTAGCAGGGAGGGAAAGATAAAGTGGGGATAATTAATGTGTCCAAAATTCAGTTAGATAGAATGAATAAGATCCAGTATACAGTATTACAATAGGATGACTATCATTAACAATAATTTATTGTATATTTTTAAATAGCTACAATAGTAAAATTTGAATATTTCTAACTCCAAGAAAGAATAAGTACTTGTGAAGGATACCAAAAGCAATCCTGAGGTGATCATTACACATTGTGTGCCTGCATCAAAACATCACACATACCCTATAAATATATACATTTATTATGTACCCATAATGATTAATGAATTTTTTAAAATTCAGTATCTGGGTTGAGATGGGGGAACCTACAGACCATACCAGAACTGTACATGAAAAGGAAAGTACTAGCAGTAGGCATGTTTGAATATAGTTAGAAAGAAATAGGGTAGGATAAAGATCTTTAATCAGCTACTGCATTTGAAATCATGGGTCTTGCCACTCTGGATGTAGTTTCATTTCTATTAACCAATGAACTTACATGGTACAAATATAACATTAAACCAAATTAACTTGGTACTGGAATTGACCTTCCTTGGCACCTTATTAAGGTTGTCAAAATGAGAGTTATGGGTGGGGAAGGGATTCTTAAAATTCTGCAGGTGGGAGCTGGCTTATGGAAATTTATGTTTTAATATTTTATCTTTGTGATGCTATTGCATCCTGAGCTTGTGGATTGAAAAATTTCTATCTACTTGGAATTTAAGTATGGTCCTTTTTTTTTTAAAAAAAAGAAAGTTTTCAGAAGCATCTCTTTGATTCTTGGATCAAAAAGTGTTGAGTAATAACATCCCATGGAGCTTTTGATTATTTTTAGATGATCTGTTTTCTCTGCAAATATTCTTTAGGTTTATATAAGGTGGTTTGACAGAAAAGAGTATAGTCTCTGTGATTAAACTAATTTTTATCTCTGTGTCAATACTAATTTGGCAATAAAGAATAATTAATAAATAGACCTTTCTTGGGCACTTACTGTATATACAACACTGTATGAGGAATAAAAAATATAAAAACTGACCTTACCCTTAGAGGTCTAAAAATCTTACAGGAGAGACAAGATACACATACCTGAAAGAAACAAAAACACAAAGCATAATATAGTTGTTAAGTGGTATGGAACAACGTAGAATAGTGGCTAAGAACACATGCTTTGGAGTCATTCATTCTTTCACAAACCTTTAACGATCACTTATTATATGTTATGTACTATGCTAGGTTTTGGAGATACAACAATTAGCAAGACCAACAGATTATCTGACCTTTTAGAGGTTAAATCCTAGTTGGGAGAATCAGATAATGTACCTAACCTTTCTAAGCCTCTGTGCCCTCATGTGTAAAATACTGAAAATCCCATCCATTATTCAGGATTATTGGGAAGATTAGACAGGTCAATATTTGTAAAATTCCTGGCATGCAGGAGACACTCAAGCCATAGGCTATAAGGATTATATATCTTCTCAAAAAACATGTGTTTCTTCCCAAAGGGAGCTGTGGTGTAATTGAAATATCATGGATCTTTTGGTGGATTTTGAATTTTGACTTGTTCATTTAACTGTGTGACTACAGTAAAGCTCTATAAGCACTCTGAAGCTATACTTTCATGTATAAAATGTACATAATACTTGTTTCATAGAGATGATTTTTAGGATTAAATAATATAATATTTGTAAAGTGCCTATTCCTTTGCCTGACACATATTAGGTGTTTCTTCAATAGTCAAGTTCACAGGATTTATTGACCAAAGAGCACTGGACTAATCAGGTCCCTTGTGATAGATGAGGAGGCCTTGAAGGACGTGAAGGAATAAATAATAAAGTACTTTTCAAAGACTTCTCCCCAACCACCAGCAGCAGCAGCAGCAGCAGCAATTGGAAGCATTTTCAAAATGAAAATCCTTAAAACCTATGCTAGATCTACTGAATCTGAAACTTTGGGAGTGGGAAATAGTGATCCGTGGGTTTTTTTAAACTTTTACTTTGAAATAATTATAAATTCATTGATAGTTGTAAGAAATAATACCAGGATAACCCATATACCCTTTACCCAATGGTGTCATATTGCATAGCTATAGTACAATACTACAACCATGAAATTGGCACTCACACAATCCACCAATCTTATTCCACTTTACCAGTTTAACTTAGACTCGTGTGTGTGTGTGTGTGTGTGCGTGTGCGTGTGTGTGTTAATTCTGTACAATTTTTATCATGGTACATTCATGTGGCTATCACTACAGCCAAGATACAGAAAAGTACTATCACCACAAAGGTTCCTCATACTATCCTTAACTCATTCCCTCCTGCCCTGTCCCTAATTACTGGCAACCACTAATCTGTTCTCCATTTTTTATAATATTGCCATTTAAAGAATGCTTTATAAATGGATTCATATAACACAGTATGTGACCTTTTGAGATTGGCTTCTTTTACTTAACGTAATTCTCTGGAGATTTGTTCAAGTGTTGCATCTATCAATAATTAATTATTTTTTATTGTTGAGTAGTATTTCATGGTATAAATGTACACAGTTTAAAAAGGAACTCACTGAAGAACATCTGGTTGTTTTTAGTCACTGGCTATTATGAACAAAGCTGCTATGAATACTCATGCACAAGTTACTGTGTAAGCATAAGCTTTTATTCATCTGGCATAAATGCACAACTGTGCAATCACTGGATTATATAAACTGTGCATGTGTGATTTTGTAATAACCGTTATACTCTTTGCAAGAGTGAGTTTGTCAATTTTCATTCACACCAGCAATGTAGAAATTCTCCAGATTCTGTCCATTTTTGCCAGCATTTAGTGTAATATATAATTTTTTAAAAAAATTTAGCCTTGTAAAAGATGTGTAGTGATATCTCATTTTGAGTCTAATTTGCATTTCCTTAATGGCTAACACGATTGGTTAAGTTTATGTGTCAACTTGGCTAGGTCATAGTATATACAAATATTCAATCAAACATGTCTGGATGTTATTGTGAAGCTGTTTTTTTAGATGAGATTCACATTTAAATTAGTAGACTTTGAGTAATGCAGATTACCATCCAAAATGTGTCATAACGTGTATGGGCTTAATCCAATCAGATGAAGGCTTTAAGGTAGACTGACCTCCCCCAAAGAAGAGGGAATTCTGTCAGCAGGCTGCCTTCAGATTTAAAACTGCAACATCAGTTGTTTCTTAGGACTCCAGTCTACTGATCTACCCTGAAGATTTTAGACTTGACAGCCTCCACAATCAAATGAGCCAATTTCTTAAAATAAACCTTTATTTCTCTCTCTCTACATATGTACATCCTATTGTTTCTGTTTCTCTGTAGAACCCTGATTAATACAGATAATAAGGTTAAATAATTTTATGTGTTTATTTTCCATCTCTGCTTCCTCTTCAATGAGATATCTGATTATGTTTTTTGCCCATTACATAATTGGATAGTTTATTTTTATAATACTGAATTTTGGGAATCCTTTATATATTCTATTGACGTGACCTTTGCTGGATACGTAGTTTGCAAATATTTTCTCCTTGACATTTTATATTTTTCACAGGTTTTTATGCAGAACAAAATTTTTTAATTTGGTGAGGTTCAAAATATCAATTTTTCCTCTCATAAGTTGTACTTATAATGTCAACTCTAAGAACTCTTCACATATTTCTAAGTGCCCAAAATGTTCTACTATGTTTTTTCCTAAAGGTTTTATAGCTTCATGTTTTACATTTAAGTTTCAGATCTATTCTGAGTTAATTTTTATATAAGGTATAAGGTTTATGTTGAGTTTTTTGTTTGTTTATGTGGGTTTTTTTTTTGTTTTTTGGTTTTTTTTTTTTTTTGGCTATGACTGTTCCATTGCTCTAGCTCTGTTCGTCAAAAATTTCCTCCATAAAATTGCTTTTATAACTTTGTCAAAAATACCTTTGTCTCACCTCTGTGAGATTATTTCTGGGTCCTCTAGTCTCTGTATCCATTTGTCAAAAATACCTTTATCTCACTTGTGTGACTATTTTCGGGTCGTCTAGTTGGCTCCAGCGATCTGTATGTCTACCCCTCCACCAATATTACCCTGTCTGGACTGCTGCAACTGTATAATAGGCTTTAACAGACAGTAGAGTGATTCCTAACACTTTATTCTTTTTCACAATCTTTTATTATTATTATTATTATTGCACTTTAAGTTTTAGGGTACATGTGCACAATGTGCAGGTTAGTTACATATGTATACATGGGTCATGCTGGTGTGCTGCACCCATTAACTCGTCCTTTAGCATTAGGTATATCTCCTAATGCTATCCCTCCCTCCTCCCCCCACCCCACAACAGTCCCCAGAGTGTGATGTTCTCCTTTCTTTGTCCATGTGTTCTCATTGTTCAATTCCCACCTATGAGTGAGAACATGCGGTGTTTGGTTTTTTGTCCTTGTGATAGTTTACTGAGAATGATGATTTCCAATTTCATCCATGTCCCTACAAAGGACATGAACTCATCATTTTTTATGGCTGCATAGTATTCCATGGTGTATAGGTGCCACATTTTCTTAATCCAGTCTATCATTGTTGGACATTTGGGTTGGTTCCAAGTCATTGCTATTGTGAATAGTGCCACAATAAACATACGTGTGCAAGTGTCTTTATAGCAGCATGATTTATAGTCCTTTGGGTATATACCCAGTAATGGGATGGCTGGGTCAAATGGTATTTCTAGTTCTAGATCCCTGAGGAATCGCCACACTGACTTCCACAATGGTTGAACTAGTTTACAGTCCCACCAACAGTGTAAAAGTGTTCCCATTTCTCCACATCCTCTCCAGAACCTGTTGTTTCCTGACTTTTTAATGATTGCCATTCTAACTGGTGTGAGATGGTATCTCATTGTGGTTTTGATTTGCATTTCTCTGATGGCCAGTGATGGTGAGCATTTTTTCATGTGTTTTTTGGCTGCATAAATGTCTTCTTTTCAGAAGTGTCTGTTCATGTCCTTCGCCCACTTTTTGATGGGGTTGTTTGTTTTTTTCTTGTAAATTAGTTTGAGTTCATTGTAGATTCTGGATATTAGCCCTTTGTCGGATGAGTAGGTTGCGAAAATTTTCTCCCATTTTGTAGGTTGCCTGTTCACTCTGATGATAGTTTCTTTTGCTGTGCAGAAGCTCTTTAGTTTAATTAGATCCCATTTGTCAATTTTTGCTTTTGTTGCCATTGCTTTTGGTGTTTCAGACGTGAAGTCCTTGCCCATGCCTATGTCCTGAATGGTAATGCCTAGGTATTCCTCTGGGGTTTTTATGGTTTTAGGTCTAACGTTTAAGTCTTTAATCCATCTTGAATTAATTTTTGTATAAGGTGTAAGGAAGGGATCCAGTTTCAGTTTTCTACATATGGCTAGCCAGTTTTCCCAGCACCATTTATTAAATAGGGAATCCTTCCCCATTGCTTATTTTTCTCAGGTTTGTCAAAGATCAGATAGTTGTAGATATGCGGCATTATTTCTGAGGGCTCTGTTCTGTTCCATTGATCTATATCTCTGTTTTAGTACCAGTACCATGCTGTTTTCGTTACTGTATCCTTGTAGTATAGTTTGAAGTCAGGTTGCATGATGCCTCCAACTTTGTTCTTTTGGGTTAGGGTTGACTTGGCAATGCGGGCTCTTTTTTGGTTCCATATGAACTTTAAGGTAGTTTTTTCCAATTCTGTCTAGAAAGTCATTGGTAGCTTGATGGGGATGGCATTGAATCTGTAAATTACCTGGGGCAGTACGGCCATTTTCACGATATTGATTCTTCCTACCCATGAGCATGGAATGTTCTTCCATTTGTTTGTATCCTCCTTTATTTCATTCAGCAGTGGTTTGTAGTTCTCCGTGAAGAGGTCCTTCATGTCCCTTGTAAGGTGGATTCCTAGGTATTTTATTCTCTTTGAAGCAATTGTGAATGGGAGTTCACTCAGGATTTGGCTCTCTGTTTGTCTGTTATTGGTGTATAAGAATGCTTGTAATTTGTATACATTGATTTTGTATCCTGAGACTTTGCTGAAGTTGCTTATCAGCTTAAGGAGATTTTGGGCTGAGACAATGGGGTTTTCTGGATATACAATCATGTCGTCTGCAAACAGGGACAATTTGACTTCCTCTTTTCCTAACTGAATGCCCTTTATTTCCATCTCCTGCCTAATTGCCCTGGCCAGGACTTCCAACACTATGTTGAATAGGAGTGGTGAGAGAGGGCATCCCTGTCTTGTGCCAGTTTTCAAAGGGAATGCTTCCAGTTTTTGCCCATTCAGTATGATATTGGCTGTGGGTTTGTCATAGATAGCTCTTATTATTTTGAGATATGTCCCATCAATACCTAATTTATTGAGAGTTTTTAACATGAAGTGTTGTTGAATTTTGTCAAAGGCGTTTTCTGCATCTATTGAGATAATCATGTGGTTTCTGTCTTTGGTTCTGCTTATATGCTGGATTACATTTATTGACTTGCATATATTGAACCAGCCTTTCATCCCAGGGATGAAGCCCACTTGATCATGTTGGATAAGCTTTTTGATGTGCTGCTGGATTTGGTTTGCCAGTATTTTATTGAAGATTTCTGCATCAATGTTCATCAAGGATATTGGTCTAAAATTCTCTTTTTTGGTTGTGGTTCTGCCCAGCTTTGGTATCAGGATGATGCTGGCTTCATAAAATGAGTTAGGGAGGATTCCCTCTTTTTCTATTGATTGGAATAGTTTCAGAAGGAATGTTACTAGCTCCTCCTTGTACCTCTGGTAGAATCGGGCTGTGAATCCATCTGGTCCTGGACTCTTTTTGGTTGGTAAGCTATTGATTATTGCCACAATTTCAGAGGCTGTTATTGGTCTATTTAGAGAGTCAACTTCTTCCTGGTTTCGTCTTGGGAGGGTGTATGTGTCGAGGAATTTATCCATTTCTTCTAGATTTTCTAGTTTATTTGCGTAGAGGTGTTTGTAGTATTCTCTGATGGTAGTTTGTATTTCTGTGGGATCGGTGGTGATATGCCTTTTATCTTTTTTTATTGAGTCTATTTGATTCTTCTCTCTTTTCTTCTTTATTAGTCTTGCTAGCAGTCTATCAATTTTGTTGATCCTTTCAAAAAACCAGCTCCTGGATTCATTACTTTTTGAAGGGATTTTTGTGTCTCTATTTCCTTCAGTTCTTCTCTGATTTTAGTTATTTCTTGCCTTCTGTTAGCTTTTGAATGTGTTTGCTCTTGCTTTTCTAGTTCTTTTAATTGTGATGTTAGGGTGTCAATTTTGGATCTTTCCTGCTTTCCCTTGTTGGCATTTAGTGCTATAAATTTCCCTCTACACAATGCTTTGAATGTGTCCCAGAGATTCTGGTATGTTGTGTCTTTGTTCTCATTGGTTTCAAAGAACACCAGCAACGGAACAAAGCTAGATGGAGAATGACTTTGACGAGTTGAGAGAAGAAGGCTTCAGACGATCAAACTCCTCTGTGCTACAGGAGGAAATTCAAACCAAAGGCAAAGAAGTTAAAAACTTTGAATAAAGTTTAGACGAATGTATAACTAGAATAACCAATACAGAGAAGTGTTTAAAGGAGTTGATGGAGCTGAAAGCCAAGGCTCGAGAACAACGTGAAGAATGCAGAGGCCTCAGGAACTGATGCAATCAACTGGAAGAAAGGGTATCAGTGATGGAAGATGAAATGAATGAAATGAAGCGAGAAGGGAAGTTTAGAGAAAAAAGAATAAAAAGAAAGGAACAAAGCCTCCAAGAAATATGGGACTATGTGAAAAGACCAAATCTACATCTGATTGGTGTACCTGAAAGTGATGGGGAGAATGGAACCAAGTTGGAAAACACTCTGCAGGATATTATCCAGGAGAACTTCCCCAATCTAGCAAGGCAGGCCAACATTCAGATTCAGGAAATACAGAGAACGCCACAAAGATACTCCTCGAGAAGAGCAACTCCAAGACACATAATTGTCAGATTCACCAAAGTTGAAATGAAGGAAAAAATGTTAAGGGCAGCCAGAGAGAAAGGTTGGGTTACCCACAAAGCGAAGCCCATCAGACTAACAGCTGATGTCTCGGCAGAAACTCTACAAGCCAGAAGAGAGTGGGGGCCAATATTCAACATTCTTAAAGAAAAGAATTTTCTTAAGAAAATTTTCTTAGCCAAACTAAGCTTCATAAGTGAAGGAGAAATAAAATACTTTACAGACAAGCAAATGCTGAGAGATTTTGTCACCACCAGGCCTGTCCTAAAAGAGCTCCTGAAGGAAGCACTAAACATGGAAAGGAACAACCGGTACCAGCCACTGCAAAATCATGCCAAATTGTAAAGACCATTGAGGCTAGGAAGAAACTGCATCAACTAACGAGCAAAATAACCAGCTAACATCATAATGACACGATCAAATTCACACATAACAATATTAACTTTAAATGTAAATGGGGTAAATGCTCCAATTAAAAGACACAGACTGGCAAATTGGATAAAGAGTCAAGACCCATCAGTGTGCTGTATTCAGGAAACCCATCGCACGTGCAGAGACACACATAGGCTCAAAATAAAGGGATGGAGGAAGATCTACCAAGCAAATGGAAAACAAAAAAAGGCAGGGGTTGCAATCCTAGTCACTGATAAAACAGACTTTAAACCAACAAAGATCAAAAGAGACAAAGAAGGCCATTACATAATAGTAAAAGGATCAATTCAACAAGAAGAGCTAACTATCCTAAATATATATGCACACAATACAGGAGCACCCAGGTTCATAAAGCAAGTCCTGAGTGACCTACAAAGAGACTTAGACTCCCACACAATAATAATGGGAGACTTTAACACCCCACTGTCAACATCAGACAGATCAATGAGACAGAAAGTTAACCAGGATACCCAGGAATTGAACTCTGCTCTGTACCAAGCGGACCTAATAGACATCTACAGAACTCTCCACCCCAAATCAACAGAATGTACATTTTTTCAGCACCACACCACACCTATTCCAAAATTGACCACGTAGTTGGAAGTTAAGCTCTCCTCAGCAAATGTAAAAGATCAGAAATTATAACAAACTGTCTCTCAGACCACAGTGCAATCAAACTAGAACTCAGGATTAAGAAACTCAGTCAAAACCACTCAACTACATGCAAACTGAACAACCTGCTCCTGAATGACTACTGGGTACATAACGAAATGAAGGCAGAAATAAAGATGTTCTTTTTCAAGATTGTTTTAAAACATTGGCTTTTATTTTTACTCACAGGAAGGCCATGCTCTCCATCTTAGTTCTAGGTCTGTCCTTATACTTTTTTTAGTTCCTGTACCACACAACTGAGATCTCAGAAGAAAGATGCTAATTTCCATTGCTGTCCAGAGATTACTCACTGAGAGTCAGGAATGTGTTAGCACTGGAGTCAGATGCCCATACCTACTAGCTTCAAGGCCACCACTAACTAGTCCCTATAGCCATGGGCAAATTACTTAATGACTCTGTTAGTCAGTTTCCTTGTTTATGAGATCGGACTACTAATAGTATCTATCCCATAGGGTTGTGAGGAATCCTGGGTAGTGGAATTATAGGTATTTCTTCCTTCCATTATAGGTTGATAATCTCCTGATTTTTAAATAATAAACATGGATATAAAAAGATTGTTTTAGCTACTCCAGGGCTAATGCCTTTTCATATAATTTTAGAATAAGATCGTTTATATCTACAAAAGAATTTTCTGGGATTTTGATATAATTGCATTAAACCTATAGATCAATTTTTGGAGAATTTACATATTTAGTATGTTGAGTGCTCAAATCAATAAGCACATATACCTCCCCATTTATTTAGGTCTTCTTTGATTTCTTTCATCATCATTTTATAATTTTTAACATACAGAGCCTGTGCATGTTTTGTTAGATTTATACTTAAATATTTCATTGTCTTTGGAGTGAAAGTAAATTATATTGTGCTTTTTATTTCAGTTTCCACGTGTTCATTGTTAGTATATAAATGTGATTGATTTTTGTGTGTCAATGGTGTATCCTGTGATCTTACTGAATTCTCTTATTAGTTCTGGAAGTTTGTTGTATATCCATTGAGATTTTCTACTTGAATAATCATATCTTTTGCAAATAGAGACAATTATATTTCTTCCTTTCCAGTCTGTATGCCTTTTATTTCTTTTTCTTGCCTTAGTTCACTGGCTGTGTCAAATAGTAGTTTTTTCCTGATCTCAAAGGGAAAGCATTGTCTTTCGCCATTATGTAGGTGTTATCTGTAGGATTTTTGCAGATGCTCTTTATGAGATAGAAGAAGTTTCCTAGTGAAACAAACTTGAGAAAAAAAGAGGAAAACATACAAAACACAGTGTAACAAAATGGACTGTACATGCTCAAAACCATTAAAGCCTTGCAAAAAGTTACTATAAAATCTTTCCTCTGATTTTATCCCATCCTAACTACTATATTTGTGTGTGCACACGTGTGTGTGTATGTGTGTACCTATCATCTATCTATCCCCATAACTGCACTCATCTATATATTTTAATTAGTAATAGATTCCTTAGTATCAGTATGTAAATAAGTTAAAAATGCAACTTTGTAAAACAAACAAAAGATTGAAACCAAAAAAGATGTTTTCTTCTAGTCCTAGGCCACTGAAAGTTTTTCTTATGACTGAGTATCGGATTTTGTCAAATGTTTTTTGTTGTCAGCTATGATCAGTTTTTCCTCTTTATCCTGTTAATATAATGGATTACGTTGAATTATTTTCAAATTTTGAGCCATCGTGCATAGCTGGAATAAATCCCACTTGTTCATGGTGTAGAATTCTTACACACACATGCACACGCACACACACTCAAATTAATGGTTTTATTTTTATTTTTAACATTAGCAGAGGAGCTCAAAACAGACTGATGTTCATAGATATAGTTTAAATGTAACAAAAGAGTTGAACTATGCACGTTGAGGAGAAGAAAGGGATTTTTATTATCAACCTTTTCCTAGTTTGCAGTTTTTAAATAGTAGAAACTAAACATGCATTATTTTTTTAAATCTTAATTTAGGATGAAGTAATACAACTGTGATCAGCCACTTAAGTTGCCTTTGTGGACAAAATTTAAATAAAATTTGAACTGGGTGTTACCATACTTATTAGTGGACTGGCTACATAATCACCTTGGCTTCTTAAGTCTGAGAATCATTAGAACACAACAAAAGAGCATTTCCATGAAGCCCAGAGAAAACTTGATAGCAATGATATACAATCAGAAGGCAGCTCTATTATACATCACAATGATGAGTGTTGATGTCCATTCCCTTTCTGACTAAAATTATTACTTTCACTCAAACTAGCTGGAAGTGAACCAAACAGTTAAAAATTCAGAATGAAGAATAAAATTATTTTCTCTTCACATAGAGAAGGGACACTCTTTTGGCCCCATTTACAGTAAATTCTGTGCTGAGTTCTCACTCCTTTAGAAGGGTAAACTGAAAGTCAGTTATTGCTAGCAAAACTAAAAGTGGATCCTTTTCCATCTTGAAGATGTTTCACATGAAAAAGCTGTTGGTTTGGCTTGAAGCTCTCTGGGAAAGAAGGGGTGCAGAGGTGGAGACAGGTTGGCATTGCAAGACCTCTTCGTATGAGACACCTTGCCCTGTGCTGTCAGGGAGAGCTTGGGCCACCTTGTTGTCTCTGAGAGAACCTGAGGTACCCACACACCCGCGGAGTGGAGCAGAGGTTTTTATCTGGGCTCCTTGAGGAGGATAAGCCATTGTGTTTTGCCAGCGAAAAACTATGGAGCAGTCAAAAGCCCAAAAAATTCAAAACCCAATTTTCCAGAGAAGCAGCTTCTAAAATAAATGCCAGTTGGTGAGGATAGATGAGAAGGCCAAGTCAGGGCCAAGTCAAATGGGCCAGATTCTTTGAAATATGGGATAACAGTGACTTGGGCAAAATCATGGAAGTGGGCAGCTGATAAAGCCACTATTACCACCACCCACTATCTCCCAGTATCTATGCATGGACAGACTTTGTTTCTCCAATTGTAAAATGGGAATAATACAGGCACCTACTTCAAAGGGTTGTGAGGGTTACATGAGGTGATATATATATATAAAATATTTATCCAAGTGGTCTGCACATACTATGTGCTCAAAATATGGTAGCTACTGTTAATATTTCATAATTATTAGGCACTGTCATTCAGAATAATTGCATAAGATGGCTCATTTAGGTAGAATGTATATTTTTTAGTTATCAGTTCTGTAAATCTCTCTTCCAGAGGCAGGCTATAAAAGTTGTGGGTCTCTAACTCCAGCACTTTGGGAGGCTGAGGTGGGTGGATCTTGAGAATTGAGACCATCCTGGCCAACATGGTGAAACCCCATCTCTACTAAAAATACCAAAAAATTTAGCTGGGCATGGTGGTGCATGCCTGTAATCCCAGCTACTCAGGAGGCTGAGGCAGGAAAATCACTTTAACCAAGGAGCCAGAGGTTGCAGTGAGCCTAGATTGCGCCATTGCACTCCAGCCTGGGCAACAAGAGCAAAACTCTGTCTCAAAAAAAAAAAAAAAAAAAAAAGGTGTGGAAGAGCTGTAGTGTTTGCTAATGTGACCTTTGTATGTAATTTTTAACCAGCAGGTGAGACCTTTTTCTGAGGGAAAATACTGCTCAATTCTTTCCAGTCTGGATAGTCTAGTATACATGTGTGGTTTTCACTTGATTTTTGGTTTGTTTTAACCGAATTGAGATATGGGGAAACTTTAGGGGCAGAAACATATTCTATATACCACCATTGGAGATGTTTTTTCTCATGGAAATCAAGGTAAGGAAGGCAAGTGAGGGATAAGATAGACATAAGAAATGGGAGAATTAACATTGCTATTAGATTTATTAAGTCAATTAATCCTCACAACAGCCCTTTGAGATAGATACTACTATTAACCCGAATTTGTGGATGAGGTTCAGAGGAATTAAGTAACTTAACCAGAGTCACAAAGTTATGAAATGACCTGCCCAAGCCAGGACTTGAGTTCAGGACTCTGCCCCTAAAATCTACACTGTTTGTTGTATATTATCCTATCTCCCCATGGGGAAATTTTCTTTGTCTACCAGCTTTCCTTCCTATTACTTACTTTTTCTTTACCTTCTGCAAATTCTTCCTCAAAGTTAGCAGAGAGAAGAGAAAAAAAGATAACAATTTTAAAATTGAGAAAAACTCTGGAAAAGCATAAAAGCTTAGAAGATACTAAGAAACGATTGTAGGGACTTCAAGATTGACATCAGTGTTGATAGAATTTGGGGTTGGGCAAAGAGGAAAAATACATTATCAGTACCAATTATCAGTGAGCTGGGGATGGGATTCGCCTGCAATCTAATTCATTTCTGCACTCAACAGATATTTCCTGAATACCTACTGTGTGCTTGACTCTCTTCTAAGCATTGGTCATCTAGTGGAGAATGCAACAGAGAACATCCACATGAGTGGAGCTTCCACTCCAGTGGGTACAATACATAATAAGCAAATAAAAAAATGGCATGAAGCATTAATTACTAACAAGAAAAGGTAAAGTAGTATAAGAGTACAGGGTGATGGAGTGGGTTCTGGTTTAACTACAGTGGTCAGAAGAAATGTCTCTAAGACATAATATCTAAGTAGAAATTATATGTTGGCAACCAAGGCCACTACTACATAGTGACTGGCAGGTGCCTAGAGCCTTCAGGGGAGATCTGAAAGTGGAAGTTCATTAAGGGAGCCCAATCAAAGCTTCAAAGCTGAAGGGGGGAAGAGTTGCTGAACTGAGGCAGAGGAGTAATTATAAAAGATGTTTGGTAACAGGGGCAGAGATGTAGTTCTGACCCCACCCACAGCAAGTGACCAGAAATTCATAAGTGATCTCAGAAAGGGATGCAGGTTTTCTTCTTCAAGAGGCTGGAGGAAAATGAGGTGAGTTTAACTTTAAAAGTGTAGATCATAAAAAATGACAGATATTACAGATATGATTTTTTCCATTTTTTCCAAACAAAGGTAAACAGAGGCCAAACCTATTCCAGTCCTGTGATAAATAGTGCAAGTGAAAACAAAATGATTGTAGACCATATTCAGTTGACTAGAGTTTTCAGCATTTTTTTTCCTGAATGCCTTTGAGGAAAACAGAGAAATGCCAAGTACCCAAGGGATCTGGGAGAAGTGGACCACATACACATTTTTGTCATCGTTGATGATAGCGGTGGAGGTGGAGAGCATTGACACTGATAATGTTGCTGAAGTGCTTGTCACTCTAGCATCAGGAAAAATGCAACAATGACTATTTCTAAATCCTACTGTTACAAAGACCAATCACTATTAATAATCTAGTCCAGCAGCTTTTTTTCTTCTTGTGAGACAGAGTCTTGCTCTGTCACCCAGGCTGGAGTGCAGTGGTGCATTCTCGGCTCACTGCAACCTCTGCCTCCCAGGTTCAAGCAATTCTCCTGCCTCAGCCTCCGGAGTAGCTGGGACTATAGTCGCACTCTGCCACACCCAGCTAATTTCTTTTCTATTTTAGTACAGACGGGGTTTCGTCGTGTTGCCCAGGCTGATCTCGAACTCCTGAGCACAGGCAATCCATCCGCCTCGGCCTCCCAAAGTGCTAGGATTACAAGCATGAGACACTGTGCCTGGCCTCCAGCAGCTTTAAGCATTGCTGACTAGTGGCCTTGTCAGATAAACCCAAATAAGAAGGGATAGTCAAGGACAGTTTAGCTGCCCTAAGATTGTAAAATGCTGTTGAGACAATCAGGCATGGATAAACAGAGAACTGTACAAAAACAAGTTTTATGAGATCTATAATCACACTAATTCTCCAAAAGAGTAAGGTATTAAAAAGTAGAAATCATTGAGGAATGCAGAGAGATGGGAGGTATGCACGAATAAAAGAGCTGGCTACACAGTCTGGTAGAGAAAGCCCAAACTTGAGTTCTGGATCCCTTTTAGTGCACCATCCTAGTGTATCTTCAAGGTTCTTTCATGACAGAGAAAGTGGCCTTTCAGGATGTTTGGTGGCCATATATTTGGCATAATATCTCCCAGTATCCTCCCACCTGTGAGATGCACAAATACTCAGGCAGGGTGTTAGTATCCTCAGTTCTCAAAGGTGATTTCTAGAAAATCCATTTCATCAAGGTTAGAAAAATGATTCTACCACATTTCAAGCCTCCTATCGCCACTGTAATTCAATAATTAATAACTTTGTTTTTCTCAGATCTGGGATGTGATATGAGGTCTGTAATTACTGTCTATAATGTGGCTTAGACAACTTTTTTTTTTTTGAGACAGAGTCTCACTCTGTCACCCAGGCTGGAGTGCAGTAGCGTGATCTCAGCTCACTGTAACCTCCACCTCTCAGGTTCAAGCGATTCTCCTGCCTCAGCCTCCCAAGTAGCGCCCATCACCACGCCTGGCTAATTTTTGTATTTTTAGTAGAGGTGGGGGTTTCGCCATGTTGGCCAGGCTGGTCTCGAACTCCTAACCTAAGGTGATCCACCTGCCTCGGCCTCCCAAGTGCTGAGATTACAGACATGAGCCACCGTGCCCGGCCTGTTTGGTTACACAATGTATTCAATTAAAGAAAATGATTACAGGCCATGATCCATGACCCAGGTGGAATGGCTTTACTGAAACACCTGTTTGAGTTTCTTTACTAATTTAATTTACATAAAGTGGACCTGCTAGTGAGTCAACAAATGATGCTTAAAGTGGCAATTCCTCTTTGATTTATAAATCTCTCAGCTTTCTGCCGGTTCCCAACTGCAAATGTGAAGATAGAATCATTAAAATAATTGTGTCACCTCTCAGGGTGTTAGTTTGAACTCAATAATGACTTAATCTCTGACCTTTCTGACCACACACAATGCTATTTGTTTTTACTCCATATTTTTGACCTTTAAAATCTAACTAGGGACATTAAACTGCATACATGAAAAGATAATAATTATACCATAAGGAAAACAAATACCATCTACATGACTTTCAGCAAACCTCGCAACCTCTCTAGCCAAGTTGGAAAAGTACATACCTATTGAGACTATACATTCTAAACAGCAAGACTATGTGGTGGTGTCAGAGACTTAATTCATTGGTGCAGTAATTTATTCATTTATTTATGTATTCAACCAATGTTCCTATTGCACCTATAGCATGCTGGATTCTTTGCTAGGTTATGGGAGCAAAAAGTAAAACTAGATAATACCAAAATTCAGGACATTTACAGTCTAGGAGAGGGAGAGGGCTATGTCAACAAACAAGGACGATGAAGGGTCATGGGTGCCACTGCAGAAATTACAGTATGCCCCAATAATAAAAATTATGGCTACTACTTATTGACTGTTTTCTATATGCCAAACATGGTGTTAGGTGCTAAAGGTAACAATGCCAATGACTAAAACTTATTGTGTGCTATTAAATCTTCACCTCTGAAATAGATTTTATTATTCCCACTTATAGTTGGAGAAACTGAATCACAGGTTAAATAATTTGCCCTATGTCACCCAGCAAGAAGTGGTGCAGAAATAAATTTGATCCAAATAGTTGGATTCTAGGGTCTACTCACTCAACCGTGAGAATGTTTATCCCCCAAAGAGAGACCTGGCACTTAAATGTTTAAGTCTTTGCTAAAGAGGCATATACAGTCAAATAAGGTAAATGACAACCTGGTAAGGAGAATTCTAAACGCATCCTCTGAAGATTCCCATCGCGCAGTTATTCAATTAAATGCTAACCTAGATTCTGCTGTGTAGGTATATGTAATTAAGGTTACTAATCAGCTGATCTTAAAATAGAAAGATTATCCTGGACTATTTAGGTTGTCATAATGGGTCCTTAAAAGCAGAAAAGGAAGCCAGACAGTTTATCAGAAATATTTGGAAAAGAGAGGCAGGAGAGACAAGGCAGAAGGGGAGTTCGGATAGATGTGAATGGAGAAGGACTCAATTTGCTGTTTCTGGCTTTGAAGATGAAAAAAAATGTGGGCAACCTCTAGGAGATGAGAACAATGCTCAGCCAACATACAGTAAGAAAATGGGGACTACATAAAATTGAATTAGACCAACTTCCTAAATGAGTTTGGAAGAGTATTCTCCTTAAGATTCTACAGATGAGAGCCCAGTCCAGCCAACAGCTTGATTTTGCCCTGTGAGACCTGTAACAGAGAAAGAAGACAAGCCACAATGTGCCCAAATTTCTGACCTACAGAAACGTTGCAATAATAAATTGTGTTTCTGGAAGATGCTAACATTGTGGCCATTTGTTACAGCAGCAATAGAAAACTGATGTGTATGCTTTGAAGACTAAAGCAAAGACGAAAGGTGCTGCCCATTTAACCCTAAAATTTTGAGAGGAAGCAACAAAACATAAAAGATCTCTGGATCTCCAATCTACTACTCTGTAAATTAATGAAGGTAGGATGTAGAGTGACTAGATATTCTAAGTTTCCTTTTAGATTTAAAATCTCAATTGTGCAATTATATTCAATTTGAAAGCATATGATATATTTATGGCTTTATATTCCTTTACATCATTAAATCAGAATTTTAGAGCAACAGAAATCTTAGAGTTTATCTAATCTGCTTACAATCTAATTCTTGAATTCTCACAACAGCTCCATTTCCTCATGCATTTATTATTGTATTCATTCAATAAATAGTTATTGGCCAGGCTTGGGGGCTCATGCCTCTAATCCTAGTGCATTGGGAGGCTGAGGTGGGAGGATAATTTTAAGCCAGAAGTTTGAGAACAGCCTGGGCAACATAGCGAGACCCTATTTCTACAAAAAATAAAAATAAAAATAAATAAAAATTATACAGGCATGATGGTATTGGGATGTGCCTGTAGTCTCAGATACTTGGCTGGCTGAGGCATGAGAATTGTTTCTGCCCACAAATTTGAGGCTGCAGTGAGCTATGACCATGCTACTGCACTTTAGCCTGAAAAACAGAGCGAGACTCTGTCTTTAAAAAAAATAGATAGGCAGATAAATAATTCTTAAGCTACTAAAATGTGCCAAGTCCTTTGGGTAAATGAATTAGCAGCCAGATAGTGTAGCCCTTGAAGCCAAAAGCTGTCGTGTTGAAGGAGTCCCAAAGTCATAAAAAATCTCTCTTGTAAAGAAGTCTTGATACAACAAAAGGTGGTATTCAGCTTCCCTCTCCCTGTATATCAGAAGTTGCACATTCTAATGACTTCAGGGGCCGAACAGATAATTTAAATGAGAAAGGTGATAACACTATGAAAGGGAATGCTAGAGAAGCTGACACAAACTAGAGGGCACAACTCATTCAAAGCAACAGACATTTACCCATCTATAGCCATATGTTTTTATGGAGAAATATGAGCCCAGCATTAGCCAAAGAAAGATAACATAGCATGGTTAATTAATGATGTGGGCTCTGCCATGTTCACCACTCTTATTCAATATAGTATTGGAAGTCCTAGCCAGAGCAATTAGGCCAGAGAAAGAAATAAAGTAGATCCAAGTTGGAAAAGAGGAAGTTAAACTGTCCTTTTTTGCAGTCAACATAATCTTATACACAGACAAATCTAAAGAGTCCACTGGTTGCAGGATACCAAGTTAACAGACAATAATCAATAGTGTTTCTATACACCAGTGACAAACTAACTAAAAAGAAATCAAGAAAACAATCCCATTTATAGCAATTACCAAAAAAATACCTAGGAAAAAAATCTAACCAAGGAAGTGAAAGAGCTCTACAATGAAAACTATCAAACACTGATGAAAGAAATTAAAGAGGACACATACAAATGGAAAGATATCTCATGTTCATGGATTGGAATAATTATTATTGTTAAAATGAATTTACTGCAGAAAGAAATCTACAGATTCAATTCAATCCCCATCAAAATACCAATGACTTCCTTCACAGAAATAAAAAAAAATCCAAAACTTTGTATAGAACTGCAAAAGACCCCAAATAGTCAAAGCAATCTCGATCAAAGAGAATAAAACTGAAGGCATCACATCACCTGACTTAAAAATATACTACAAAAACATAATAACTGAAAGAGCTTGGTATTGGTATAAAAACAGACATATAGATCAATAGAAAAGAATACAAAACACAGAAATAAATGTACATACTTATAGCCAACTGATTGTCAACAAAGGCACCAAAAACATACATTGAAGAAATGACACCTTTTAGATATGTAGTGCCAGGAAAACTGCATATCCCTATGAAGAAGAATAAAACTAGACCCCTATTTCTTACCATATACAAAAAAAAATCAACTCAAAATGGATTAAAGTCCTAAATGTAAGACCTGAAACTATAAAACTACTAGAAGAAAAAAAATAGGAGCAATGATTTAGGATGTTGCTTTGACAAAGATGTTATGAGTACAACTTCAAAAGCACAGGCAACAAAAACAAAAAATAGACAAATGGGACTATGTCAAACTAAAAGCTTCTGCACAGCAAAGGACACAAAAGAGTGAAGAAAAAACCTATATATATAATACATTGTATATTATATATATAAAACATTATATATATAACTATATATGTAATACAATAGAAGGCCACTCACTAATAACAAAGAATGAAATCCTGTAATTTATGGCAACATGGATCAGCCCAGGGGACATTATATTAAGTGAAATAAGTCAGGCACAGGAAGATAAGTATCATACGTTCTCACTCATATGCGGAAGCTAAAAAAAAAAAAATTCATGGCGCTGGAGAGTAGAATAGAGGTTATTAGGAGGCAGAGCAAGATGGGATAATAGAAGGCTCCAGATTTTGGCCCCCACCCTATGCAAGGACACCAAGTTAAGAACTATCTACACAGAAAAAAGCAAACAAACACTTCATAAGAACCCAAAATTAGCTGAGCAGTCATAGTACCTGGATTTAATTTCATATCACAGAAAGAGACACTGAAGAGATAGAAAAAACAGTTCTCAATCCCAGACACCACTCCCCCATGGCCCCCTGCCCCACCATCCGCAGCAGTGGCCTGGTGCGGAGAGCATCTCTGGGTATTGGGAGACAACAAACACTGCAATTGTGAGGCATTTAAGTCAGTGCTGGCCTGTTAGAGCAGAAAGGAAAATTTGACCAAATTCAGCTGATGCTTGCTCATGGAGGGAGCATCTGAACCAGCTCAAGCAACAGGGGAATTGGCAATCCAAATGGTCTAAACTTGAGTGCCTGAAAACATCACTAATGAGGATTACAGCTTTCTGTGTCTCCAAATAAACTTGGAAGGCAGTCTAGACCATAAGGACTGAAGCTCTTAGGCAAGTCCTACTGTTGAACTAGGCCCAGAGAGAGTGGACTTGCAGTGGGGGTGGTGCGGGGGGCAGCACACATGACATACTGAGACACCAGCTGGGGTAGCCAAAAGAGAGCTGGAATCACCCCTTGCTTAACCCCAAGCTGCACAACTCACAGTTCCAAAAGAGGCCTTTCCTTCTGCTTGACGTGAGGAGAGGGAAGAGTGGGGAGGACTTTGCCTTGCATGTAGGATACCAGTTCAGCCAAAGCAGGATAGGGTACCAGTCAAAGTTGTGAGGCCCCAATTCTGAGCCCTAGCTCCCAGATGACATTTCTAGACAAACCCAGGGCCAGAAAAGACCCACTGCCTTGAAGAAAAGGACAGACCCAGTCCTGGCAGCATTCATCACTTGCTAACTGAAGAGCCCTTGGACCCTGAATAACTAGCAGTCATACCCAGGTACTACATCAAGGACCTTGGGTAAGCCACTGAGACTTGCTGGCTTCAAGTGAGACACAGATCATTACCAGTTGTGGTGGCTATGGGGCAAAATTCCTTCTGTTTGAGGAAAGCAGAGTGAAAAGTAAAGGGGACTTTGTCTTGTACCTTATGTACCAGCATGGAAACGGGAACAGAGCATCAAGTGGGCTCTTAGGGTCCCCAGTTCTAGGACTTGACTCTTGGATGGCATTTTTGGACCTGTCCTGGGCCTGAGGGGATCCCACTGGCCTGAAAGGTGAGTCCCAGGCCAGGCACCATTGGGACTTAAGGGCACATCAGTGGTAGTCTGGAAGTACTGTTAGTGGCCTGGGATGGTGGTGGCTATGAGGTGAGGCTCCTCTGCCTTTGGAAAAAGGAGGAAAGAGTGGGAAGGCCTGCATCTTGTGGTTTCAGCGCCAGCTCAGCAGCAATAAAACAGAGCACTAAGATAGACTTCTAAGGTTTCGACTCTAGTCGCTGACTCCCTGGTGGCACCACTGGACCCATGCAGGGCCTGGGGAACCTCACCACCCCAAAGGGATGAACACAGCCCTGGCTGGCTCTGCTGATTGCAGCGCCCCAGTGCCTTGAGCACACATAGACAGTAGCCAGAAATTGCTTACAACAGGTTTTGGGTGAGACCAGCGCTGTGCTGGCTTCAAGTCTGATCCAGTGCAGTCATAGTGGAAGTGGTCACAAGGGTGCTTGTGTCAATCCACTCCCAGCTTTATGTGGCTCAGAAAAAAGGAGAGAGATTCTGTTTGTTTGGGAGTAAGTAAGCATAGAAAAAAGAGTCTCTGCCTGATAATCCAGATAATTCTCCCGGATCTTATCCAAGACCATTAAGGTAGTACTTCTATGAGTCTGCAAAAACCACAGTATTACTGGTCATGGGTTGCCCTCTAAAGCAGATACAGCTTAGATCATAACACCCAAGTCCTTTCGAATATCTGTAAAGCCTACCCAAGAAGAGCAGCTACAAATAAGCTCAGACAGTGAAGACTATAATAAATAACTAACTCTTCAATGCCTAGAGACTGAAGAACATCTATTAGCATCAACACCATACAAAAAAACATGACCTGACAAAATAAACTAAATAAGTCACTGGGGATAAATCCAGGGGAAACAGAGCTATGTGAATTTTCAGATAGAGAATTCAAAATAGCTGTGTGCACTTTGGGAGGCTGAGGTGGGCGGATAAAAAGGTCAGAAGATCAAGACCACCCTGGCCAACATGGTGAAACCCCGTCTCTGCTACAATACAAAACATTAGCTGGGAATGGTGGCATGCACCTCTAGTCCCAGCTACTCAGGAGGCTGAGGCAGGGGAGTCACTTGAACCTGGGCGGCAGAGGTTGCAGTGAGCCAAGATTGCACCACTGCACTCCAGCCTGGTGTCAGAGCAAGACTCCATCTCAAAAACAAAACAAAACAAAACAAAACAAAACAAAACAAAACAAAACAAAATAGCTGTTTGGAAGAAACTCAAAGAAATTTAAGATAACAAAAAGAAGGAATTCAAAATTCTCTCAGATAAATTTAACAAAGAGACTAAAATGATTAAAAAGAATCAAGCAGAAATTCTGGAGCTGAAAACATGCAAATTGGCATACTGAAGAATGCATCAGAGTCCTGTAATAGCAATATTGATCAAACAGAATAAATAATTAGTGATCTGGAAGATAGGTTATTTGAAAATACATAGAGAAGACAAGAAAAGGAATAAACAATGAAGCATGCCTATAGGATCTAGAAATTAGCCTCAAAAGTGAAAATCTGTTATTGGCCTTTAAAGAGGAAGTAGAGAAAGAGATAGAAGTAGAAGCTTTATTCAAAGAAATAATAACCATGAACTTCCCAAACACAGGGTTAGATATCAATATGCGTGTACAAGAAGGTTATAAAACACCAATCAGATTTAACCCAAAAAAGACTACCTCAAGGCATTTAATAATCAAACTTGCAAAAGTCAAAAATAAAGAAGGGATCCTAAAAGCAGCAAGATGAAAGAAACAAACAATATACAATGGAACTCCAATATCTCTGGCAGCAGACTTTTCAGCAGAAACCATACAGGCTAGGAGAGAGTGGCATGTCATATTGAACCATTTGACCCAGCAATCCCATTACTGGGTATATACCCAAAGGATTATAAATCATGCTGCTATAAAGACACATGCACACATATGTTTATTGCGGCACTATTCACAATAGCAAAGACTTGGAACCAAGCCAAATGTCCAATAATGATAGACTGGATTAAGAAAATGTGGCACATATACAGCATGGAATACTATGCAGCCATAAAAAATGATGAGTTCATGTCCTTTGTAGGGACATAGATGAAGCTGGAAACCATCATTCTCAGCAAACTATTGCAAGGACAAAAAACCAAACACCGCATGTTCTCACTCATAGGTGGGAATTGAATAATGAGAACACAGGGACACAGGAAGGGGAACATCACACACCGGGGCCTGTTGGGGGTGAGGGAAGGTGGGAGGGATAGCATTAGGTGATATACCTAATGTTAAATGATGAGTTGATGGGTGCAGCCCACCAGCATGGCACATGTATACATATGTAACTAACCTGCACGTTGTGCACATGTACCCTAAAACTTAAAGTATACTAAAAAAAGAAAAGAAAGTACTGAAAGGGGGAAAAAATTACCCTAGAATAGTATATCTGAAGTAAATACCCTTCAATCATGAAGAATACATAATTTCCCAGACAAACACAAGCTGAGGGATTTCATCAATATTAGACCTGTCCTGCAAGAAATGCTAAAGGAAGTACTTCAATGAGAAAGAAGAGGACATTAATGAACAATTAAAAAAATTACCTGAAGGTACAACACTTACTGCTAATAGTAAGCACACAGAAAAACACAGACTATTATAACACTGTAACTGTGGTGTGCAATCTACTGTTATCCTAAGTAGAAAGACTAAATGATAAACCAATCAAAAATGATAACTACAACTTTTCAAGACATAGTCATTAAAATAAAATATAAATATAAACAAAAAGTTAAAAAGTGGGGGGATAAAGTTAGGGTGTACTATTTTTATTAGCTTTATTTTTACTTGTTTGTTTATGCAAATAGTGTTGTTATAATCAGGTTAAAATAATGGGTTATAAGATATTACTTGCAAGCCTCATGATAATCTCAAATCAAAAAAACGTACAGTGGATACACAAAAACCAAAAGCAATAAACTAAATTATATCACCAGAGAAAATAAACTTCACTACAGGAAGACAGGAAGAAAAGAAAATAGGAAGAGAAGACCACAAGGGAAATGGAAAACAATTAAGAAAATGGCAGAAGTAAGTCCCACTTATCAATAATAACATTGAATGTAAATGGACTAAACTCTCCAATCAAAGACATAGACTGGCTGGATGAATGGAAAAACAAGATTAATTGATCTGTTGCATACAAGAAACTCACTTCACCTATAAAGACACACACAGACTAAAAATAAAGGGATGGAAAAAGATATTCCATGCCAATGGAAACCACAAAAAAGCAGGAGTTTCTATACTTAGAAAAAATAGATTACGGGACAAAAACTATAAAAAAAGACAAAGAACATCACTATATTATGATAAGCAGGTCAATTCAGCAAGAAGATATAACAATAACTATGTATATGCACCCAAAACTGGAGCACCCAGATATATAAAAAAATATTATTAGAGCTAAAGAGAGATAGGTGCTAATACAATAATAGCTGGAGACTTCAACATCCCATTTTCAGCATTGGACAGAACTTCCAGACAGAAAATCAACAAACATTAGATTTAATCTGCACTATGGAACAAATGGATCTAGTAGATATGTACAGAATATTTCATTCAAGAGCTGCAGAATACACATTCTTTTCCTCAGTACATAGATCATTTTGAAGGATAGACCATATGTTAAGTCACAAAACAGATATTAAAACATTCAAAAAAATTAAAATAATATCAAGAAACTTCTCTGACCACAATGGAATAAAAATAGAAATTAATAACAGGAGGAATTTTGGAAACTGTATAAATACATGTGATTTAAACAATATGCTCTTGAAAGACCAGTGAGTCAATGAAGAAATTCAGAAAGAAATTGAAAAATGTATTGAAACAAATGATATACCAAAACCTATGGAATACAGCAAAAGTAGTACTAAAAGTAGTACTAAGAGGGAAGTTTATATCAATAGCTGTAAGTGCCTACATCAAAAAAAAAAAAGAGAAAAAACTTTAAATAAACAATCTAATGATGCATCTTAACTAGAAAAGCAAGAGCAAACCAAATCCAAAATTAGTAGAAAAAAGAGAAATAATAAAGATCAGAGCAGAAATAAATGAAATTAAAATGAAAAAACCCAAAAGATCAATATAACAAAAAGTTGTTTTGAAAAGTTAAATAAAATTGACAAACCTTTAGCCAGACTAAGATAAAATAGAGAAGTAACAAATAAATAAAATCTGCAATACAAAAGATGTTACACCTCATGCTGCAGAAATTCAAAGGATCATTAGTGCCTGCTATGAGCAACTACATGCCAATAAATTGGAAAATCTAGAAGAAATGGACAAATTCATAGATATATGCAGCCTACTGAGATTGAACAAGAGAGAACTCCAAAACCTGAGTAAAGGGATATCAAGTAATAAGATTGAAACAATAACAAAAAGACTTACAGTAAAGAAAAGCCTGGGATCTGATGGATTCACTGATGAATTCTACCAAACACTTAAAGAAGTAATGCCAATTTTACTCAAACTCTTCTTGAAAATAAAGAAATGAATACATCCAAACTTATTTTACAAGGCCAGCATTATCCTGATAGCAAAACCAGACCAAGACAAACACACAAAAAAGAAAAATACAGGCCAATATCTCTGATGAATATTGAAGCAAAAATTATCAACAAAACACTAGCAAATGGAATTCAAAAATACATTCAAAAAAGAATTCATTACGATAAAGTGTGATTTATCTCTGAGATGCAAAACAGTTGAAAATACACAAATCAATCAATGTGATATAACAACAGAATAAAGAGTAAAAACCATATGTGATCATTTCAATTGATGCTGAAAAAGCATTTGATAAAATTAAACATCCCTTCATGATAAAAAAAAAAAAACCTCAAAAAACTGGTTGGGGATACAAGAAACACACCTTAACATAATAAAAGCCGTATATGACAGACTCACAGCTACTTCTTTAAAAAACTAAAAAGCTACTCCTCTAATATCAGGAAAACAATAAGGATGTCCACTGTCACCACTGTTATTCAACATAGTACTGGAAGACCTAGTTAGACCAATCAGACAAGAGAAGTATATAAAGGACATCCAAATTGGAATGGAAGAAGTCAAATTATCCTTCTTTGCAGATGATATAATCTTATATTTGGAAAAACCTGGACTCCTTCACAAAAAAGTATTAGAACTGATAAAAAAATTTTCAGGATACAAAATCAACATACAAAAATTAATAGGATATCTATATACAAACAGTGAACAATTTGAAATGAGAAATGAAAAAGTAATCTTATTTGCAATAGGTACACATAAAATTAAATACCTAGGAATTAACCAAAGAAGTGAAAGATTTCATAATGAAAACTATAAAACACTGATGAAGGAATTTGAAGAGCATATCAAAAAATGGACAAAGATTCCATGATCATGGATTGGAATAATCAATATTGTGAAAATGTCCATACTACCCAAAGGAATGCAGATTTAATGCAATCCCTATCAAAATACCAATGACATTCTTCACAGAAATAGAGAAAAAATCATTAAATTTTTATAAAACCACAAAAGACCCAGAATAGTTAAAGCCATTCTAAGAAAAAAAGAACAAAACTGGAGGAATCACATTACCTGACTTCAAATTATACTACAGAGCTACAGTAACTAAAACGGTATAGTACTGATATAAAATCAGTCACATAGACCAATGGAACAGAATAAAGAACTCAGAAACAAGTGCACACACCTACAGTGAACTCATTTTCAAAAAAAGTGCAAAGAACATACACTGGGGAAATGACACTTGCTTTATTAAATGGTCCTAGGAAAACTGGATATCCATATGCAGAAGAATGAATCTATCTAGACACATGTCTCTCACCATATACAAAAATGAAGTCAAAGTTGATTAAATATTTAAATCTAAGACCGCAAACTATGAAACTATTACAAGAAAACTTTGGGGAAAATCTCCAGGACACTAGTTTGGGGAAACATTTCTTGAGCGATACCCCACAAGCATAGGTAACTAAAGCAAAAATGGACCAGTGGGATTGCATCAAGTTAAAAAGCTTCTGCATGGCAAAAGATAAAGTCAACAAAGTGAATAGACAACCCCAGAATGGGAGAAAATATTTGCAAATGACCCATTTGACAAAGGATTAATAAGCAGAATATATAAGGAGCTTAAGCAACTCTATAGGAGAAAAATAATAATCTAATACAAAAATGGCAAAATATTTGAATAAACATTTCTCAGAAAAGACATACAATGGCAAAAAGGCATATGAAAAGGTGCTCAACATCATTGGTAATTAGAAAAATGCAAATCAAAACTACAGTGAGATATTTCACCTCAGTTAAAATGGCTTATATCCAAAAGACAGGCAACAACAAATGGTGGTTGGAAGGTGGAAAAAATGAAACTGTAGCCCGTTCTCACAATGCCACTAAAGACATAACCGAGATTGTGTAATTTATAAAGAAAAGAGGCTTAATTGATTCACAATTCATTATGGCTGAGGAGGCCTCAGGGAAACTTACAATCATGGTGGAAGCTGAAGTAAACATGTCCTTCTTTACATGGCAGAAAGAAGGAGAAAAATGAGCAAAAGGGGGAATATTCCCTTATAAAACCATCAGATCTTATGAGAACTAACTTACTGTCATGAGAATAGCATGGAGGTAAACGTCCCCATGATTCAATTACCTCCCATTTAGTCCCTCCCATGACATGTGAGAGTTATAGGAACTACAATAGAAGATGATATTTGGATGGAGAAACAGCCAAAGCATATTATTTAAGCCCAGCCCCTCTAAAATCTCATGCCTTTCCAACAGTCCCTCAGTCTTAACTCATTCTAACATCTCATTTGAGACAAGGCAAGTCCCTTCCACCTTTGAGCCTGTAAAATCAAAAGCAAGTTACTTACCTCCTAGACACAATGAGGGTACAAGCATTTGGTAAATATACCCATTCCAAATGGGAGAAATTGGCCAAAATGAAGGGGCTACAGGCCTCATGCAAGTCCAAAATCCAGTGGGGCAGTCAAATCCTAAAGCTCCAAAATGATATCCTTTGACTCTACGTTCTCACATCTAGGTCACACTGATGCAAGAGGTGGGCTCCCATGGCCTTGGGCAGCTCCACATCTGTGGCTATGCAGGGTATAGCCCTTCTCAGCTTCCTTCATGGTCTGGCATTGCGTGTCTGTGGCTTTTCCAGGTGCATGGGGCAAGCTGTCATAGGATCTACCATCCTGGGGACTAGAGGAAGGTGGCCCTCTTCTTACAGCTGCAGTAAGCAGTGCCCCAGTGAAGACTGTATGTGCGGGCTCCGACCCCACATTTTCCTTCTGCACTGCCCTAACACAGGTTCTCCATGAGGGCTCCACCCTGCAGCATACTTCTGCCTGGACATCTAGACATTTCCATACATCCTCTGAAATCTATGTGGAGGTTTCCAAAACTCATTTCTTATCATCTGCACACCTGCAGGCCCAACACCACATGTAAGCTACCAAGTCTTGGGGCTTGCATTCTCTGAAGCCATGGCCCAAGCTGTACCTTGGCCCATTTTAGCCACCTCTGGAGTGGCTGGGATGCAAGGCACCATGTTCCAAGGAGGCTGCACATAACAGGGTGCCCTGGGCCGAGCCCACAGAACTATTTTTGCCTCCTAGGCTTCTGGGCCTGTAATGCAGGAGGAGCTGCTGCAAAGGTCTCTGACATGCCCTGGAGGCATTTTCCCCATTGTCTTGGTGATTAACATTTGGCTGTTTGTTACTCATGCAAATTTCTGCATCTGGCTTGAATTTCTTCTTAGAAAATGAGTTTTCTTTTCTAACACATCATCGGGCTGTAAATTTTTCAACTTTAATGCTCTGCTTCCCTTTTAAACATAAGTTCCAATTCCAAACCATATCTTTGTGAATACATAAAGATGAATGCTTTTAACAACACCCAAGCCACCTCTTGAATGGTTTGCTGCTTGGAAATTACTTCTGCCAGATACCCTAAATCATCTCCCTTAAGTCCAAAGTTCCATAGATCCCTGGGACAGGAGCTAAATACTGCCAACCTCTTTGCTAAAACATAGCAAGAGTCACTTTTATTCCAGTTCCCAACAAGTTTCTCATCTCCATCTGCAACCACATCAGCCTCGATTTCCTTGTCAATATTACTGTCAGCATTTTGGTCAAAGCCATTCAACTTGGAAGTCCCAAGCTTTCCCACATCTTCCTGTCTTTTTCTGAGCCTTCCATCCAAACTGTTCAAACCTCTGCCTGTTACCCAGTTCCAAAGTCACTTCCACATTTTGAGGTATCTTTACAGCAGCACCCCACTCTATGTGGTATCAATTTACTCCATTAGTCTGTTCTCGCACTGCTAATAAAGACATTCCTGAGACTGGGTAATTTATTAAAAAAAGAACTTTAATTGACTCACAGTTCAGCATGGCTGAGGAGGCCTCAGGAAACTTACAATCACGGAGGAAGTGGAAGCAAACATGACCTTCTTGACATAGTGGCAGAAAGGAGAAGAATGAGCAAAAGTGGCAAAAGCCCCTTATAAAACTATCAGATATTGTGAGAACTCACTCACTATCATGAGAACAGCATGGAGGTAACTGGCCCCATGATTCAATTACCTCCCACTGCATCATGCCCCTGGCACATGGGGATTATGGGAACTACAGTAGAAGATGAGATTTGACTGGGGCACCGCTAAACCATTTCAGAAACCCTTGTACACTGTTGGTGGGAATGTAAATTAGTAGAACCACTATGGAGAACAGTTTGGAGATTCCTCAAAAAAAAAAAAAAATGAGCTACCATATGATCAAGCAATCCCACTGCTGGGTATATACCCCAAAGAATGGATATCAGTATATCAAAGAGATAGCTGCACTCCCATGTTTGTTGCAGCACTGTTAACAATAGTTAATATTTGGAAGCAACCTAAGTTTCCATTAACAGATAAATGGATAAAGAAGAGGTGGTACACATAAACAGTGGAGTACTGAAGATGGCTGAATAGGAACAGCTCCAGTCTGCAGCTCCCAGTGTGATCAACGCTGAAGAAGGGTGATTTCTGCATTTCCAACTGAGGTACCTGATTCATCTCACTGGGACTGGTTGGACAGTGGATGCAGCCTATGGAGGGTGAGCTGAAGCAGGGCAGGCCATCACCTCACCAGGAAAGTGCAAAGGATTAGGGGACTTCCCTTTCCTAGCCAAGGGAAGTCATAACAGAGTGTACCTGGAAAAACGGGACACTCCCGCCCAAATACTGCACTTTCCTCAAGGTCTTAGCAACTAGCAGAGAAGGAGATTCTCTTGTGTGCCTGGCTTGGTGGGTCCCATGCCCATGGAGACTTGCTCACCGCTAGCACAGCAGTCTGAGATCGAACTGTGAGGCAGAAGCCTGGCTAGGCAAGGAGCATCCACCATTGCTGAGGCTTGAGTAGGTAAACAAAGTGGCTGGGAAGTTCGAACAGGGCGGAGCCCACCACAGCTCAGCAAGGCCTACTGCCTCTAGACTCCACCTCTATGGGCAGGGCATAGCTGAACAAAAGGCAGCAGACAACTTCTGCAGACTTAAACATCCCTGTCTGACAGCTCTGAGGAGAGCAGTGGTTCTCCCAGCATGGCATTTGAGATCTGAGAATGGACAGACTGCCTCCTCAACTGGGTCCCTGACCCCCTTGTAGCCTAACTGAGAGAAACCTCCCAGTAGGGGCTGACAGACACCTCATATAGGCAGGTGTCCCTCTGGGAAGAAGCTTTCAGAGGAAGGATCAGGCAGCAATATTTGCTGTTCTGCAATATTTGCTCTTCTGCAGCCTCTGTTAGTGATACCCAGGAAAACAGGGTCTGGAGTGGAACTCCAGCAAACTCCAAAAGACCTGCAAATGAGGGACCTGACTATTAGAAGGAAAACTAACAAACAGAAAGGAATAGCATCAACATCAACAAAAAGGACATCTACACCCCATCTGTAGGTCACCAACATCAAACAACAAAGGTAGATATAACCACAAAATGGGGAGAAATCAGAGCAGAAAAGCTGAAAATTCTAAAAATCAGAGCACCTCTTCTCCTCCAAAGGATTGCAGCTCCTCACCAGCAATGGAACAAAACTGGATGGAGAATGACTTTGACAAGTTGACAGAAGTAGGCTTCAGAAGGTTGATAATAACGAACTTCTATAAGCCAAAGAAGCATGTTTCAACCCATCGGGAGGAAGCTAAAAACATTGAAAAAAATGTTAAATAAATGCCAAACTAGAATAAACACTGTAGAGAAGACCATAAGTGACCTGATGGAGCTGAAAACAATGGCATGATAACTTCATGACGCATGCATAAGCTTCAACAGCCGATTCGATCAAGTGGAAGACAGGGTATCAGTGATTGAAGATCAAATTAATGGAATAAAGCGAGAAGACAAGGTTAGAGAAAAAAAGAGTAAAACGAAATGAACTAATCCTCCAAGAAATATGGGACTATGTGAAAAGACCAAATCTACATTTGATTGGTGTACCTGAAAGGGGTGGGGAGAATGGAACCAAGTTGGAAAACACTCTTTAGGACCAGGAGAACTTCCCCAACCTAGCAAGGCAGGCCAACATTCAAATTCAGGAAATACAGAGAACATCACAAAGATACTCCTCGAGAAGAGCAACCCCAAGACACATAATTGTCATATTCACCAAGGTTGAAATGGAGGAAAAAAATGTTAAGGGTAGCCAGAGAGAAAGGCTGAGTTACCCACAAAGGGAAGCCCATCAGAAAAACAGCAGATCTTTCATCAGAAACTCTACAAGCCAGAAGAGAGTGTGGGCCAATATTCAATATTCCTAAAGAAAAGAATTTTCAACCCAGAATTTCATATCCAGACAAACTAACCCTCATAAGTGAAGGAGAAATAAAATCCTTTACAGACAAGCAAATGCTGAGAGATTTTGTCATTATCAGGCCTGCCTTACAAGAGCTCCTGAAGGAAGCACTAAACATGGAAAGAAACAACCCATACCAGCCACTGCAAAAACATGCCAAATTGTAAAGACCATTGATGCTATGAAGAAACTGCATCAATTAATGGGCAAAATACGCAGGGAACATCATAATGACAGGAGCAAATTCACACACAACAATATTTACCTTAAATGTAAATGGGCTAAATGCCCCAATTAAAAGACACAGACTGGAAAATTGGATAAAGAGTCAAGACCCATCAGTGTGCTGTATTCAGGAGACCCATATCATGTGCACAGACACACATGGGCTCAAAATAAAGGGATGGAGGAAGAAGTACCAAGCAAATGGAAAAAAAAAAAAAAGGCAGGGGTTGCAATCCTAGTCTCTGATAAAACAGACTAAACCAACAAAGATCATAAGAGACAAAGAGGGCCATTACATAATGGTAAAGGGATCAATTCAACAAGAAGAGCTAACTATCCTAAATATATATGCACCCAATACAGGAGCACCCAGACTCATAAAGCAAGTCCTTAGTGACCTACAAAGAAACTTAAACTCCCACACAATAATAATGAAAGACTTTAACACCCCACTGTCAATATTAGACAGATCAACAAGACAGAAGGTTAACAAGGATATCCAGGACTTGAACTCAGCTCTGAACCAAGCGGACCTAATAGACATCTACAGAACTCTCCACCCCAAATCAACAGAACATACATCTTCTCAGCACCACATCACACTTATTCTAAAACTGACCACATAATTGGAACTAAAGCACTCCTCAGCAAATCTAAAAGAACAGAAATCACAACAAACTGTGTCTCCGACCACAGTGCAATCAAAGTAGAACTTAGGATTAAGAAACTCACTCAAAACCACACAACTACATTGAAGCTGAACAACCTGCTCCTGAATGACTACTGAGTAAATAACAAAATGATGGCAGAAATAAAGATGTTCTTTGAAATCAATGAGAACAAAGACACAACATACCAGAATCTCAGGGACACATTTAAAGCAGTGTGTAGAGGGAAATTTGTAGCACTAAATGCCCACAAGAGAAAGCAGGAAAGATCTAAAATTGACACCCTAACATCACAATTAAAAGAACTAGAGAAGCAAGAGCAAACACATTCAAAAGCTAGCAGAAGGCAAGAAATAACTAAGATCAGAACAGAACTGAAAGAGATAGAGACACAAAAAACCCTTCAAGAAATCAATGAATCCAGGAGCTGCTTTTCTGAAAAGATTAACAAAATTGATAGACTGCTAGCAAGATTAATAAAGAAGAAAAAAGAGAAGAATCAAATAGACACAATAAAAAGTGATAAAGGGGATATCACCAACGATCCCACAGAAATACAAACTACCATCAGAGAATACTATCAATACCTCTATGCAAATAAACTAGAAAATCTAGAAGAAATGGATAAATTCCTGGACACATACACCCTCCCGAGACTAAACCAGGAAGAAGTTGAGTCCCTGAATAGACCAATAACAGTCTCTGAAATTGAGGCAATAATTAATAGCCTACCAACCAAAAAAAGTCCAGGATTTTTCTATTCTACCTGCTACTCTTTATTTAATTTTAGACAGTTGTTTCTACTACATGATCCACTTCATTACCACTTTTTGTCTCTTCAGTCCAGTCCAGTCTGGCCTCCTTCCCAACCAGTTCACTCTAACCACTCTTGGCAAGGTCTTTGATGACCTTTGTGTTGCCAAACATACTGATGACCTTCTTCCTTCATCTTAAACCTTTAAAAGCATTTGTTACAGTGGTCCACTCCCTCCTTCTTCAGCTCTCTCCTCCCTTGCTTTCTGTGTTGTCATACTTTCCTGATTGTCTTCTGCCGCCTTCACTACTCAGTCTCTGCTATATGCTCCTCCTCTTCCAGACCTTTTATAGTGTCCCAGAACTCAGTCCTGGGCTTTCTCTTCTCTTTCCTCCACTTTACTCTCTTTCTCTTTCTTTTCATTTACAGAGTGAGTAGGTCAATCAGATGATCCAAAATTTGATTTTTAAAAAATTAGTTTATATTCTATTACTATCACAATGAAAAGACACAAAGATGAAATTATCACAGAGAACTTTCTTTTATGTTCATGGACCCCCATGGAGTTCTGAGCACCTCAGAGAAATGAGAGAATTCTGGCCATATAGAACATATAAAGTGCAGAAACTCCACAATCTATACATAACATACTAATAGCTCAACATATATTTTTGAAAATAGATTGTTTTTACTATCAAACTGGTCAGCCTCGATAATGGCTTCAGCATTTGGGCCTTATCTATAATAATTACAACAACAACTACTACCAATTTAGTGATAACCTACAATGGTCTAGGCTCTGTATCAGGTGCTTTACATATAGCATCTCATCCTACCTTCACACAATCCTGAGATATAGATAATACCATCACCATTTTTTCATTTGAAGAAACTGAAGCACAGAGGCATTAAATTGATAGTTGAAGACTATAGAGTCAGTTTATGAAGAAGCTGTGTTTAAATTCCAGGTTGACTAGGATTTAACTGATTTCAAAACTGGCTTTTTAGTGCTATGCTTGTATAGGCCATTCTCACATTGCTATAAAGAAATGCCTGAGACTGGGTAATTTATAAAGAAAAGAGGTTTAATTGGCTCATGGTTCTGCAAGCTATACAGGAAGCATAATGGCTTCTGGTTTTAGGAAGGCCTCAGGAAGCTTCCAATCATGGTGGAAAGCAAAGAGGGAGCAGTTGTCTTACATGGCAAGAGCCAAGAGCAAGAAAGGGGGGCATGCTACACACTTTTAAAGGACTAGATCTCACAAGAAATCACTCACTATTGCAAGGACAGTACCAAGGGGGATAGTGCTGAACCATTCATGAGAACTCTGCCCCTGTGACCCAATCACCTCCCACCAGGCCTCACCTCCAATATTGAGAATTACAATTCAACATGAGATTTGGTGGGACAGAGATCAAAATCATATCAATGCTCTTCATCTAATTTACTGATTACTTAAATTGTCCTGCAATTTTGGAGAACATGTATAGTTCAGAAGAAAGAGGTTAACTGTGTGATTTTTTTTAAGAAGAAACTTTAAACGTATTTCTTTTTCATCAATGAGAATGCATGAAGTACTGCTACACAGAACAACAGAGATGAATCTTACAAATATAAAGTTGAGCAAAAAATGCCAGACTCTAGGTAATATATACTAACTGATTCCATGCACATAAAGTCCAAAAACAGGTACAACTAATTTTTGTGTGCTAGAAACTAGAATGGTGATAATCTTAGTAGAGGGTTTTGGCACTGGTAAGGAGTATGAAGGATGCAAGGAATATTCTGTTTCTTCATCTGGCTGCTGGTCACACAAATGTGCTCATAGAGCTCAACACGCATGATTTGTGTGTTTTCTGTCTATATGCTATACCTCAATAAATTTACTTTAAAATTATTCATTTTAATTTAACTACATGGCTAGATATGAATTCACATATTCTTCAAGTCAGTGCTCCTATTATTGGACTACTGCAATTCTAATCAATAGTCACAAACATATATATCCTTACTCATTTCATTCAAACTGACTAGGTTTGAATCCTAGCTTTGCCACATACTAGATATGTGACCTTGAGCAATGACTTAACAGCTCTGCACCTTATTTTTCTCATTTATCAAATAAGAATAATTAGTATCTACTTGTAAGAATGCAATGATTTAATTGCTACCCCTTAGCTAAAGATCACCAAAGCATCATAATTATTTCCATAATTATTCTCATCACTTTGCTGTTTCCACTGAACAATTGCCTTGACCAGACAATTCTTCACGTCCCTACATGGACAATTATAAATGTCTTCTAAGAAGTAATACACAATGTTTTTAAAATCCTGGAAGCACAGCTACTGGAAAATCCTAAGATTTTGAATCCACTCAATGTCATCTGCACAATTGTTACTTACCTAATTTCCAGAGAAAATTGTAAAAGGTGATTTTTCCACAGAACATATTCATACCTACAAAGTTCAGGCTCTAGGGAGAATTTCTCTTCTTGACCTGAAGTACCTAAAGTACTCTCTTTGACCTACTACCAATATGCTTGTCCACTTTGCCAAGGGCCTTCTCTCATTTATTGCACTTATTCTTTTATTCTGAGACATAATTAAAGTTTCTATTCAAAAGTAACTTGGCTTTCTCTGTGTTCAGATGAATTAACTAATTCCCTGTATTCATATGTCTAACTTAGCTTTTCTGGTTCGATGGCTGCTTCATTTTTTGAGGCATATTGTTCAGAAAATCTATACATTATTCAAAAATTTATACACATCAAAATCACTCATTTCTATGCTTTCCATTCTAATTTTTTATCTGTTGAGCAAAATCAACAGAAAATTTTAATAATCCAACAACAAACAAAAATTGAGTTGTTATTTTTGCCTAATGACTGATAGGAAGTTACCCCAGTCCAAAACTTGCTACAAAATTTTGTAACCTATTTGTATTTAACCTGGTTTTTCTATGTCAGGAAAGTTCCCATTGCCTCTTTTCTCGGAATCCTAAAGCTATCCTAAATCCTCTCAGTCTGGAATTCTTATTCTCCTCAGATTATGCCCCATGCTCTGCACTATTTTTCTTCTGAAGAGGATTTGGATTTCATTTAGAAACCCATTTAAAATTGTACTACCATTCAAATATTCTTTGTCTCATCTTCTGTTTCATGACTCTTGTTATTCACTCTCTATCCTTTTCTGCCTATGTCATCATCATGCAGTATAGTTCTTTCCTTGGCTAATGTCCTCTGGCTGCATTTCTTCACAGAAGCTTATTTTTCCTATCTTCTCTTTTTGGTTATTTCTAGTTTTTCTCCATCCAGTCAGATATATTTCCTGTCACTTTCTTTCCAAGTTATGTTTTACCAGCTATTCTCTCCTTGATTATTTCTGTGTATTTTGAGTGATTATTACACTACACACTAAACTTTCACCTACATGTTGTGAACGTGTAACTATGTATTCCATCTGGTATCATGACCCTATAAACTTCTCCCATAACAATGTATTACTAAGTTATTAATTCTAACTGAAAATAAACTGTACTTGCTTATTTGACTAATGTTGCTCTTTCCGAGCAACATTGTCAGTAAGGGACTATAAGTTACCTTTCAACTACACCCCACCTCAAGAACTAGAAAATGAGAGCTATTTGAGTGTATTTTGAGGATTATGTTGTAGGATCAGCACATCACTAATCAAGGAACACAGATGTAAAATTATCTGAGGAGACAAAATGAATTTTGGGCCCTTAAAGTATAAGTATACTGTGACCTGGCTGACTGTATTAGCATCTTAAGAAAGAATGAACCACAAAGGCATAGGGAAAAGTTGGTCCCTGAAGTAAGGATTGGCAGCAACCAATGGATACAGGTGCCTTAGCCACTTGACTTCCAGTATTTTCAACCCTATAATCAATATCATCTCTGTTGGGAGATGAATGCACAGCACTAGCTTTGATTTATGTCATTAAACTGTTAGTTTATGATCTTATGAATCATGGTTTACCCAACAACCATCCTGCTATATCCCATCATATGTCTTTCAGATGATTTTGCTTGTGTCTGCTCTGATTAATGACGTAGGCTTATAATTTACATTCAAAGGGCAATCAAGTAGCTCTAATTTTCTAGTTCTGATTTTTATTTGGCTTCCTATTTAAGCTTTGAGAAGGGAAATGTGCTGGATGCATACACATAAGTAGTTTAGGTAGGCATCACAGTCCTGTTTCTCACTGGAAAATAATAAATTGGCATTCTCCCGTCTATCTCAGTCTCATCTGCTGTTTCATTTGTGTGAGTCAGTAACTCAGGGCCTGCACTATTCTGGCAGCTGGTAAAAGTGAGACCTTTGGACCTGCAAAACATAACAAAAGCCAGCAAGGCAACACTTAAATAACTGTTGAGACATACTGAAGTTGACATCTAAAGTTTGTCACCGTATATTTAAATAATTGCAAGAATACAATTTCTGGGATATTATGAATATTGACATTTTGAAATAAACTGTTACGTCCATTAAAGCGAACTAAATATGGCCTGAGAAGGGCTCTGTACTTCTATATTTGAGTCTTTGTAGACCATTTCTAACCTAACTTAATAGGTAGACAAGATTGAAAACCTAAATTAGGAGTGTGTGCCTGTAACAATAGCTGAGTCTTGGCCAATTCCAGCAGCCATACTTCAACCACTCATACACTGCTGAGTGTTCACACTCTGTTCAAATAATGCAAACACCAACCTGTAACCAATCCAGCTGTTTCTGTACCTCACCTCCGATTTCTGTACATCACTTTCCTTGTTTTGTCTATAAATTTATTCTGACCACAAGGCTTCCCAGGAATCTGTTTGAATCTGCTGTGATTCTGGAGGCTGCCCAATTTGTGAATTTTTTTTTCTTGCTTAATTAAACTCTGTTTAATTTTCCAAAGTTTTCTTTTAACACGTCAGCCTCTTAAATGTATCCAGCAGACCCTAAATACTATAGCAACTTGAGATCTGCCTCATGCATCTTTAAAATATAATAACAGATTCTTCTTTAACAGTTGAAAAATTTATGTTGTACATTTTTTCTTTAATATTTCTATTTATTTTATAAATAGAAGATATTTAATATTTTTCTTTAATATCTCTATTTGTTTTCTCCACAGAATTTTTGTCCTAATTTTATATATTTTATGTTAAAAAGCCTTTCATTGATCACCCTATTCATGCTTCTCTACCACAAAAATTATACAAACTAAATTAATTTTAAAGGATAAAACTGTTCTGTATTAAAGATAAATACTGTGTGTTCTCACTCACATGTGGAAGCTAAAACCGTTGATCTAATGAAAGTAGAGAGTAGAATAGAGGTTATTAGAGGCTAAGAAGGGTAGAAAAGAGGGGAAGATAAGGAGAAGTTGGTTAAGGGATACAAAATTACAGGAAGACAGGAGGAATAAGATTTAGTATTCCATAGTACTGTAGGGTGATCATAGCTAACAATAATTTATTTTGTATTTTCAAATAGCTTGAAGAGAAGATTTTGAATGTTTTCAACACAAAGAACTGATACCTGTTTGAGGGGATGGATATGCTAATTACCCTGATTTGATCATTATACATGATATACATGTATCAAAACATTACACTGCTCCTCATAATATATAAAATTATGTCAATTAAAATAATAAACATGTTGAAAAACCCCAAAGAAATAAAACAACTTATTGAAAAAAATTGTTTTGTATTATCATTATAATTATTGTTAGTACAAAATTTATCAAAAGCATAAATATATTATTGGTTTTGATAAAACTAGACATATAAGTAAGACTTAATTTAAAATTCATTTGGGAGTTTTTTTCCCTATTAGTTTATTTACCTAAATATCAATGTTACTCATTGCTAGCAAGTATTTTCCTTTTTATTGTTTTTATAAATATAAGCACTGAAATCATTTAATAAATAAACAAATAGATGGGAATGTAAAGACTTTGTCATAATAATTCCCTCCGTCTCTGATTTTGAGTCCATCTCTAGAGTCTTGGGAATTCACATACAATGCATGTGGAGAAAGCACCTCCTCCCACTGCTGCCAGGTTTATTTCTGTCAGTATTCTGATTTGCATCTTGGGATGCATTTTCACATAAAATGTTTTCAATGGTAACACATTACCATTTGATTATAATGTAGCTAATGTCTACTCTTAATCATGCTATAAGTCAACTAGGCTTCATAGGACTGTCTTGGAAACTTAACTTCTGCTCTGGGTAATTATTTGTATATTTATATAATTGTGTCAGTCCCAGAGCATTTTTCATGGCCACAAAATCACCTATGGCTACTATTCTATTATTAGAGGGATTAGGCCTTAATGACTTCATACTCACCTTCTGACACTTCCACTTTGTCTATTATTTCTACCTTATTGGTCTGAATGAGGTTGATTGACAGTAGCAGACATTCTACTCATTTCTACCTTCTGATAAAACATCGATTCTGCTTTTTCTATACCTGGTCCTCTATAGTACTCATTTTTAATTATCCCTGAGCATTTTTTCTCTTACCTTTTATTTTCATTTTAATTTTCCCTCTATTGATTTTTTAAATCTCAAAGGAATTTAGTACTTCTACATTCTTTTGAAAGGCACTCATGAAATGCAACTTATGCCACAGTTTATAATATAAAACCCGATTCTACACAGCACAGTGAGGCAGACTTTCACTGCCATCTCACATTTTCTCAGTTCCCAGTTTTCAACTGGAAATCACTCAGTCATATAATTCTGGTGGTAAGAGTCATGGAAAGATTAAACTGAAGGAAAAGTATTAGCTGCCATCATCATCATCATCATCATCATCATCATCATCATCATCTTCATTTGAAGAAAGTGTTTTCCACAATACAAACATATTTATAGCCCCCTGGGGTGAATATTCCACTCTTTTTTTCTGACCACCTTCTGCTTATTGAAGTTTAAAATTATTTATTTATTTATTTATTTATTTATTTATTTATTTATTTATTTATAGAGACAGAATCTGGCTATGTTGGCCAGGCTGGTCTTGAACTCTGGCCTCAAGCCATCTTCCTGCCTCTGCCTCCCAAAGTGCTGGTATTACAAGAATGAGCGAGCCACTATGCCCAGCCTAATATTCCACTCTTTAAGAAAGTGACCCAATTATGTTCTTGATCTTTTCCAATTCACCTCAGTGCTTCAGTGTTTCTACTCTTCAGGAGACATAGTGAAGGAAGAGAAAGCTTACTGAGCTCCTTCTTCAAAGATAAAAATTTCCAATGTTTATGGGGCAACTAAATAAGGAAATACATGAAGTGGACCTGGAGGAGACTGGCAAATCAGAATACAACCCTTATCTGAAGAAGGCAGCCAATATTCACCTCTAGTCAAATTACAGCCCTCAAGTGTATGAGCCCAATGTAGCCAGATCATTTAATTTTGAAAGAGAATTTTGAAATCTGGATTTGTAGGGGAGATTTTCCGAGTTTTAGGTGTCGGCAGGCCAAAGCCAGCCCAGGAATTGCCAGTTTGTAATTTGTGTCCTGGAAGTTAAAGTGGATATCTAACACTAGAATTTCTGGGCATTCAAGATAGCCTGATTTGTACATTCTTGCTTAACAGGCAAACTAAATGAAAAAGCAAAATTATTAGCAGATTATAGGGAACATAGGGTCAGAACAAAAATGATATGTAATTTGAATGTGTATCTCCAGAACAGAGTACATATCTGTCAGCTAGACTGTATCTCTGCTCTGATCCTTTCTAGGTTTTTTGTGTTGTTTTGTTGTTCATTTTTTCATTTCCTAATTTAACCTACCAATGGTAAACTTATTTCATTTGCTTTATTTTCAGAGAGGGGTGTGTGTCAGAGCAATTATTGTCTGGCTCATGTACTTACTGCCTGTGACTACAACCCTGAAGGGTATGTGTATTAATCCCACTTTTGCTGATGAAGAAACTGAGGTTCAAAGAAATGAATGAACTACTCAGTCACAAAACTGTAAGTGACCAAGTTGGAGTTGAAATACTGGTCTGTTTGGCTCCAGTTTAATCTCTTGCTACAATACCACAATACTGTTTCTCTGGTTCTGACTTTATTATTTGCCCCCAAATGCATCAACAGGAGTAGGGAATAATCATGGGATTTCTCTTAGGTTCTGTAGTTACACTGCAGGAAGAAAACACATTTAGTATAATCATCTCAAGACGCCAAGAGCAAGAATTACTGCCTCCAGATAAATTCCTAAACGTAGAATTACTCAGTGAACTTGTCTGCACATTTTCTTAAACTTTTAGTGTTTATCAGCAAATTGCCCTTTAAATAAGCTGTACTTACTAAGTAACTTAATTCCCAGCAGATTATGAGTTACCTCTTTCCTGTACTACTACTACTAATGATAATAATACTTCTATAGTGGATACTATGAGCAGGAAACTTGTAGGTGCTTAAAATACGTTAATTTATTTGATTATCAAAATAGTCCATCATTTTATAAATGAAGAATACTGAAGTACAGAAAAGTTAAGTTATTTGCCAAAGTCATGCAGTTTACAATCAGAGGTAATAGAACCAGGATTTGAACTTAGGCAGTCTTTATTGACTATGTCTAGATTGGATATTATATTGGTCTTTTAAATTTTATAGACAAAAAGTATTTCACAGTTACTTTAATTTGTATTTTTTTATTTAAAGGAGATAACATATTTTTTCTTCCTTTTCTCCCTTTCTTCCTTCTTTCCTTTTTCTTTTCATTCTGACTTTTTTTTTCTTTTGTAAGATACTGGTTAACATCCTTTGCCTATTTTTCCCTTGGAGCGTTCATTTTTTAAAAATTTGTAAGAAGTGTCTGTATGTCATGGATAGATCTCATGCGTTATATATGTTGCAATTTTTTTGTTTGTCTTTAACTGCTTAATTTTTATTACATTGTTGATATATAGTTTAAAATTCTTATTTAATGAAATCTATTAATTTTTTCCATCCATGATTTTTCTTTGTCATTTTCATCAGGTTACCATCATGCCTAGCTTATGTAAATATTTGCCCTAATATATTTCTGCAAATTTTATGATTTCATTTTTTAATCTAGAATTTATTTTGATATTTAACTTAAAAGTTCATTGATGGCACTCTTTCCACCTTTTCAAAACTGTTATGAGGTTGTTATTTTTCTCATTCCTGTCACTGCAGTGGGATTTGGTAAAGAGAGAGGGTAAAAAACGTAAGCTCAGCAGCCACTATGAACAAGAAAGCTGATTTTTAAAATAACTAGTTATTTACTTTCTTGTAACCCAGGCTGGAGTGTGGTGGCATGATCAAGGCTTACTGTTCGGGGGTTATTATTTTTCTCATTTCTGTCACTTCAGTGGGATTTGGTAAAGAGAGAGGGTAAAAAACGTAAGCTCAGCAGCCACTACGAACAAGAAAGGTGATTTTTAGAATAACTAGTTATTTACTTTCTTGTAACCCAGGCTGAAGTGTGGTGGCATGATCAAGGCTTACTGCAACTTTCACCTCCCAGGCCCAAGCGATCCTCCCACCTCATCCTCCCATGTAGCTTGGATTATAGGCACTAGCCATCAAGCTCAGCTAGTTTAAAAAAAAAAAAATTGTAGAGATGGGGTCCCGCCATGTTACCCAGGCTGTTCTTGAACCTGGGCTCAAGGAATACGCCTGACTTGGCCTCCCAAAGTGTTGGGATTACAGGCATGAAACACTGCACCTGGCCTTGTTCATTTTCTTACATGTCTCTTACATGGTTTGTTAAGATCTTCTACTTCTGGAATATATTTTGGCCATATCTATCTTCCTAGAAATGTAGTCATCAGGGCTTTTTTTTTTTTTTTTTGTCATTAGCCAATCTTTTTACAACGTATTTCTTTTTTATTAAAAAAAAAATCTCCTTCATCTGTGACTAAATGTATTCACACAATACTAGTTCGTATATTTTTCTTGGTGCTTTCTTTGTTTCAGCTAATTAATGCTGTCCTTTTCCCTAATGAGGATACGTATGTTCTACTACTAAAATGTTAATTTTATTTCATTGTAACTTAAAACATTAAAAGTAATATATTTTGAAGTAAAATGTCAAAAAATCACAATCACATAATTTTTAAGGTAAAGAAAGATAATGCAAAGAAGTGTGTTTCTGGAAGGTTTCCTCAAGAGGGTGAGTATGGTTTTGCCCCTCTGATGTGTATTTTGGTGAGGGAATTGTCAGCCAAGACAATCGCCAATTAATAAAGATTTGTGTATTTGACTTGATTCTTCAAATACTTTCTTAGATTTACTTAACAAATTTTATTTTTTCTGTTTGTTAATTCATTAATATTTGCTTTTATCATTCTATAGCTGTCACCTCACTTCCCTCCTTTTATTTTCCGTTGCCTTCTTTATTCGAATGCCTACTTCCCTTATTTTCAATCTGTTGTTTGATATTTTAAGTCTTTGAATGTATAAATTTGACTCTGAGTTCATCCACATAGTACTTAATAAATGAAATAATATTAAACTGGACCTTGATACAAATGCAGCTTCCAGTGCACCACTTATTTCAGTAGGTTTGGCGTGGGGCCTAGAAACATGCATTCTTAACAATGTTCTCAGATCACACGTAGAAAAATCCTAGCATTAGTATTGCTGTATATGCTCTCATTATCATTATTTTTGTAAATTTATTCTAATAAGAACATTGCACTTTGCCCCAAAAGTATTCAGTTATGTTTTAATAATCAAATGGTTGGTTTTTTGTTCATACTTTGATTATTAATATCTAGCTTTATTCTATGGAAATTAAAGATTACCTATAATATTTTCATATTCTCACCACCCATAATTAACTATTGCTGATATTTTATCATATTTGCTTTCATTTTAAAGATAAAAAGCATTTTTACATATTTAAGTTCCCTTTACTCACTATCCTGTATCCTATTCCATTTCCTCTTCCTCATGGGTGCAAGTTTGGTATATTTCTAAAAGAATATTTCAAATATACATAAGAATGTATTAGAGTGCTGTTTGGCATGTATTAGGTTGGTGCAAAAGTAATTGCGGTTTTTGCTATTACTTTCAATGGCAAAAACCATTGTATAATAGTAACAATTCGTTACTTTCAATGGCAAAAACCGCAATTACTTTTGCATCAACCTAATACTAATTAATTTGGCTTTTTAGATCTATACATATTAACATATTTAAAGCTAGTCATCTTTTTACCTCTGTATTTTATTAATTATATTAATAAAATAGAGAGGTAAAATAATATTAATTCTTCCATTTCTCCATCGATGGATATAACATACCTGTATATATATATTTTTCTTATCTTCAGATTTATTAAAGTATTTGTGACCTAATGACTTTGAAATGCTGTTAAATGTTGAAAGCAGTGGTGCTTTGGTGGATGCTTGGTAGAGGGTGGGGGTTGGGGAAGAATTTTCTGTGTGGTTTAACCTAGAGTTAGAAATATATAGATAAATTTGAAATTATTTCTTCTATTTTTCAAGTTCTCTTTCTCAGCATTGCTACATCTTTATTGCTCTTACTTAATCTGTAATTAAATTAGGTAAATATGTCAATGTTTGCCACTACTATTATGTGCCTGTCAATTTCTACCCATACTCTTCCCCAAAATACCTTTCTGTAGTGCATACTTACAAAAATCATCAGAAAATTCAAAATCTTATGAAAATAGAAAATAAGAATTATTCATAATTTCAGCAAACAGTACTAACAGCCATTAACTTATTTGTGCATAGCCTTCCAGATTTTTTTACACATACGGTTTACATATACAACAAACTGTTCAAAAATTGCTTTTAAAATAAAAATATATTTATTGTATTTTTGATATTGGAACATATATTCTTATATAGTTTGTAACTGTACAGAAATATACAAAGGCATAATTGAAAATACTCTGTGATTTCCCTATAACTACAGTTTATTTCATGTATACCTTTAAAGACACTCTATATTTTCTTGTATGGTAATATGATAATGTGCTCAACTAATCTCATGTAAACAGATAGTTAATATATTTAAATAACATTTTAAAATGCTACAATGTATATACATTTTATACATAAATATTTTTGCATCCTCATCCGATTATTAGGCGAAGTGTCTAGGTTAGGCATTTCTAAATAAAGGTGGAAACATTCAAAATGCTGATATATATTTTCAAATTGCCCTATGGTTGTAACAATTCACACTTCAGCTAGCCTGAGAGGGCATTTTTTAGGGTCCCTGTCAACAAGAAGGTTTACCATTATTTTTTTCCCTGCCAATATGATAAGCCAAAAGTAGAATTTTATTGTTTTAACTTGATTTCTTTTTATTAGTAGTGAAATTAATCATCCTTTTTTAATGTCTATTGGCCATTTGCACTCCTTTTGTAAAATGCACGCTCCTGCTCTGTCTTCTTCCCTTCCCCTACTGGAGGTGTTCCTCTTTTCTTTTTGCTTTGTCAGAGTTCTTTATTATTCATTTTTCGTCTTATACGTGGGATCTGTTCGATTCAGGCTTTCACCCTTTTACTGCCTTACAGATTGCTAATATACATTCTCCATTGGTCTTTTAATGTCGTTTACAGAAGCTGACTCTCTACCGCCTCCTTCTCTCCGTCTCACCCTCTCTGCCTCGCCTGCTCTGTACTGTTCTGTTCTCTTCTCTCTCTCCCTTTGTTTCTCTCTCTCCCTTTTTTCTTTTCAGTGCAGAAGTTTTTAATTTTGACCGAGCCAAATCTATCAATCTAGGCCTGGCGCCGCGTCAGCAGAGGGGGCGGGGAGGCGAGCGCGGAACTGGGGGAGGGGAAGGGGCGGGGATCAGCAGGCGGAGCGGCTGCCAGAGTTGCTGGGAGTGCGCGCGGTCGGATCACAAGGCGGCGGCGGAGGAGGCCCAGAGACCGGAGCGCGGAGACCTCAGCCAGCGGCCTACGCCCAGGCCTTTCTCCACCGGAGGACCAGGGAACCGCAGTCTTCATCACAGAGGTACCGTGCTCCGCGCTCCCCGCCTGACCCGGCCCAGCCCGCTGCGGCGGTGCCTCCTTCCTTCCTCCTTCCCTCGCGCTCTCTCTTTCGCCCGCCCGCGCCTTCCCTGCCCGCCTGCGTCACCGCGGCCGCCATGGCTGAGAATGGCGAGAGCAGCGGCCCCCCGCGCCCCTCCCGCGGCCCTGCTGCGGCCCAAGGCTCGGCTGCTGCCCCGGCTGAGCCTAAAATCATCAAAGTCACGGTGAAGACTCCCAAAGAGAAAGAGGAGTTCGCGGTGCCCGAGAACAGCTCGGTTCAGCAGTTTAAGGAAGCGATTTCGAAACGCTTCAAATCCCAAACCGATCAGCTAGTGCTGATTTTTGCCGGAAAAATCTTAAAAGATCAAGATACCTTGATCCAGCATGGCATCCATGATGGGCTGACTGTTCACCTTGTCATCAAAAGCCAGAACCGACCTCAGGGCCAGTCCACGCAGCCTAGCAATGCCGCGGGAACTAACACTACCTCGGCGTCGACTCCCAGGAGTAACTCCACACCTATTTCCACAAATAGCAACCCGTTTGGGTTGGGGAGCCTGGGAGGACTTGCAGGCCTTAGCAGCCTGGGCTTGAGCTCGACCAACTTCTCTGAGCTCCAGAGCCAGATGCAGCAGCAGCTTATGGCCAGCCCTGAGATGATGATCCAAATAATGGAAAATCCCTTTGTTCAGAGCATGCTTTCGAATCCCGATCTGATGAGGCAGCTCATTATGGCTAATCCACAGATGCAGCAATTGATTCAGAGAAACCCAGAAATCAGTCACCTGCTCAACAACCCAGACATAATGAGGCAGACACTCGAAATTGCCAGGAATCCAGCCATGATGCAAGAGATGATGAGAAATCAAGACCTGGCTCTTAGCAATCTAGAAAGCATCCCAGGTGGCTATAATGCTTTACGGCGCATGTACACTGACATTCAAGAGCCGATGCTGAATGCCGCACAAGAGCAGTTTGGGGGTAATCCATTTGCCTCCGTGGGGAGTAGTTCCTCCTCTGGGGAAGGTACGCAGCCTTCCCGCACAGAAAATCGCGATCCACTACCCAATCCATGGGCACCACCGCCAGCTACCCAGAGTTCTGCAACTACCAGCACGACCACAAGCACTGGTAGTGGGTCTGGCAATAGTTCCAGCAATGCTACTGGGAACACCGTTGCTGCCGCTAATTATGTCGCCAGCATCTTTAGTACCCCAGGCATGCAGAGCCTGCTGCAACAGATAACTGAAAACCCCCAGCTGATTCAGAATATGCTGTCGGCGCCCTACATGAGAAGCATGATGCAGTCGCTGAGCCAGAATCCAGATTTGGCTGCACAGATGATGCTGAATAGCCCGCTGTTTACTGCAAATCCTCAGCTGCAGGAGCAGATGCGGCCACAGCTCCCAGCCTTCCTGCAGCAGATGCAGAATCCAGACACACTATCAGCCATGTCAAACCCAAGAGCAATGCAGGCTTTAATGCAGATCCAGCAGGGGCTACAGACATTAGCCACTGAAGCACCTGGCCTGATTCCGAGCTTCACTCCAGGTGTGGGGGTGGGGGTGCTGGGAACCGCTATAGGCCCTGTAGGCCCAGTCACCCCCATAGGCCCCATAGGCCCTATAGTCCCTTTTACCCCCATAGGCCCCATTGGGCCCATAGGACCCACTGGCCCTGCAGCCCCCCCTGGCTCCACCGGCTCTGGTGGCCCCACGGGGCCTACTGTGTCCAGCGCTGCACCTAGTGAAACCACGAGTCCTACATCAGAATCTGGACCCAACCAGCAGTTCATTCAGCAAATGGTGCAGGCCCTGGCTGGAGCAAATGCTCCACAGCTGCCGAATCCAGAAGTCAGATTTCAGCAACAACTGGAACAGCTCAACGCAATGGGGTTCTTAAACCGTGAAGCAAACTTGCAGGCCCTAATAGCAACAGGAGGCGACATCAATGCAGCCATTGAAAGGCTGCTGGGCTCCCAGCCATCGTAATCACATTTCTGTACCTGGAAAAAAAATGTATCTTATTTTTGATAATGGCTCTTAAATCTTTAAACACACACACAAAATCGTTCTTTACTTTCATTTTGATTCTTTTAAATCTGTCTAGTTGTAAGTCTAATATGATGCATTTTAAGATGGAGTCCCTCCCTCCTACTTCCCTCACTCCCTTTCTCCTTTGCTTATTTTTCCTACCTTCCCTTCCTCTTGTCTCCCCACTCCCTCCCTCTTTGTTTCCTTCCTTCCTTATTTCCTTTAGTTTCCTTCCTTAGCCGTTTTGAGTGGTGGGAATCAATGCTGTTTCACTCAAAAGTGTTGCATGCAAACACTTCTCTTTATTCTGCATTTATTGTGATTTTTGGAAACAGGTATCAACCTTCACAGTTGGGTGAACAAGTGTTGTCCTACAGATGTCCAATTTATTTGCATTTTTAAACATTAGCCTATGATAGTAATTTAATGTAGAATGAAGATATTAAAAACAGAAGCAAATTATTTGAAGCTCTCTAATTTGTGGTACGATATTGCTTATTGTGACTTTGGCATGTATTTTTGCTAGCAAAATGCTGTAAGATTTATACCATTGATCTTTTTTGCTATATTTGTATACAGTACAGTAAGCACAATTGGCACTGTACATCTAAAAATATTACAGTAGAATCTGAGTGTAATATGTGTAACCAAAATGAGAAAGAATACAAGAAATGTTTCTGGAGCTAGTTATGTCTCACAATTTTGTAGAATCTTACAGCATCTTTGATAAACTTCTCAGTGAAAATGTTGGCTAGGCAAGTTCAGTTAAAATATAGTAGAAATGTTTATCCTGGTATCTCTAAGTATACATTTAATTGTACAGAAAATTTACAGTGTAACATTGTGTCAACATTTGCAGATTGACTGTATATGACCTTAATCTTTGTGCAGCCTGAAGGATCAGTGTAGTAATGCCAGGAAAGTGCTTTTTACCTAAGACTTCCTTCTCAGCTTCTCCCATAAAGAGACCCTAATATGCATTTTGATTTGTAATTGGAAATGTAACTTTCACTGAAAGTGTCATGTGATGTTTGCATTACTTTTAACTGCTATGTATAAAGGAAAGTGTGTCTTTTGACTTCATCAGTTATTTCTCTTGTGCACAGAGAAAAATGCATTAAAAATGACTAAAAAAAATAAAAAATTAAAAAATGGATAAATCTTTTCTTTTTGCCTTTTGGCCCTAGGATCGTGTTTAGGAGGATTATCCCACCCCGAGATTATATAAATCTTATCCTATATTTCTCTAACTTATATGGTTTTATTTAGAAAATGTTTTGTCCTGTCTGGAATTATCTTGATGTATGGATTTAGGTATTCTAACTTTTTTGCCCCAAAGGGTTAGCCAGTTGTTAACATATTTACCTTTTCCCCCAACATATGAAATGTCATACATGTATATACTTTATTCTGTGTTTGGATTCCCTTTAGTTCCATTGAACATTGTGGCACCAGTACACCAGCCTGTAGATGAGTTAGAAATGGGACTTTGTATCTTTTAATGTGAGACCTCCTCTTGATCTTTTTTATTTTTTACAATATTCTGACGATTCTGACATGTTTATTTTACCAGATGAATTTTACAGTTAATAGATTCTTCCCCCAAAAATATATTGAGAATTTGGTTGGGATTCTCTTAAATTGATATGACTGTGAGGACTACAGAATTGCATTGCTTTCCAGAAACATGTTGCCTTGTTTCTGAAAAACTTTATATATCCTTCAAGAGAGTTTTACTTAAATCCTATATAATTTGTAATAAATATGTTCCTAGGTAATACAGACATACAGGGAACACGTTGATACTGCTTATTGGAGCTTTTAATATGTTACCTATGTGGTCATTTTTGCTATATAGGAGAAGAATTTATTTGCATCGATTATTTTAAATTGGCAATTTATTGAAATCTATTAATTTTAGAGATATTCATTTGATCCTTTTGAGTTTTTCCAGGTGAGAAATCCTATCAATTATGTTATAATTATATGTTTTCCTTTTCAAAATTTATAACATAATTTCTGACTGCATGGGTTAAACATTTTCATAACAGTGCTAAATAATAAAGGTGGCAGTGGCATTTTTGTCTTGTTTCTCATTTTAGCCAGAATGTGTTTGCTACAGCAATTCCAAATTGTGTTTTGTGAAAAAAAAATATTCTTCTGGGAGACAAGGAAATACATTTGCAAAATGCTGTATACTTTAATCTCTCTTGGAGACTCATTGTGCAATAAATGTTGGCTAGTATTTTTTTTTAATGGGTAGCTTCTTCAATTAAAAAAAAAAAAAACTATTTAACTTTGTGTAACTCAGCATTTTCCGAACTTATTTGAGCACAGAACCACCTTTTTTTTTTTCTTTTAAACACACCTAATACCATTTGGCCTGTCAGTGTTCCTCAGAACACCAACTTAGGAAATGGTGATTTATTATTTCATTACTATATCATGCCAGGTATTTGACATAATCACAAAGTCTGTCATAATAAATTCAGTAATTTTAATGACAGATGATTTTATATGGAAATAAATATAAAATTGTAGGCATAGAAAATAACAAGAAATCAATAGCATAGTAGAAACTGGATATTGGCTGAGGCCTGGCTCAGGCAGTTTAGCAGATCAGTTTCTTTCAAACACTCAAGGAACAGGAAATTATTTTATTAGCTTTGCCAAATGTTTATTTTTAAGTGTATTTTGTTTTCTCTTGGAAAAGATCCACGTCTTTACTTTATTAAGTCTACTATTATTTTGCTTATAACTTCATTTATTTTGGCCTTTTAAAAATTACTTTTAACTGTTCTTCCTCCATCTCTTACATGATGTAATTTCCTCCTATTATGTTGCAGGTTCTTTTTAAAGGCTCTGTTTTTGTTTTGGGTTTTCTTCATCTACTATTGATCCAAGATTTATCCATTTATTCATCATTGAATCAAGAAGGGTATATCCTGACCTGCTATCCCTCCCCCTCCAACAAGAGTGGAACAATTATTTTGTATCCATTCACTGTTTACTGGGTTGTCACCCCATCCAACAAGAGTGGAACAGTGTTTTTGTATCCATTCCCTGTTTACTGGGTTGTCACCCCCTCCCAATGGCTCTGCGATCCAGCAAGATGTGGTAGTAGGGAGGGAGCTAATGCCAGGGGCAAACCCAGCAGGATGACTTCACCCTCAAGACAGCTTTCCTCATTTGCTTTTGTCCTCTGTTTCAGGTACGTGATATCATACATACTTTCTCTACTCGTGTGGGAGGGGAGGGGCAGGGGGCATATACACAACTTGGAAACAAAACCTGTTGGTTCATTAAAGGGGACTTTTGCATCAAGTTGAGATCTCCATGCTAGTTGAGAAACTAGGATCAGGAGACACCTGTATTTGGGTGTGGACAAGCTTGCCCTCTGAGAGAGGACAGCCTGCTCCAAATTATGTTAATCTGCAGTGTCAAAATAGGACCAAATTGACTAATTCCTGTTAGGGCCAAGCCTAGTGATCAGGGTTGAGATGTCAGGAAAGCCATTTGGCCTGTGTCTTATAATTCAAAAAGGGATTCAAATTCAGACTTTTGACACTATCCTAAATGAACTGATAACTCTAGCCACAAAGCCAGACTGACCTGATGTAAATGTTTGTCATACAGCTTAATTTAGTATATGTAAAGAAATTAAATTATTTGGCAAATTTGATATTCCTAATTGAGTATTATTAAAAAAATATACTGAGGCCAGGCACAGGGGCTCGCTCATGCCTGTAATCTCAGTACTTTGGGAGGCCAAGGTGGGCAGATCACGTGAGGTCAGGAGTTTGAGACCAGCTTGGCCAATGTGGTGAAACCCCATCTCTACTAAAAATACAAAAAAAATTAACCAGGCGTGGTGTTGCACGCCTGTAATTCCAGCTACTCAGAAGGCTGAGGCACGAGAATCACTTGCACCCATGAGGCAGAGATTGCAGTGAGCTGAGATCACACCATTGCACTCCAGCCTGGGTGACAGAATGAGACAATGCCTCATAGAATTAAGGACCTATTCTCATGCCACCATTTTCCCAGAATTCTGTTAGAAGACTTAGGGGAAAAGCAGTTTTCTGTAAATAGAAAGGAGAAGCATGATTCAGCAGATATCAGACTGAAGCCACCTCAAAGAGCAGGCGTCATCAGGTGGTGCACATGCTTGCATAGGCTTTACACACTTTGACCATGGGTAAAAACCCTTGGCAAAAGCTGCTGTAAACCAACAAGTTCAAAAGTTTGGGTAATGTCATTTTAAAAAGGAGTTGTTTGTCCCAGCATACAAGGACAACATTTATTTGTCCAGTGGGTATGAATCGAGGCATATAGCTCCAGCTGTATTGAGGTATCTGAGCACAGATTTGAGCTCCCTAAAACAGCACTTTTGGAATCCATATTTAGAACTGTGTAGATTAGCAAACTTAAGATAATTTCAAGAAAGATTCTGTAATTCATTATTAAAAGCATGGTTGATGAGCTTGAAAGAAAGAAGAAAGATGATTACTCGGCCCTAGCATGTATTTCACAAGATTGCCAAACTGAATTTTGTTAGGTTAGAATAACAATAATAGCTAACATACTCATTGCTATGTTCAATCTCGTAGTAGCTCTGTAAGGTAGCACAATTACAAGCTTCCCCAGCTTACAGATAAGGAAATAAGCTGAATGAGACTAAGTAACTTGAGCAAGGTCACACTACTTACTATTAAGTGACAGAGTCAAGGTTTGAACCCAGTTCTGAGATTCTAGACTATGCTCTTAAGCAGTACATTATACTGCCTCCCCTTAAGTCTATTAAACTATACTGGTCTGTTAATCAGAGATTTTACTATAAGTTGTATACTAGCTGGCCTCCTGGGTGTTGTTCGGGAGAACATTGGCTCTTGTTAAATAAATACATCTCTGCTACTGTTCACATTGGAGCAGTCTACACAAAAATGCACATGTGAGAGTCAGCTCTGTCATAAATCAGTAACTGCAACTTAAGAGCTTTGCCTTTCTTACTTTCAAGATGTGGCTAATATTTGAAACTGCCCTTAAATACATCCGTTTATAGTGGCCTAATACATAACAGTATGTCTCCAAAAAAGCAATCACATGGGCCACTTGTACTTCAGGTGCTCTGGAGGATGCCTACCTTTTTGCTGAACCGCCTTCCAGAGATCTCAAAAGGCAAACATTATGTACCTCATCAAGCCGTTTGGCAGTTTCTCATAATATCCTTGAGATTAAAATGGAGTAACAAGATGATAATGACAGGACAGTAGATGGGTTAATAATTTGAATTGACAGTGTTCAACAATATAGATATCAAAGTGATCAAAGGTTTCCAACCTTAGCCCTGTCCCATCAAAGTTGTTTTATAATGACTAGCAAGAAAATATAAAATAGCATGCCCATCCCATTGCAAATAATATAGAATTAGATGGCAGAATAAATGTACTTGATATCACTAGCATGATCCGGAAAGTCCTTAGGGGCTGAGAAAAAAAAATAGCCAAATCTAGCAGGATTAAATTGAATAGGATCAAATATGAAGTCCTGTACTCATATCAAAAATTCAGTTACCAAGGGGAGGTGGTTATGTGGCCTAACAATTGCATATATGAAGAAGACTCTAGTTTTTTTTCTTTTTTCATTTTTTTGAGACGGAGTCTTGCTCTGTCACCCAGGCTGGAGTGCAGTGCGCGATCTCGGCTCACTGCAACCTCCGCGTCCCGGGTTCAAGCAATTCCCTGCCTCAGCCTCCCAAGTAGCTGGGATTACAGGCACCCGCCACCACGCCTGGCTAATTTTTGTATTTTTAGTAGAGACAGGGTTTTACCATTTTGGCCAGGCTGGTCTTGAACTCCTGACCTCGTGATCCACCCACCTCAGCCTCCCAAAGTGCTGGGATTACAGGCGTGAGCCACCGCTCCTGGCCAAGAAGACTCTAGTTTTAATTTACTCTAAGTTCATGAGCCAGCCGTGTGAGGTTACAGTGTACCACATATAATGAAATATTAAGCTCCATTAATAGAGTCATGGTTTCCAGAACAAGGAAGGCCTTAAAAATCATGTTTATTCTGTACTTGATAGTTTATGTTGGGAGATTTGGGTCATATCAGAGTGGCACAATCAAGATGGACACAGACAACCTGGAAAGTGACCAAGAAGGTGACTGGTTTACAAGCAGACAAGACAGTTTTTGAAATAATCAGGAATGCTTTACTCTAAAGACAAGTTTGTGGATATTTTCTGCAAATAATTGAAGTCCTGTCACACAGAAGAGAGGTAGCATTTACCTGAGTACCTCCAGAGGGCAGATCAATTCAAATGTTCAAATAAGTCAAAGTTGTTGCCTACTGTTAGTAACTTTCTATCATTTAATTGTAGATGCTTTGCTTTCTGGAGCTGCTTCAGCAGAAGCCCACTTGGCAGAAATGTTTAAGAATGGTTTTATGTATCAGGTAGAACTTTGGATTAGAAGACCAACAACGTTCTTTGCAAAGCTAATGTTCTCCCAGTGGACTTTACAGCTTCTTATGAAGATGTAAATTCTGGGATCAAAGTTGATCTAGAATGAAGTCATGTTACAGACTTCTATCCTGCATTTCCTAGTTTAGTAAACACTCATGAGTAGACCGAATACATTTTTTTACATATAAGATCTAGGTAAATTCATCATTTTAATCTTTAATGCTACATATGGTAAAAGGACCCAAATCATATAATGTTAAAATGAATGTCACAAAGTACTCAGAGCTTGGGAGGAGAAAATAGGAAGGGATGTCTGAGGTCAAAGGACTCTGGTTAGAGGGTGAAGGCTACAGGAGTACTCTGACCTCCTGTTTCTCTTGATAATATTCCCCTACCCCTTGTCATTCACAGTGGTGGTTAAAGTGGTGGAAGTAAGCTGAAACAGAGTGGAATGTGAAATGTGATGGCAGAGGGTATTTTTTTAATTCCATGTATATTTCTTTAGTCACAGTGATCGTTTTGGAGCAGGAAAAAAAATGTTTGTGTTTTCCATTATGTGACACCCAAGTGGGTGTCCTTATATTAAATAAATTACCTTAAGATTCTGAGTCACTATAGTTTATATTCTTTATAAGTTGCACTAGAATTCCAAAGAGTCTGGAAAAGAACATCCTGGTGTTAGTGACAGGCTGAAACACAACACACATCACATTCCTTATTTGTGGATATAAATTGAACATCAAATATGTGTAGGAGACAGTGCATGTATATGTTTCTGTGTGTTTGTAATTTTTGCTTTGCCAGCTAAATCAGCGTTCTCTCCACATACTCATAATGATGAACCACCTTCATACTATTCTACATTAGATATTTGCCTTCTGCATAGGCCTTGACGTGGTTGAACCACAAATCATGTGACCAGAGGCAAAATCACAGCACACTGCAGCCTTGAACTGGGCTCAAGCTATCCTGCGTCAGCCTCCTGAGTAGTTAGAACTACACGCATGTGTCAACATGCCCAGCTAATATTTTTTAAAGTTTTTCTTTTAGAGATGGGTTCTTGATATGTTGCTCAGGCTGGTTTTGAACTCCAGGTCTCAAGTGATCTCTTGCCTTGGTCTCCCAAAGTTCTGGGATTATGAGTGTGAACCACTATGCCCAGCCTTGTTTGGCTTATTTTAAAATAAACTTTTCATCCTAAAATGATTCCAGATTTATAGAAAAAATATTCAGACAGTACAGAGTTCCCATATACCCCCACCAAACTTTTCCCTATTATTCAGATCTTTACATTAGTATAGTGTGTTTGTTACAATGAATGAAGCAATGTTGATACCTTGTTATTAAGTCCATACTTTATTCAGATTTCCTTTTTTTATTATCATTATTATTATTTATAGAGACAGGGTCTCGCCCTGTGGCCCAGGCTGGAGTGCAATGGTGCGATCTTGGCTCACTGCAACCTCCACCTCCCAGGCTCAAGCGATTCTCCTACCTCAGCCTCCCAAGTAGCTGGGACTATAGATGCATGCCACCACAGTGGCTAATTTTTGTATCTTTTTGAAGAGATGAGATCTCGCCATGTTGCCCAGGCTGGTTTTGAACTCCTGGACTCAAGCAATTTGTCCGCCTTGGCCTCCCAAAGTGCTGGGATTACAGGCACTGCGCCTGGCCAGATTTCCTTAGTTTTTACCTAATGTCCTTTTCCTGTTCTAGCATCCCATCCAAGATACCACATTGTATTTAGTCATCACATCTTCTTAGGCTCTCTTGACTGTGACAGCTTCTCAGTCATTCTTTGTTTCTCATTACTTTAACAAATTTGAGGAAGACCACAGAGGTGAAGTGACATTTTTATTACATACCAAGCATGCATACTATCAACATGACTTATTACTGTTGATGTTGATTAAACTTAATCACTTCGTTTGCGTTAGTGTGTGTCAGTTTCATCCACTATGAAGTTATGTCCTTCACCTTTCAATACTGTACTCTTTTTAAGGAAGTTACCGTGTGCACCCCACACTTAATTGGAGAGTTATGCTCCACATTTTTGAGGATGGAGTATCTACATAATTTATTTGGAAATCTTCTGCATGGGAAATTTATCTCTCTGCTGCCATTTATTTAAAAGCATATTTATATCAGTATAAACTCATGGATATTTTATACTTCAGGTTATAATCCAATACTATTTTATTTTGTTGCTCAAATTGCTCCATCTGTGGCCATTGAGTGTTTTTCTGGCTGACTCACAAGGCCTTTTGGTACACTCTGTCTTTTTTTTCCTGTTTTTAGCACTTCCTTACTTTCTGGCACTGCAAGTTTCTCCAGGATTATCTTGTATATTTCTTGGCCCACTTCTTCTAGGACCCCTGGTTTCATTTATTGGAGAATTGCACTGGAGCCCAAAATCTGGGTGCTAGGTGTTCTTGTTGCTATTGGAGTGTTATTGATTCTAGGCCCTGTTAGCTGACTGAGCAAGGAAATATATGTGCATCAAGACCTTTGTATATACACATTTCTATAAATGTTTCTTTTATGTGTAATTATCTGGATCTATATTAAGCTAAACATGAGATCTTTCTGATGTCTCCAATTCTAATCCATTGCCAAAGGATCATTAATAATCCATATGGATCGTTCAAACTTCCTTTCTCTACTTATCTGTAACCTCTCAACTGCAACAGTGAGAAACCTGGCTTCAGTTATCTGCCATCCATTTACTTATTGTTCAATTTCAGTACACATGTACAGCAGTATCAGAACTGTTAACCTATGCCTCATGGGAAATAACTTTGTTAAATAAAATCAAGAGCTTATGTAAAGTTTCTTTTGCCTTTAGTCTTACAGACTCGACTCATTTCTATAGTGACTTACGTCAAGATCTTTCTTCCCACACCCTTCAATGAGGTTGTTTTGTATATTTTATTACAGTTAAATTGTTTTGTCACATTGTACATTTCATCCCTGGGATCCCTCAACCTCTTAAATTTTTTAAAAATGTGTATATATTAAGATCCACTCTTTGTGCTGTAAAATTCTATGGTTTTTGACAAACATGTAGTATCCTATATCTACCACTATCATAGAGAATAGTTTCACTGTCCTACGAAGTCCCTGGCGGTTCCACTATTCAACCCTCTGAACCCCTGGCAATCACTGAACTTTTTATCATCACTATAGTTTTATCTTTTTCAGGAATTCATATAATTAGAATAATACAGCATGCAGCCTTTTCAGAGTGGCTTCTTTCACTTAACAATTTGCAGTTAAGATTCATTGAAGTCCTTTTGTGGCTTGATACCTCATTTCTTTTAATGTGAATAACATTCCGCTTCATTGGCATACCACAGTATGTTTATTTATTCACTCATTGAAAGACATCTTGGTTGCATACAGTTTTGGGGATTATGAGTAAATCTGCCATAAATATTCACATGCATGAAACCCCTTTAATTTGGTCTGGGATTTTTGAAATTTATGCTTACTTTTTAGATTTTAAAACATGATTACCTTTTAATAAAATGGAATATATACTCATTATAAAATAAATTTTAAATGTGAAATATAATGAAGAAAATAAGAAAAAACACACATAATCAGAAATAACCACTATTTTTTTTTTTTTTCCAGACGGAAGTCTCTTTCTGTCGCCCAGGCTGGAGTGCAGTGGCGCGATCTCAGCTCACTGCAGCCTCCGCCTTCTGGGTTCAAGCGATTCTCCTGCCTCAGATTCTCCAAGTAGCTGACATTACAGGCTCACGCCACCATGCCCAGCTAATCCCGGTTAAGTTTTGTATTTTTAGTAGAGACGGGATTTCACCATGTGAAATCCCAGCTAGGCTGGTCTTGAACTCCTGGCCTCAAGCGATGCACCCACCTTGGCCTTCCAAAGTGCTTCGCCTTCCAAAGTGCTGGCATGAGCAACTGTGCCAGGCCAGAGATAACTACTATTTCATTTGTATATATTTTTTCAACTTTTATTTTAGATTCAGTTGGTACATGTGCAAGTTTGTTATCTGAATATAGTGTGTGATGCTGAGGTTTGGGGTATGAATGATCCCATCCACCAGGTACTAAGAATAGTACTCAACAGTTAGTTTTCCAACCTTTTTCTCCCTCCCTTCCACACTAATGGACCCCAGTGTCTATTGTTGCCATCTTTATGTCCATGAGTACCTGATGTTTAGCTCCCACTTATAGGTGAGAATACATAGTATTTGATTTTCTGTTCCTGATTCACTTAAAATAATGGCCTCCAGCCACATATATGTTGCACCAAAGTACATGATTTCATTCTTTTTTCTTGCTGTGTACAATTCCATTTTGCATATGTGCCATATTTTCTTTTTCCAATCCACTGAGGATGGGCACCTAGGTTGATTCTATGTCTTTGGTATTGTGAATAGTGCTGCAATGAACATGTGAGTGCATGCATCTTTTTGGTAGAACAATTGGTTTTCTTTTGGATATATAGCCAGTAATGGGATTGCTGGATAGAATGGTAGTTCAGTTTTAAGTTCTTTGATAAATCTCCCAACAGCTTTCCACACTGGCTAAACTAATTTACATTCCCAACAACAGTGTATAAGCATTCCCTTTTCTTTGCAGCCTCACTAGCATCTGTCGTTTTTTGACTTTTTATTAATAGCCAATCTGACTGGTGTCAGATGGCATCTCATTGTGGTTTTGGTTTGCATTTATCTGACATGATGATGAGCATTTTTTCATGTCTTTGTTAGCCATTTGTATATCTTCTTTTGAGAAGTGTCTGTTTATGTCTTTTACCCCTTTTTAATGGGTTTGTTTTATTTTATTTTTTGGTTGTTCGATTGTTTAAGTTCCTTATAGATTCTGGCTATGAGACCTTTGTTGGATGCGTAGTTTGCAAATATTTTCTCCCATTCTGTAGGTTGTCTGTTTACTCTGTTGATAGTTTATTTTACTATGCAGAAGCTCTTTAGTTGAATTAGGCCCCACTTGCCAATTTTTGTTTTGTTGGAATTGCTTTTGAAAATGTAGACATGAATTCTTTCCCAAGGCCCATGTCCAGAATCATGTTTCCCAGGCTTTCTTCTGGGACTCTTATAGTTTGAGGTTGTACATTTAAATCTTTAATCCACCATGAGTTATTTTTTTATATGGTGAAAGGTAGTGTGGTCCAGTCTCATCCTTCTTCTTATGGTTAGCCAGCTATTTCAGCATCATTTATTGTATAGGGAATCCGTTCTCCATTGATTATATTTGTTGACTTTGTCTGCCAAAGATTAGATAGCTCTGGGTGTGAGGCCTTATTTCTGGGCTTTCTAACCTATTCAATTGGTGTATGTGTATGTTTTTGTATCAGTTTCATGCTGCTTTGGTTACTGTAACCTTATAGTTTGAAGAGGGTTAACATGATGCCTCTGGCCTTGTTCTTTTTGCCTAAGATTGCTTTGGCTATTCGGGCTCTTTTTGGGTTCCATAGGAATTTTAGAATGGTTTTGTCCAATTTTATGAAAAAAAAAATAATATTGGTAGTTTGATAGGAAAGCATTAACTCTGTAGATTGCTTTGGACACAATGGCCATTTTAATATTGGTTCTCCCAATCCATAATCATAGAATGTTTTTTCGTTTGTTTGTTTCATCTATGACTTAGTGGTTGTATAGTTCTCCTATAGAGATTCTTCATCTCCTTGGTTAGATGTATTCTTAGATATTTTCTTTTTGTTGTGTTTATTATAAATGGGATTACATTTTTGATTTGGCTGTCGGCTTGAGCTTTATTGGTGTATGGAAATGCTGCTTGTTTCTGTATATTGATTTTGTATCCTGAAACTTTTCAGAAGTTATTTATCAGTACTGGGAGTCTTTTGGCAGAGTCTTTAGGGTTTTCTAGATAGAGAGTCATATTGCCTGTCAAGAGAGATAGTTTTGTTTCTTCTTTTTCTATTTGGATGCCTTTTATTTCTTTCTCTTGCCTGATTGCTTGGCTAGGACTTCCAGTACTATGTTGCATAGCAGTGGTGAGAGTAGGCATCCTAATCTTGTTCCAGTTCTCAAGGAGAATGCTTCCAGTTTTTGTCTATTTAGTATGATGTTAACTGTGGGTTTGTCATGGATGGCTGTCATTATTTTCAGGTATGTTTCTGTAATGCCTGGTTTCTTGGAGAGGTTTTTGTTTTGTTTTGTTTTTAGCGTGAAGGGATATTAGATTTTATCAAAAGCTTTTTCCCTGTCTATAGAGATGATCATATGGTTTTTGTTTTTGATTCTGTTTATGTTGTGGATCATGCTTATTGATTTGTATATGTTGAACCAAACTTGCATCCCAGGAATGTAGCCTACTTGTTCATGGTGAATTAACTTTTTGATGAGCTGTTTGCTGATATTTTGCTGAGGATCTTTTTGGTCTACATTCATCAGCGATATTGGCCTGTAGTATTGTTTTTGTTGTGTCTTTGCTAGATTTGGTACCAGGGCGATGCTGGCTTTGTGGAATAAGTTGGGGAGGAGTTTCTCTTCCTTGGTTTTGGAAATAGTTTAATGGAATTGTTTCCAGCTCTTCTTTGTGTGTCTTTTGAATTCAGATATGAATCCTTCTCATGCAGTGCTTTATTATGTTTGTAGGTTTTCTATTACTGATTAAATTTTGGAACTTGATATTGGTCTGTTCAGTGTTTCAATTTCTTCCTAATTCAATCTTGGGAGACTGTGTTTCCATAATTAACCTTTTTTTTTTCCTACATTTTCTAGCTTGTAGCTTGTATGTGTAGAGGGCTGTTTTTTTGTTTTTGTTTTTTGTTTTTGGAGACAGAGTCTTGCTCTGTCACCCAGACTGGATTGTAGTGGCATGATCTCAGCTCACTACAACCTCCGTCTTCAGGGTTCAAGCGATGCTGCTGTCTCAGCCTCCCAAGTAGCTGGGATTACAGGCACCCACCACCACGCCCAGCTAATTTTTGCATTCTTACTAGAGATGGGGTTTCACCATGTTGGCCAGGCTGGTCTCGAACTCCTGACCTTGTGATCCGCCTACCTCGGCCTCCCAAAGTGCTGGGATTACAGGCATGAGCCACCGTGCCCGGCCAGTGGGGTTTTTAATAGTCTCTGAGGATTTTTTGTATTTCTGTGGGATCAGTTATAATGTCACTTTTGTTGTTTCTGATTGTGCTTCTTTGGATATTCTCTTGTTTTCCTTCTTAATCTAGCTAGCAGCCTGTCCTTTCAAAGAACCAACTTTTGGTTTTGTTGATTCTTTGTATGAATTTTTTTGTTTCAATTTCATTCAGCTCCACTGTGGTTTTAGTTCTTTCTTTTCTTCTGCTAGCTTTGGGCTTCATTTTTTCCTTGTTTTTCTAGTTCTTCTAGGTGTGATGTTAGATTGTTAATTTGAGATCTTTCCAACTTTTGAGGTAGGCATTTAATGCTATAAACTTTCCTCTTAACACCGCTTTTGCTGCATCTAGAGATTTTCGAATGTTCTGTCTCTGTTTTCATTTATTTCAACTAATTTTTTGATTTTTTGCCTTGATTTTATTGTTTACCCAAAAGTCATTCAGGAGCAAATTGTTTAATTTTTATGTAATTGAGTGGTTTTGAGAGAGCTTCTTGGTATTAATTTCTATATTTATTCCATTGCGGTACAAGAGTATGGTTGATATAATTTTGATTTTTTTGAACTTAATGATGTTTGATTTATGGCTGAGCATGTTCTGTGTAATAATCGTGGACTATGTTCTGTGTGCAGATGAGAATGCATGTTCTATGGTTGATGGGTGGAATATTTTGTAGATATCTATTAGGTCCAATTGGTCAAGCGACTAGTTTAAGTTCAGAATCTCTCTGTTAGTTTTCTGTCTCAATGATCTGTCTAATGCTGTTTGTGGAGTGTTGAAGTTCACCACTATTATTGTGTGGCTTTGTAAGTCTACATGTAGGTCTTAGAAGTCCTTCTTTTATGAATTGGGATTTTCTGATGTTGAGTGCATATATATTTAGGATAGTTCAGTCTTCTTATTGAATCGAACACTTTATCATTATGTAATGTCCTTCTTTGTCCTTTTTCCTGTTCTTAAAGTCTACCTTACGTGATACAATAATAATGATGTCTGCTCTATTTTTTTTCCATTTATGTTGTACTTTTTCACCTTTTTACTTTGAGCCTTTGGGTATCATTACATGTGAGATGGGTCTCTTCGAGACAGCAGACGGTTGCCTCTTGTATTTTATCCAACTTGTCACTCCATGCCTCTTAAGTGGGGTATTTAGACCATTTACATTCAAGGCTAATGTTGATATGTGAGGTTTGATCCTATTGTGAGACTGTCAGCTGGTTACTTTTTAATTTATATTGGGTTTTGTAGGGCCTGCGGGCTATGTACTTAAGTATGTTTAAGTATGTTAAGTATGTTTTTGTGGTAGTGGGTATCATACTTTTCTTTCCATGATTAGAACTCCCTTAAGGATCTCTTGTAAGTATGGTCCAGTAGTAACAAATTTTCTTTGTGCTTGCTTGTCTGGAAAATATTTTATTTCTCCTTAGGTTACGAAGCTTAGTTTGCTAGAATATGAAATTCTTCATTGGACTTTCTTTTCTTTAAAAATGATGAAAATGGGCCCCCCATATCTTCTGGCATGTAAGGTTTCTGCTGATAAGTCCACTGTTAGACTGATGGGATTCCCTTTTTATGTGATGTGCCCTTCTCTAACTGCTTTCAAGGTTTTTTCTTTATTGTATACCTTGAACATTCTGGTTACTTTATGCCTTTGTGGTGTTCACTATCTCACAGGTGTTCTCTGTATTTCTTGTACCTGGATGTCTACCTCTCTAGCAAGATAATGGAAGTTTTCTTGAATTATTCCCTCAAATATATTTTCCAACTTGTTTGCTTTTTCTCTTCTCTTCTCAGGAATTACAATAATTTGTAGATTTGGTCATGTTGCATAATCCCATAGCTCTCAAAGGCTTTGCTCATTCTAAAAAATTACTTTTTCATTTTTATCAGACTGGGTTAGCTCAAAAGACTCATCTTCAAGCTCCAAAATCATTTCTTCTGCTTGGTCCAGTTTATTAATGAAGTTTTCAGTTGTATTTTGAAATTCCTTAAGTGAGTTTTTCAATTTGAGAAACTCTGATTTATTTCTAAGATGTTTGTCTCTTCCTTTCCTGAATTGCTTTAGAAGTTTATTTTTATTGATTTTCAGCCTTGTCTTGCATCTCACTGAGCTTTCTTGCCATCCATGTTTTGAATTCTTCATCTGTCACTTCTGAGTTTCCTTTTTTTATTATTATTATACTTTAAGTTTTAGGGTACATGTGCACAATGTGCAGTTTAGTTACATATTTATACATGTGCCATGCTGGTGTGCTGCACCCATTAACTCGTCATTTAGCATTAGGTATATTTCCTAAAGCTATCCTTCCCCCTCCCCCCACACCACAACAGTCCCCAGAGTGTGATGTTCCCCTTCCTGTGTTCATGTGTTCTCATTGTTCAATTCCCACCTATGAGTGAGAATATGCGGTGTTTGGTTTTTTCTTCTTGCGATAATAGTTTACTGAGAATGATGATTTCCAATTTCATCCATGTCCCTACAAAGGACATGAACTCATCATTTTTTATGGCTGCATAGTATTCCATGCTGTATATGTGCCACATTTTCTTAATCCAGTCTATCATTGTTGGACATTTGGGTTGGTTACAAGTCTTTGCTATTGTGAATAGTGCCGCAATAAACATACGTGTGCATGTGTCTTTATAGCAGCATGATTTATAGTCCTTTGGGTATATACCGAGTAATGGGATGGCTGGGTCAAATGGTATTTCTAGTTCTAGATCCCTGAGGAATCGTCACACTGACTTCCACAATGGTTGAGCTAGTTTACAGTCCCACCAACAGTGTAAAAGTGTTCCCATTTCTCCACATCCTCTCCAGAACCTGTTGTTTCCTGACTTTTTAATGATTGCCATTGTAACTGGTGTGATATGATATCTCATTGTGGTTTTGATTTGCATTTCTCTGATGGCCAGTGATGGTGAGCATTTTTTCATGTGTTTTTTGGCTGCATAAATGTCTTCTTTTGAGAAGTGTCTGTTCATGTCCTTCGCCCACTTTTTGATGAGGTTGTTTGTTTTTTTCTTGTAAATTTGTTTGAGTCCATTGTAGATTCTGGATATTAGCCCTTTGTCAGATGAGTAGGTTGCGAAAATTTTCTCCCATTTTGTAGGTTGCCTGTTCACTCTGATGGTAGTTTCTTTTGCTGTGCAGAAGCGCTTGAGTTTAATTAGATCCCATTTATCAATTTTGGCTTTTGTTGCCATTGCTTTTGGTGTTTTAGACATGAAGTATTTGCCCATGCCTATGTCGTGAATGGTAATGCCTAGGTTTTCTTCTAGGATTTTTATGATTTTAGGTCTAACGTTTAAGTCTTTAATCCATCTTGAATTAATTTTTGTATAAGGTGTAAGGAAGGGATCCAGTTTCAGCTTTCTACATATGTCTAGCCAGTTTTCCCAGCACCATTTATTAAATAGGGAATCCTTTCCCCATTGCTTGTTTTTCTCAGGTTTGTCAAAGATCAGATAGTTGTAGATAAGCGGTGTTATTTCTGAGGGCTCTGTTCTGCTCCATTGATCTATATCTCTGTTTTGGTACCAGTACCATGCTGTTTTGGTTACTGTATCCTTGTAGTATAGTTTGAAGTCAGGTAGCATGATGCCTCCAGCTTTGTTCTTTTGGCTTAGGATTGACTTTGCGATGCGGGCTCTTTTTTGGTTTCATATGAACTTTAAAGTTGTTTTTTCCAATTCTGTGAAGAAAGTCATTGGTAGCTTGATGGGGATGGCATTGAATCTATAAATTACCTTGGGCAGTATGGCCATTTTCACGATATTGATTCTTCCTACCCATGAGCATGGAATGTTCTTCCATTTGTTTGTATCCTCTTTTATTTCCTTGAGGAGTGGTTTGTAGTTCTCCTTGAAGAGGTCCTTCACATCCCTTGTAAGGTGGATTCCTAGGTATTTTATTCTCTTTGAAGCAATTGTGAATGGGAGTTCCCTCATGATTTGGCTCTCTGTTTGTCTGTTATTGGTGTATAAGAATGCTTGTGATTTTTGTACATTGATTTTGTATCCTGAGACTTTGCTGAAGTTGCTTATCAGCCTAAGGAGATTTTGGGCTGAGACAATGGGGTTTTCTAGATATACAATCATGTCATCTGCAAACAGGGACAATTTGACTTCCTCTTTTCCTAATCCAATACCCTTTATTTCCTTCTCCTGCCTAATTGCCCTGGCCAGAACATCCAACACTATGTTGAATAGGAGTGGTGAGAGAGGGCATCCCTGTCTTGTGCCAGTTTTCAAAGGGAATGCTTCCAGTTTTTGCCCATTCAGTATGATATTGGCTGTGGGTTTGTCATAGATAGCTCTTATTCTTTTGAGATATGTCCCATCAATACCTAATTTATTGAGAGTTTTTAGCATGAAGCGTTGTTGAATTTTGTCAAAGGCCTTTTCTGCATCTATTGAGATAATCATGTGGTTTTTGTCTTTGGTTCTGTTTATATGCTGGATTACATTTATTGATTTACATATATTGAACCAGCCTTTCATCCCATGGATGAAGCCCACTTGATCATGGTGGATAAGCTTTTTGATGTGCTGCTGGATTCGGTTTGCCAGTATTTTATTGAGGATTTTTGCATCAATGTTCATCAAGGATATTGGTCTAAAATTCTCTTTTTTGGTTGTGTCTCTGCCTGGCTTTGGTATCAGGATGATGCTGGCCTCCTAAAATGAGGTAGGGAATCCTCTTTTTCTGTTGATTGGAATAGTTTCAGAAGCAATGGTACCAGTTCCTCCTTATACCTCTGGTAGAATTTGGCTGTGAATCCATCTGGTCCTGGACTCTTTTTGGTTGGTAAGGTATTGATTATTGCCACAATTTCAGAGCCTGTTATTGGTCTATTCAGAGATTCAACTTCTTCCTGGTTTAGTCTTGGGAGGGTGCATGTGTCAAGGAATTTATCCATTTCTTCTAGATTTTCTAGTTTATTTGTGTAGAGGTGTTTGTAGTATTCTCTGATGGTAGTTTGTATTTCTGTGGAATCAGTGGTGATATCCCCTTTATCATTTTTTATTGCATCTATTTGATTCTTCTCTCTTTTCTTCTTTATTAGTCTTGCTAGTGGTCTATCAATTTTGTTGATCCTTTCAAAAAACCAGCTCCTCGATTCATTAATTTTTTGAAGGGTTTTTTGTGTCTCTATTTCCTTCAGTTCTGCTCTGATTTTAGTTATTTCTTGCCTTCTGCTAGCTTTTGAATGTGTTTGCTCTTGCTTTTCTAGTTCTTTTAATTGTGATGTTAGGGTGTCAATTTTAGATCTTTCCTGCTTTCTCTTGTGGGCATTTAGTGCTATAAGTTTCCCTCTACACACTGCTTTGAATGTGTCCCAGAGATTCTGGTATGTTGTGTCTTTGTTCTCATCGGTTTGAAAGACCATCCTTATTTCTGCCTTCATTTCATTATGTACCCAGTAGTCATTCAGGAGCAGGTTGTTCAGTTTCCATGTAGTTGAGCGGTTTTGACTGAGTTTTGTAATCCTGAGTTCTAGATTGATTGCACTGTGGTCTGAGAGATAGTTTGTTATAATTTCTGTTCTTTACAGTTGCTGAGGAGAGCTTTGCTTCCAACTATGTGGTCAATTTTGGGATAGGTGTGGTGTGGTGCTGGAAAAAATGTATATTCTGTTGATTTGGGGTGGAGAGTTCTGTAGATGTCTGTTAGGTCCTCTTGGTGCAGAGCTGAGTTCAATTCCTGAGTATCCTTGTTGACTTTCTGTCTCGTTGATCTGTCTAATGTTGACAGTGGGGTGTTAAAGTCTCCCATTATTAATGTGTGGGAGTCTAAGTCTCTTTGTAGGTCACTCAGGAGTTGCTTTATGAATCTGGGTGCTCCTGTATTGGGTGCATATATATTTAGGATAGTTAGCTCTTCTTGTTGAATTGATCCCTTTACCATTATGTAATGTCCCTCTTTGTCTCTTTTGATCTTTGTTGGTTTAAAGTCTGTTTTATCCGAGACTAGGATTGCAACCCCTGCCCTTTTTTGTTTTCCATTTGCTTGGTAGATCTTCCTCCATCCTTTTGTTTTGAGCCTATGTGTGTCTCTGCATGTGAGGTGGGTTTCCTGAATACAGCACACTGATGGGTCTTGACTCTTTATCCAATTTGCCAGTCTATATCTTTTAATTGGAGCATTTAGTCCATTTACATTTAAAGTTAATATTGTTATGTGTGAATTTGATCCTGTCATTATGATGTTAGCTGGCTATTTTGCTCGTTAGTTGATGCAGTTTCTTCCTAGCCTCGATGGTCTTTACAATTTGGCATGATTTTACAGTGACTGGTACTGGTTGTTCCTTTCCATGTTTAGTGCTTCTTTCAGGAGTTCTTTTAGGGCAGGCCTGGTGGTGAAAAAATCTCTCAGCATTTGCTTGTCTGTAAAGGATTTTATTTCTCCTTCACTTATGAAGCTTAGTTTGGCTGGATATGAAATTCTGGGTTGAAAATTCTTTTCTTTAAGAATGCTGAATATTGGCCCCCAGTCTCTTCTGGCTTGTAGAGTTTCTGCCGAGACATCTGCTGTTAGTCTGATGGGCTTCCCTTTGTGGGTAACCCGACCTTTCTCTCTGGCTGCCTTTAACATTTTTTCCTTCATTTCTACTTTGGTGAATCTGATAATTATGTGTCTTGGAGTTGCTCTTCTCAATAAGTATCTTTGTGGCATTCTCTGTATTTCCTGAATCTGAATGTTGGCCTGCCTTGCTAGATTGGGGAAGTTCTCCTGGATAATATCCTGCAGAGTGTTTTCCATCTTGGTTCCATTCTCCCTGTCACTTTCAGGTACACCAATCAGACGTAGATTTGGTCTTTTCACATAGTCCCATATTTCTTGGAGGCTTTTTTCGTTTCTTTTTATTCTTTTTTCTCTAAACTTTCCTTCTCACTTCATTTCATTCATTTCATCTTCCATCACTGATACCCTTTCTTCCAGTTGATCGCATTGGCTCCTGAGGCTTCTGCATTCTTCACGTAGTTCTTGAGCCTTGGCTTTCAGCTCCATTAGCTCCTTTAAGCACTTCTCTGTATTGGTTATTCTAGTTATACATTTATCTAAATTTTTTTCAAATTTTCAACTTCCTTGCCTTTGGTTTGAATTTCCTCCTGTAGCTCAGATTAGTTTGATTGTCTGAGGCCTTCTTCTCTCAACTCGTCAAAGTCATTCTCCGTCCAGCTTTGTTCCGTTCCTGGTGAGGAGCTGTGTTCCTTTGGAGGAGGAGAGGCGCTCTGCTTTTTAGAGTTTCCAGTTTTTCTGCTCTATTTTTTCCCCATCTTTGTCGTTTTATCTACTTTTGGTCTTTGATGATGGTGATGTACAGATGGGTTTTTGGTGTGGATGTCCTTTCTGTTTGTTAGTTTTCCTTCTAACAGACAGGACCTTCAGCTGCAGGTCTGTTGGAGTTTGCTAGAGGCCCACTCCAGACCCTATTTGCCTGGGTACCAGCAACGGTGGCTGCAGAACAGGGGATTTTTGTGAACCAAAAATGCTGCTGTCTGATCGTTCCTCTGGAAGTTTTGTCTCAGAGGAGTACCCGGCCATGTGCAGTGTCAGTCTGCCCCTACTTGGGGGATGCCTCCCAGGTAGGCTGCTCGTGGTTCAGGGATCAGGGACCCACTTGAGGAGGCAGTCTGCCCATTCTCAGATCACCAGCTTCATGCTGAGAGAACCACTGCTCTCTTCAAAGCTGTCAGACAGGGACATCTAAGTCTGCAGACGTTACTGCTGTCTTTTTGTTTGTCTGTGCCCTTCCCACAGAGGTGGAGCCTACAGAGGCAGGCAGGCCTCCTTGAGCTGTGGTGGGCTCCACCCAGTTCGAGCTTCCTGGCTGTTTTGTTTACCTAAGCGAGCCTGGGCAATGGCGGGTGCCCCTCCCCCAGCCTTGCTGCCACCTTGCAGTTTGATCTCAGACTGCTGTGCTAGCAATCAGTGAGACTCCATGGGCGTAGGACCGTCTGAGCCAGGTGCGGGATATAATCTCCTGGTGCACCATTTTTTAAGCCCGTCTGAAAAGCGAAGTATTAGGGTGGGAGTGACCCCATTTTCCAAGTGCCGTCTGTCACCCCTTTCTTTGACTAGGAAAGGGAACTCCCTGTCCCCTTGCGCTTCCCGAGTGAGGCAATGCCTCGCCCTGCTTTGGCTGGTGCACGGTGTGCTGCACCCACTGTCTTGCGCCCACTGTCTGGCACTCCCTAGTGAGATGAACCCGGTACCTCAGATGGAAATGCAGAAATCACGCATCTTCTGCATCGCTCATGCTGGGAGCTGTAGACTGGAGCTGTTCCTATTCGGCCATCTTGGCTCCCGAATCTGTGAGTTTCCATTTTGGTTAAGGATCATTGCTGAAAGGCTAGTGCAATCTTTTGGTGGTTTCACTACATTCAGATTTTTCATAGTGCCAGGATTCTTATGCTGGTTTCTCTTCATTTGGATTTGCTAGCACTTCTAATTTGGGGGTAAGATTTTTTTCTTTCACTGTGTTTTTTTAAAAGTTTTTAAAGAAATGTTTTTTTCTTTCCCTTACTGTAGAGAATGCTGGGTAAGTTCTTTTGGCTTTGCTTCTATAGCCCTGTGCACTTCTTTCAGCAGGCTTTATATTGGGCTGTACAGTTTGTCCTATAAGCCTATAGATGGCACTTATATGTAACAGTTAGCTATAGCCAAGGAGGCTAGGTATATACTTAATCCTTGTTTACTATCAGCTCTCTGTTGCCTCAGGCATTGGGCTGATTGGTAGACTGCGCAGAGATCTGAGATCCCTGCTTAGCCCTGGTGGGATGGGAGCCATGAATGGTGGGGCCAGACTGGGCAATTCCACCTGCTGGTCCCCTGATGGCAGACACAAGCACCAGTGCCAGGGGAAAGTCCAGTGGGTGGCCAGCAGGCCTCCAGAGGTTTGCCTGGGCATGGAGCTAGGAAACCTCTTTGGCTCCAAATACTCTCTGCATGGAGATAAGAGGTAGCCTAAGCTCCTATTCCAGGAGAGTGAGTGTTCTAGATGTCTGGAGATCTGCCTGGGCATGGAGCAGACAGAGCCCTACTGCATCAAGATCTATGTCCATGAAGGGTGGCGTGGCTCAGGCTGCCGAACCAGGCAAATGGGTACTTCAGATACCTAGAAATCTGCCTGGGTGTGGAGCAGAGAGAGCCCTGCTAAACCATGTCTATGTTCAGGAAGGGTGGGACAGTTCAGGCTGCTGGACCAGGTGAACAATTGCTCTGAATGCCTGGAGGTCCGCATGATCACGGAGCAGAGCCACACTGCACCAAGATCTATGTCCAGGAAGGGTGGGGTGGTTCAGGCCGCTGAACCAGGTACACAGGTGTTCCATATGCCTGCAATTCTGCCTGGTTGTGGAGCAGAGAGGCCTCCCTGCACCACGATCTCAGGGGAACAGGGTGGTGGACCCAGAAATGACACACACAGATCAGTTTCAAGTTGTCAAGCAGGCCCTGGCTGCATGTCACTGTCCAGGAGAAACTACAGCTGTAATAATTCTCCTCCCATCCAGACTAGTAACGGGGAAAGCACAATTCCAGTGCCTACTGCTAAGGCACTTTCCACAGTACTGGCTGTGGAGGCCCCTATCCTGCTCCAGAGCAGGTACTCTAGTCTCTGGCCCGAGACTGAAATGCCTGTGCAGACACGCTGCTGCGTCACCAAGGAATGGCTGAGTTTGTATGCACTGGTGTTAAAAGTGGCATCCTGCTCTCAATTCTGGGTCTGGGAAAATGTCTGCAGCTTTTCCAAGTGTCTTTCCCTCACAGTGTCTCCAAGCTTTTTCCTCACCCACATTCGATTCCTAGATTTCAGTTCCTGGAGCAAAGGGAGAGTGGGGGGAACATGTTAACACTAGTTAACATATATGTATAATTTTTTCCAAGTCAGTAAACAGAGATTTGCTTCATTCTTTCCAGTAGTTACATAATACTAAAATGTAAGAAATATTTCAATGCATGAATATACCATCACTTATTAATCTCTATTAATGAACTTTAGGCTATTCTATATATTTGCTGATAAACATGACTCCAGTTATTATAATTCTACATTCAACGTAAGTCATTTCTTTAGTTATTTTTGTTAGATGAATTTCTAGAAATGGAATTCTGGATAAAAATGTTTGCAGATTTAAAAAATAGATAATACCAAATTACCCTTCAGAATGGCTGTACTCATTTAGACCCTGCCAAAAAAAATGTAGAATTCCTATTTCTTTCTCAACACTGGATTCTGAGAGAAGTTGTGTTAAATACGTAGAATTATATAGGAAAAATTAAGATTCTGGCAGAATTACATTTTCTCATCAAGGGATATGATAAGTTTCTACATTTGTCTTTATTTTATGTCCTTCACTTAAGTTTCATAGTGTTCTTTATGTATTTTTTGTACCTTTATGTTGTTAGAGATTCTCAGGATTATTTCTAGATATTTTATAGCTGTTATTGATAATGGCAACTTTTCTCCTTATTACATTTCCTACTTGGTTATTGCTAGTATGTAGAAATGTTGATGTTCATTGATTGAATTTATCTCTCTTTATTTTCCCTTTTTGTATTGTATTACTTACAGCTTTCAGAATACTGTTGGCTAATAGAGTGAAAAGGAAACATGTTTCTCTTGCTCTTGCTTTTATTAGAAATGAATTTTGTGTTTTAACTTTAAATATATTTGTACTTGAGTTCACATAAATGCTATTTATAAAATAAAGAAAATTTACTTTTTGGAATTCCACAGTTACCATTTTTTTCAAGTCAGGGAGATACTCAATTTTATTAAATTTTTTTTGTCATCTATCAGAATAAACATATATATATAAAAATTCCTTTTTGACATATTAATGTGTTAAATTACTTTATTTGTATGTTGACTTATCCTTTTGCTCTTGGCCTAAACTTCATCATGGGGTCTTATTCTTGAAGTATATTCCTATATTTGATTTGCTATATTTCATTTGGAATTTGTGCATTTAAATTTTTTTTGCTTTGTTAATTATCCTCCTGTGGGTACTAAGATTTTTATCAATTGCTTACATTCATACATCAAGGTTGATCAGTATATAGCTGGTATGGGGAACTCAGAATTCATGAAGGTCAGTGTTCAGTATCCTTCTCCCTTTTTCCCCGAAGTCCAGTAATTAATCTATGCAGGAGACTCGCAGGCAATAAACCCCACTTAAATATTTGAGACCCAAGGGGAGGATACCATGTTCTCCTACTCTGAATGACATTTTAATGACTTTTAAACTTTTAAAGTTTAAATGACTTTATTCCTCAAGTCTTGAGATTTTTGTTATCTCTAACTTTTTCTTTTCTCTTTTTAACTATTATTTTACCTACAGGGGTAGAAGTACAGGTTTGTTATACAGGTAAATTGCATGTCACAGGGGTTTGATATACAAATTTTGTTACCCAGGTAATAAGCATAGTATATGATAGGTAGCTTTTGGATCATTACCCTCCTCCCACCTTCTACCCTCAAATGGGCCCTGGTGTCTTTTGTTGGCTTCTGTTTTTACTCAATGTTCAGCTCCCATTTATAAATGGGAATATGAAGTATTTGGTTTTTCTGTTGCAACATTAGTTTGCTTAGGATAATGGCCTCCAGCTCCATAAATGTTGTTGGAAAGGACATGGTCTCATTCTCTTTTTTATGGCTGTGTAGTATTCCACGATGCATTATGTACCACATTGTCTTTACCTAGTCTACCATTAATGAGAACTTAGGTAAATTCCATGTCTTCGCTATTGTGAATAGTGCTGCAAATGAACATATGTGTGCCTTTATCTTTATGGTAGAACAATTTATATTCTGGATATATATTCAATAATGGGATTGCTGGGTAGAATGGTAGTTGTTTTTATGTTCGTTGAAAAAACACCAAACTGCTTTCCACAATGGATAAATTGATATGTATTTGCACCAGCAGTGCATAAGCCTTCACGTTTCTCTACAACCTTGGTAGCATTTGTTATTTTTTGGTGGTTTAAAAGTAGCCATTCTGAATGGTGTGAGATGATATCTTATTGTGGTTTTCAGTTGCATTTTGTCTAATTGTTAGTGATGTTGTGCATTTGTTTCATATGCTTGTTGGCTGCATGTATGTCTTTCTTTTAAAAGGGTCTCTTCATGTCCTTTGCCCATTTTTAATGGAGGTTTTTGATTATTGCTTGTTGATTGGTTTGATTTCCTTATAGATTCTGGATATTAAACCTTTCTCAGATGCATAGTTTTCAAACATTTTCTCTGATTATGTAGGTGGTCTGATTACTCTGTTGATAGGTTTTTTTGCTATAAAGAAGATCCTTAGTTAATTAGATCCCATTTTTCAATTTTTTTAATTATACTTTAAGTTCTGGGATACATGTGCAGAACATGCAGGTTTGTTACATAGGTATACACATGCCATGGTGGTTTGCTGCACCCATCAACCCATCATCTATATTAGGTATTTCTCCTAATGCTATCCCTCCCCTAGGACCCCACCCCCTGACAGGCCCCAGTGTGTGATGTTCCCCTACCTGTGTCCATGTGTTCTCATTGTTCACCTCCCACTTATGAGTGAGAACATGCGGTGTTTGGTTCTCTGTTCCTGTGTTAGTTTGCTGATAATTATGGTTTAATCCATGTTCCTGCAAAGGATATGAACTCATCCTTTTTTATGGCTGCATAGTATTCCACATTGTATATGTGCCACATTTTCTTTATCCAATCTATCATTGATGGGCATTTAGGTCTTTGCTATTATGAACACTGCTGCGATAAACATACATGTGCATGTGTCTTTATAGTATAATGACTTATAATCCTTTGGGTATATACCCAGTAATGGGATTGCTGGGTCAAATGGTATTTCTGGTTCTAGATCCTTGAGGAATCGCCACACTGTCTTCCACAGTGGTTGAACTAATTGACACTCCCACCAACAGTGTAAAAGAATTCCTATTTCTCTACATCCTCTCCAGCATCTGTTGTTTCTTGACTTTTTAATGATCACCATTCTGACTGGCGTGAGATGGTATCTCCTTGAGGATTTGATGTTCATTTCTCTAATGACCAGTGATGATGAGCATTTTTTCGTATGTTTGTTGGCCACATAAATGTCTTCTTTTGAGAAGTATCTGTTCATATTCTTCACCCACTTTTTGATGGGGTTGTTTATTTCTTGTAAATTTGTTTAAGTTCTTTGTAGATTCTGGATATTAGCCCTTTGTCAGATGGATAGATGGCAAAAATTTTCTCCCATTCTGTAGATTGCCTGTTCATTCTGATGATAATTTATTTTGCTCTGCAGAAGCTCTTTAGTTTAATTAGATCCCATTTGTCAATTTTGGCTTTGGTTGAAATTGCTTTTGGTGTTTTAGCCATGAAGTGATTGCTTATGCCTATGTCCTGAATGGTATTGCCTAGGTTTTATTCTAGGGTTTTTATGGTTTTAGGACTTAGGTTTAAGTCTTTAATACATCTTGACTTAATTTTTGTATAAGCTGTAAGGAAAGGGTCCATCTTGACTTAATTTTTGTATAAGCTGTAAGGAAAGGGTCCAGTTTCAGTTTTCTGCATATAGCTAGCCAGTTTTCCCAACACCATTTATTAAATATAGAATCATTTCTCCATTGCTTGTTTTTGTCAGTTTTGTCAAAGATCAGATGGTTGTAGATGTGTGGCATTATTTCTGAGGCCTCTATTCTGTTCCATCGGTCTATATATCTGATTTGGTACCCGTACCATGCTCTTTTGGTTATTGCAGTGTTGTAGTATTGCTTGAAGTCAGGTAGTGTGATGCCTCCAGCTTTGTTCTTTCTGCTTAGGGTTGTGTTGGCTATATGGGTTCTTTTTTGGTTCCATATGAAATTTAAAGTAATTTTTTTTTTCTAATTCTGTGAAGAAAGTCAATAGTAGCTTGATGGCGATAGCATTGAATCTATAAGTTACTTTGGGGATTATGGCCATTTTCACGACATTGATTCTTCTTATCCATGAGCATGGAATGCTTTTTCATTTGTTTGTGTCCTCTCTTAATTCCTTGAGCAGTTGTTTGTAGTTCTACTTCAAGAGGTCCTTCATATCCCTTGTAAGTTGTATTCCTAGGTATTTTACTCTCTTAGTAGCAATTGTGAATGGGAGTTCACTCATGATTTGGCTCTCTGTCTGTTATTGGTGCATAGGAATGCTTGTGATTTTTGCACATTTATTTTGTATCCTGAGACTTTGCTGAAGTTGCTTCTCAGCTTAAGGAGATTTTGGGCTGAAATGATGGGGTTTTCTAAATATACAGTCATGTCATCTGCAAACAGAGACAATTTGACTTCTCTCTTCCTATTTGAATACCCTTTATTTCTTTTTCTTGCCTGATTGCCCTGTCCAGAACTTCCTATACTATGTTTAGTAGGAGTGGTGAGAGACAGCATCCTTGTCTTGTGCTGGTTTTCAAAGGGAATGCTTCCAGCTTTTGCCTATTCAGTATGATATTGGCGGTGGGTTTGTCAAAAATAGCTCTTATTATTTTGAGATATGTTGCATCAATACCTAGTTTATTCAGAGTTTCTAGCTTGAGGGGGTGTTGAATTTTATCAAAGGCCTCTTCTGCATCTATTGAGGTAATCATGTGGTTTTTGTCATTGTTTATATTTATATGATGAATTATGTTTATTGATTTGCATATGTTGAACCAGCCTTGCATCCCAGGGATGAAGCCAAATTGATCGTGGTACATAAGCTTTTTGATGTGCTGCTGGATTCAGTTTGCCAGTATTTTATTGAGGATTTTCGCCTCGATGTTCATCAGGGATATTGGCCTGAAATTTTCTTTTTTTGTTGTGTCTCTCCCAGGTTTTGGTGTCACTATGACGTTGGCCTCATAAAATAAGTCAGGGAAGAGTCCCTCTTTCTCTATTGTTTGGAATGGTTTCAGAAGGAATGGTACCAGCTCCTCTTTGTACCTCTGGTCGAATTTGGCTGTGAATCCATCTTGTCCTGGGCTCATTTTGGTTGGTAGGCTATTAATTACTGCCTCGATTTCAGAACTTGTTATTGGTGAACTCAGGGATTCGATTTCTTCCTGGTGTGTAGTGTATTCTCTGATGGTAGTTTGTATTTCTGTGGGATCAGTGGTGATATCCCCTTTTTCATTTTTATTGTGTCTATTTGATTCTTCTCTCTTTTCTTTTTTATTAGTCTGGCTAGTGGTCCATCTATTTTGTTAATCTTTTCAAAAAGCCACCTCCTGGATTCATTGATTTTTAAGGGTTTTTCATGTCTCTATCTCCTTCAGTTCTGCTCTCATCTTAGTTATTTCTTGTCTTCTGCTAGGTTTTGAATTTGTTTGCTCTTACTTCTCTAATTCTTTTAATCGTGATGTTAGGATGTCAATTTTAGATCTTTCCTGCTTTCTCCTGTAGGAATTTAGTGCTATAAATTTCTCTCTAAACACTGCTTTAGCTGTGTCCCAGAGAGTGTGGTACGTTGTGTCTTTGTTGTCATTGTTTTCTAAGAAATTATTTATTTCTTCCTTAATGTTGTTGTTTACCCAGTAGTTATTCAGGAACAGGTTGTTCAGTTTTTATGTAGATGCGGGGTTTTGAGTGACTTTCTTAATCCTGAGTGCTAATTTGATTGCACTGTGGTTTGAGAGACTTTTTATGATTTCCATTTTTTTACATTTGCTGAGGAGTATTTTACTTCCAGTTATGTGGTCAATTTTAGAATATGTGTGATGTGGTGCAGAGAAGAATGTTTATGCTGTTGATTTGAGGTGGAGAGTTCTGTAGATGTCTCTTAGGTCTGCTTGGTCCAGATCTGGGTTCAAGTCCTGAATATCATTGTTAATTTTCTGTCTTGTTGATCTGTCTGATATTGACAGTGGGGTGTTAAAGTCTCTCACTATTATTGTGTGGGAGTCTAAGTCTCTTTGTAGGTCTCTAAGAACTTCCTTTATAAATCTGGGTGCTCCTGTATTGGGTGATTGGGTGTTTGTGTGTGGGTGTGTGTCTATATATATATATATATATATATATATTAGCTCTTTTTGTTGCATTGATTTTTTACTATTATGTAATGCCCTTCTTTGTCTTTGTTGGTCTTTGTTTATTTAAAGTCTGTTTTATCAGAGACTAGGATCACAACCTCTGCTTGTGTTTTATTTTCCATTTGCTTGGTAAATATTTCTCCATCCCTTTATTTTGAGCCTATGAGTTTCTTTGCATGTGAGATGGGTCTCCTGAATACACCACACTGATGGGTCTTGACTCTGTATCCAATTTGCCAGTCTGTGTCTCTTAGTTGGGGCATTTATCCTGTTTACATTTAAGGGTACCATTGTTATGTGTGAATTTGATCCTGTCATTATGATGCTAGCTGGTTATTTTGCCCATTAGTTGATACAGTTTCTTCATGGTGTCAATGATATTTAAAATTTGGTATGTTTTTGCAGTGGCTAGTACTGGTTTTTCATTTCCATATTTAGTACTTCCTTCTAGAGCTCTTGTAAGGCAGGCCTGGTGGTGACAAAATCACTCAGCATTTGCTTGTCTGTAAAGGATTTTTTTTTTCTTCTTTTCTTATGAAGTTTAGTTTGGCTGGATATGAAATTCTGGGTGGAAAATTCTTTTCTTCAAGAATGTTGTATAGTGGCCCCCACTCTCTTCTGGCTTGTAGGGTTTCTGCAGAGAGATCCACTTAGTCCAATGGGCTTCCCTTTGTGGGTAAGCCAACCTTTCTCTCTGGCTGCCCTTAACATTTTTTCTTTCATTTCAACCTTGGTGAATCTGATGAATATTTGTCTTTGGGTTCCTCTTCTCGAGGAGTATCTTTGTGATGTACTTTGTATTTCCTGAATTTGAATTTTGGCATGTCTTGCTAGATTGCAGAAGTTTTCCTGGACAATATCCTGAAGAGTGTTTTCCAGCTTGTTTCCATTCTCCCTGTCACTTTCATGTACACCAATCAAACATAGATTTGGTTTTTTCACAAAGTCCCATATTTCTTGGAGGCTTTGTTCCTTTTCATTTTTTTCTCTAATCTTGTCTTTACACTTTATTTCAGTAAGTTTATCTTTAATCTCTGATATCCTTTCTTTCGCTTGATCGATTCAGCTATTGATACTTGTGTACGTTTCACGAAGTTCTCATACTGTGGTTTTCAGCTCCATCAGGTCGTTTATGTTCTTCTCTAAACTGGTTATTCCAGTTAGCAATTCCTCTAACCTTTTTTCAAGGTTCTTAGCTTTTTTGCATTGGGTTAGAACCTGCTTCTTTAGGTTGTAGGTGTTTGTTATTACCCACCTTCTGAAGCCTACTTCTTTCAATTTATCAAGCTCATTCTCCATCTAGTTTTGTTCCATTGCTGGCAAGGAGTTGTGATCTTTGGAGAAGAGGAGTACTGGTTTTTGGAATTGTCAGCCTTTCTGCACTGTTTCTTCTTCATCTTTGTGGATTTATTTACCTTTGGTCTTTGATGTTGGTGACCTTTGGATGGGGTTTCTGTGTGGACGTTCTTGTTGTTTATGTTGATGTTATTCCTTTCTGTTTGTTGGTTTTCCTTCTGAAAGGCCCCTCTGCTGCAGGTCTGCTGGAGTTTGCTGGACGTCCACTCCAGACCGTGTTTGCCTGGGTATCACCAGCGGAGGCTGCAGACCAGCAAAGATTGCTGCCTGTTTCTTCCTCTGGAAGCTTCTTCCCAGAGGGACACCCGCCAGATGCCAGCCAGAGCTCTCCTGTATGAGGTGTCTGTCGACCCCTGCTGGGAAGTGTCTCCCAGACAGGAGGTACAGGGTTCACGAACACACTTGAGGAGGCTGTCTGTTCCTTAGCAGAGGTCGAGCACTATGCTGGGAGATCTGCTGCTCTTTTCAGAGCCAGCAGGCAGGAACGTTTAAGTCTGCTGAAGCTGCGCCCACAGCTGCCCCTTCCCCGAGGTGCTCTGTCACAGGGAGATGGGAGTTTTATCTATAAGCCCGTGACTGTGGCTGCTGCCTTTCTTCCAGTGATGCCCTGCCCAGAGAGGAGGAATCTAGAGAGGCTGTCTGGCTACATCAGCTTTGCAGAGCTGTGGTAGGCTTTGCCCAGTTCCTACTTCCCGGCAGCTTTGTTTATACTGTGAGGGGAAAACTGCCTACTCAAGCCTCAGTATTGGCAGATGCCCCTCCGCCCACCAAGCTGGAGCATCTCAGGTCAACTTCAGACTGCTGTGCTGGCAGGAAGAATTTCAAGCAAATGGATCCTCTCTTGCTGGGCTCTGTGGGGGTAGGATCCTCTGAGCTAGACCATTTAGCTCCTTGGCTTCAGTCCTTTTTCCAGGGGAGTGAATGGTTCTGTCTTGCTGGCATTCCAGGTGCCACTGGGATATTAAAAAAAAAAAAAAAATCCTGCAGCTAGGTCGGTTTCTGCCCAAATGGCCGCCCAGTTTTTTGCTTGAAACCCAGGGCCCTAGTGGCCTAAGCATCTGAGGGAATCTCCTGGTCTGTGGGTTGTGAAGACTGTGGAAAAAGCGTAGTATGGGGGCCAGAATGCACTGTCCCTCAAGGCACAGTCCCTTATGGCTTCTGTAGGCTAGGGGAGGGAGTTCCCCAACCCCTTGTGCTTCCTGGGTGAGGCGACGTCCCACCCTGCTTTGACTCACCCTCCGTGGACTGCACCCACTGCCTAACCAGTCCCAATGAGATGACCCAGGTACCTCAGTTTGAAATGCAGAAATCACCTGCCTTCTGCATTGATCTCGCTGGGAGCTGCAGACTGGAGCTGTTCCTATTGAGCTATCTTGCCAGCCACCTAATTAAAATAATTTTATTTCCTTTTAAGGCCTGTTATCTGTCTTGTGATGTTATAACAGAGTCAGGTTGGAGTTGGTATTTAATTGCTTCAAAGAGTTTTTTTTTTCTGTTAGTCTTAGGATCTCTATTTTAATGTTAATTCTAGTTAGTTGTGCCTGAACTCCAAAGAAATGAGAGTATAGTGAGGTATGTCTGACTCCCACTTCTTATCATGCTCTGAACTAGTTTTTTATGTTTCTTTGTGTTCCCTTGGCTGAGAGAAGGTCCATTCGGTCAGTTGGGGGACTTAGAATTTTAATTTTGTTCAGCACGTATATACCCAGTAGGGGGATTGCTGGGTCTAATGGTAATTCGCGTCCCATTTTTTGAAAAATCTTTAAACTGCTCAAAATTATGTCCTTTGCAGCAACATGGATGCAGCTGGAAACTATTCTTCTAAGCAAATTAATGAAGAAAAAGAAAACCAAGTACCACGTGTTCTCACTTATAAGTGGGAACTAAACACTCAGTATACATGGTTTTAAAAATAGAAACAATACACTCTGGGGAATCCAAGGGGACATGGCAGGGGTTAAGGGTTGTAAGAAGACTAACTATTGGATACTATACTCACTACCTGGTTGATGGATTCTTCATACTTTCAACCTCAGCATCATGCTATTACCCACAACCATTGTGGGCACATGTTCTCAGGCCCTCCTGTGGGTTATAATTTTTAACTTTGGCAAAGTAAACCTCTAAATTGATTGACGCTCTTCTCAGATACTTTTTGGTTTACCTACCAAAAGAAAAATGAAGTGTTCTACCAAAAAGACACATACACCCTTTTGTTCATTGCAGCATCGTTCACAATAGCATATTTCAAATCGCTATTTTCCCCATCCCCCTTGCGTATGTACCCACTGAATGTAAAATAAAATTGGAAAAAAATAAACATTTTCCAATTATAAAAAGAAATGCGCTCAGACTATTCTGTTCTACTTAATAAGGACTGTCCTCGAGAGAAACTATTTACCCGAGTCTAACCAACTTGGGAAAAAGGGGATACCCCTAATAATCTTTTTGTCTCACCAAAGAGGAGAGAAAAAAAATGACCAAGAAGTACATGTCAGGGTCACAAACTAGGGATACAGGCTCACTAAAAGACTGAGATCTAAATATAGGACTATAGAATGTAGTCCCCACCCACCTCCAATTTACCATTACATCAAAAGTGCTTGTGTATATTGATAGGGAGATGCAATGGAAAGAACTGCATATCTCAGACCTTATTTACAAATCATGCCATATAACCTTACATTGGATCAATGTAGAATATTTTTATGCAGCTATGCCAAAATGGCCCACTAAAACTGTAAAATCACTTTAAAATTCACATATATCTTCAACAGAAGATTATAGGGGGGGTCTTTATTAATTTATGTGTTGTTTGAATTTTTGTATGTATTACTGTTAATGTTAGAGCAATTAAATATTTTTAAGGTCTGTCAAAACTGGATTTACATAAAACAATAATATTCATTTAGTATGTGTCATACTCCAGGTACTTTTGTAAGTGCTTTACATATATTATTAATCCATTAATCTTAACAACACTATGAGGCAGATTTACCACTATTTCCTATGTAAAATATGTTGGAAAATCAAGGCACAAAGAGATTAGTCAACCTGCTCAAATTTATTTAGCTAGTAAATAATATCAAAGTAGTTATGAGTAGAGGCTTCTCACATTAATATGAATGATTATATCGTGTGTGTGTGTGTGTGTGTGTGTGTGTGTGTGTGTGTGTATAGAGTTAGAAATAATTATTAGAAATTGAATTTAGAATTTTGTGGTACTTGGATCAGATACCAAAGGATCACATTGTGATTTAATATCCTCTGAATGTGTAGCACCTCAATCTCCTTGAGTGTCAATATATATCCAATCAAGCAAAGTTAGCATAATCAGGAAGTCTACAAAATACAGATATGTCAATCTTTTATATTTTTAAATAGAAAATGGAATAAATTCCACTATTTATTGTGGCAGGTGAATAATGGTCCCAAATCATGTCTACACATGAATCCCAAGAATCTGTGACTGTTACCTTAAATGTATAAGAAGAAGATAAAATTTCAGGAACTTTCAAATGTATTATGCTAAAAGGAAAAGGTTAGCCCTGAAAGCTGACTCACATTGCACAACTATTTTTCTTATCTAGTGCATGACCTTTGTGTTGCAATTTCCTGCATTAACAAGACTCCCTATTTTTCATTCAAACCTATAAATGACATGAAGGTAGAGACCCTTGTGACATTTACCGCTTTACAATACAATGTTAAGCAACTACATTAGAATGTAATCAATAGTAGCGAATCAAATCTTATATCTCTATTTTAGCCTTTGTATAGAAAATGTTGTAATTCTGTTTGACACCTCCATTTTGTCTGTATAAATGGTTCTTATTTTTTCCCATACCGGGAGCACTGAACACCATTTTTTGGTATAGCTTTGCCCCCTGAACATTTACCCTCACACTTTGCACTTGAATGAACTCTGTTTAAATTAGATTCTAATTATTTTTATTATTTTAGGTTTACAAATGGCAGAAGAGACTTTTCAGATAAAGCTAAGGTTTCAGACCTTGAAACAGGGAGATTATCCTAGATTATCCCCTGAGTCTCATCTACCATGTGAGCCCATAAAAACAGAGAACTTGCTCAATCTCTAAGTAGGAGAGATATAGTGGAAGACATAGGAGAGATGGCAGAAGAGAAATTAGAGAGATTCGAAGCATGAAAGGGACTCAATTGTTCCAGGAAAACATACCACATGAAAAGCATGAGAAGAAATGAGAGCAGTCTCTAGCATCTGAGAGCAATTAAAAGCGAGGAAATTGGGACCTCCATCCTACAACTGCAAGGAACTGAATTTAGCCAACGACCAAAATGAACTTGGAAGCAGATTCTTCTCCAGAGCCTCTAGGAATGGCACAGCTTTTCTGACAACACTCTGATTTCAGCATTCTGAGACTTTTAACAGAGGACCCCAGCTGAACCATTCTGTACACAGGACTCTGATTTTGTTACTCAACCAAACTTTGGTTTACTTTCCTGGCACAGTAAAGTCAAACTTCTACACTATATCTGTGTGTTTTTACACTGCTGATAAAGACATACCCGAGACTGGGAAAAAAAAAGAGATTTAATTGGATTTACAGTTCCAAATGGCTGGGGAGGCCTCAGAATTATGGCAGGAGGTGAAAGACACTTCTTACATGGTGGCATCAAGAGAAAATCAGGAAGAAGCAAAAGTGGAAACCTCTGAAAAATCAATCAGATCTTGTGAGACTTATTCACTATCATGAGAAAAGCACAGGAAAGACCATCCCTCATGATTGAATTACCTCCCCCGGGTCCCTCCCACTACAAGTGAGAATTCTGGGAGATAAAATTCAAGTTGAGATTTGGGTGGAGACAGAGTCAAACCATGTTATTCCACGCCTGGCTTCTCCAAATCTCTTGTCTTCACATTACAAAACCAATCATGCCTTCCCAACAGCCACTCAAAGTGTTAACTTATTTCAGCATTAACCCAAAAGTCCACAGTCCAAAATCTCATCTGAGACAAGGCAAGTCCCTTTCACCTATGAGCCTGTAAAATAAAAAACAAGCTAGTTACTTCCTAGATATAATGGGGGTACAGGTATTGGAATTCCAAATGGGAGGAATTGGACAAAACAAAGCAGTTACAGGGCCCATGCAAGTCCAAAACCCGGTGAGGCAGTCAAATTTTAAAGCTCCAAAATGATCTCCTTTGACCCTAGGTCTCACATCCAGTTCAGGCGATGCAAGAGGTTGGTTCCCATGGTCCTAGAAAGCTCCATCCCTGTGGCTTTTCAGGGTATAGCCTCCTTCCCAGCTGCTTTCACAGGCTGGCATTGGGTGTCTGGCTTTTCCAGGTGCACAGTGCAAGCTGTCAGTGGATCTACCATTCTGGGGTCTGGAGGATGGTGGCTCTCTTCTCACAGCTCCACTAGGCAGTGCCTCAGTATGGACTCAGTGTAGGGGCTCTGACCCCACATTTCCCTTCTACACTGCTCTAGCAGAGGTTCTCCAAGAGGGCCCCACTTCTGCAGCAATCTTCTGCCTAGGCATCCAGATGTTTTCATACATCTTCTGAAATCTAGTTGGAGGTTCCCAAACCTCAATTCTTGACTTCTGTGCACCCGCAGGCTCAATACCATGTGAAGCTGCCAAGGCTTGGGGCTTCCACCCTCTGAAGCCACAGCCTGAGCTGTAAAATTGGCCCCTTTCAGCAATGGCTAGAGCTGCTGGGACACAGGGCACCAAGTCCCTAGGCTGCACACAGCAATGGAGGCTTGGGCCCAACCCACAAAACCACTTTTTCCTCCTGGGACTCTGTGCCTGTGATGAAAGGGGCTGCCGTGAAGGTCTCTGACATTGAATGGAGACATTTTCCCCATAATCTTGGGGATTAACATTAAGCTCCTTGCTACTTATGCAAATTTCTGTAGCCAGCTTGAATTTCTCCCCAGAAAATGGGTTTTTCTTTTCTATTGCATAGTCAGGCTGCAGATTTTTCAAACCTTTATGCTCCACTTCCCTTATAAAACTGAATGCCTTTAACAGTACCTAAGCCACCTCTTGAATGCTTTGCTGCTTGGAAATTTCTTCCACCAGATGCCCTAAATCATCTTTCTCAAGTTGAAACTTCCACAGATCTCTAGAGCAGGGGCAAAGTGCTGCCAGTTTCTTTGCTAAAACATAACAAGAGTCACCTTTACTCCAGTTCCCAACAAGTTGTTCATCTCCATCTGAGACCACCTCAGCCTGGACCTTATTATCCATATCGCTGTCAGCATTTTGGGCAAAGCCATTCAACAAGTCTTAGGAAGTTCGAAACTTTCCCACATTTTCCTGTCTTCCTCTGAGCCCTCCAAACTGTTCCAACCTCTGCCTGTTACCCAGTTCCCAAGTCACTTCTACATTTTCTGGTATCTTTTCAGCGACACCCCACTCTACTCGTACCAATTTACTGTATCAGTCTGTTTTCATGCTGCTGATAAAGACATACCCAAGACTGGGAAGAAAAAGAGGTGTCATTGGACTTAAAGTTCCACATGGCTAAGAAGGCCTCAGAATTATGTCGGGAGGTGAAAGGCACTTCTTACATGGCAGCGGCAAGAGAAAATGAGAAAGCAGCAAAAGCAGAAACCCCCGATAAACCCATCAGATCTCGTGAGACTTATTCACTATCATGAAAATAGCACCAGAAAGACTGGCCCCCATGATTCAATTACTTCCCCCTGGGTCCCTCCCACATGTGAGAATTCTGGGAGATACAATTCAAGTTGAGATTTGCATGGGGACACAGCCAAACCCTATCATACGCTGAGGTTTTACAGTCAGAGAAAAGAGGGTGTTTATTTGCAAGGCATCAATCAAGTATAATTGGGAAACTCACATTGAGACCTGACCTACACGATGACTTACAAACTAGAGTTTTTAGGCCAGGCGCAGTGGCTCAGCCCTGTAATCCCAGAACTTTGGGAGGCTGAGGCGGGCAGATCACATCTGGTCAGGAGTTTGAGACCAGACTGGCCAACATGGTGATATCCCATTTCTACTAAAAATACAAAAATTAGCCAGGCAGGGTGGCACATGCCTGTAATCCCAGCTATTTGGGAGGCTGAGGTAGGAGAATTGTTTGAACCTGGGAGGCAGAGGTTGCAGTGAGCCGAGATCATGCCATTGCACTCCAACCTGGGCAACAAGAGCAAAACTCCATCAAAAACAAACAAACAAAAAACAGGCAAAATTGTAAATCAACACATGGAGATTATGCATTGTCCTGGCTGAGAAGGGTAACATATCTGGAAGCAGAGGCTTACAGGTTATAGGTGAATTCACAGATTCTTTGACTTGTGATTGGTTAAGGAAGTGAAGCATCATCTAAAATCTTAGGGTCAGCAGGGATAAATGTTAAGATCTGGCCTGTGGGTGTGGCTGTCTCCAAGACCCTCAGGAAGAAATTTAGAACAAAGAATGGAAGTCAGAATTAGTTCTTTTCTGGGGTCTGCCAGCAGATGACATTTTTCAGTTGGTGAGAGTCTGGGTTTCTGAAAAGCAATCACGGACATATGTTGAGATGTTATTTTTAGTTTCTATAGGAAACCAACAATCTTGTGGCTCTAATTTCCTTGGCTATTGCTTTAATCTATTATTACCTTTTTGCTTATCAGGTCGTTCATTTGGTTCTCAAGACTATCAGGTGTCTGGAATTTCCCTTGAAGGAATTCAAAATTTTATTTTCATGCTTGGAGTGTGGGCTGGCAGGCCCCTAAAAGGGGTGTCTATTCTATCTCAGTCCCCTCTGTCTTTTGTCATTTCTCAATACTGAAGAATACAGGAATGCATATCGCTTTGGTTACTTACTGTAGAATTTGGAAGATTGGGGACTGGGATATAAGAAGAGAAAGCTCCTAGCATGGAGCTTGAAATATGAGTCCTGGGCATGACATCATGGTGTTGAACTATCATTATATTGGTTGCTTTAGTTACTACTTTATTACAACATTTTAATACACATTTAGCTACAGTATAAAGTATAAGCAAAATCCCAAAAAATATTATTAACAGAAATAGAAATCTTAAAATTTAGATGGAACCATGGAAGACTCAGAATAAGCAAAGCTATCCAAAGCAAAAAGAACAAACCCAGAATAATTACATTACCTGACTCAGATTAAACTATATAGCGATGGTAATCAAAACAAGATGTTACTGGCATAAATACAAAAACATAGATTAATAAAACAGAATTCAGATCCCAGACATAAATCCACATACCTACATTGAACTCATTTTTGACAAAAGTGCCACAAACATACACTAAGGAATAGACACTCTCTTCAAAATATGGTGGGGGGAAAACTGGATATCCATACACAAAGAAATTAAACTAAACCCCTATCTCTTGCCACATACTACAGTGAAATAAAAACGGATTAAAGACTTAAATCAAGGACCTCAAACTATGAAACTACTACAAGTAAACATTGGGGTAAATCTTCAGGACATTGGTCTCAGCAAGAACTTCATGAGTAATATCTCACAAGTACAGACAAAGCAAAAAAATGGTCAAATGGTATCATATCAAGTGAAAAAGCTTCTGTAGAGCAAAGGAAACAATCAACAAAGTGAAGAGACAACCCACAGAATAGAAGAAAATATTTGCGAACTGCTCCTTTAACAAAGGATTAATAACCAGACTATATAAAAAGCTCAAGCAATTCTACAAAACAATTGATAATCAGATTTTAAAATGAGCAAAAGATCTTAATAGATCTTAATAGACATTTCTTTAAAGAAGACACACAAGTGGCAAACAGGCATATGAAAAGGTGTTCAACATCATTGATCATCAGAGAGATGCAAATCAAAACTACAATGTGATATCATCTCACCCTATTTAAAATGATTTAAATCCAAAAGACAATCAATAATACTGGTGAGGATGTGAAGAAAAGGGAAACCTTGTACACTTTTTTTTAAGCTAGCACAATTATGAAGAACAGTTTAGAGTTTCTCACAAAACTAAATACAGAGCTACCATATAATCCAGCAATCACACTCTTGGGTACATACCCAATAGAAAGGAAATCAGTACATTGAAGAGATATCTGCATGTTTTTTACAACACTGTTCACAATAGCCAAATTTTGGAAGCAACCTTAGTGTTGTTCCTATATTCAGGATTTCACAGTTGTAGCCATTGTGGTGTGGCACAGTTGGGTGTGGGTGCTAATTAAAGCCTTGTAGGATGGGAATCTCTGGTTGTGCTCCACTACAGATACTCCCACACCAAACCCTCTGGGCTTCAGACTGGCTGGAGTTCTGCTTCTACCACCTCTCTAAGCAGCTCTCCCACACAACTCAATTGTCTGTGAGGGTCATGGGTTTTCCTGCTGCCAGGATTCGAAAGGTTTGTGGTGAGAGTGGGTTGCTTCTTAACTGCTCAACTTACTCCTTCCCCAGAAGTCACTGGTGGCCAGAAATGAGTCCCAGTGTGTGGTACCCCATGCTGAATTTCCATCTTCCTCCAACTTCAGCCACTATTTTTGTCTTCCCTTTGTCCACTCTCCATGTCTTCCCTCCAAAGCTCTGCTTGGAGTGTGCCAGCCTTTCCAATGTCCTGGTACCTCAGTGGCATATATTCCTGCTTGCTGCATGTAGTCAGCCATTGTGCCTCCTAGCCTAATTCTGAAGGTCTTTTTTCTCACGACTGGAGCAAGATATGTATGCCCACTTACACCACTGCTGTTGAACATTGCACTTAGTGTTTATCCAGAGCAATTAGTCAAGAGAGAAATAATAGGCATCCGAATTTGAAAAGAGAAAGTCAAACTATTTCTCTTTGCAGACAGCATAATCTTACATTTAGAAAAACCTAAATACCCCACAAAAAATAAAGAAGACTGTACCAATAAAGTTTCAGAACTGATAAACAAATTCAGTGATGTTGCAGAACATTAAATTAAGATACACAAATCAGTAGTGTTTCTATAAAACAATGATCTAGTTTAAAGAGAAATCAGGAAGGAAACCTCGTTTACAATACCTACAAAAAGATATAAGAATACATGTAAAAGTAAGAAAGTAAAGGACATCCATTTGGAAACTTATAAATCACTGAAGAAAGAAATTGAACAGAACATAAGCAAATGGATAGAAAACCCATGCTCCTGAATCTGCTTAAGTATAAGATTCAAAACTATAAAACTATTACAGGAATACATAAAGGAATCACTCCAGACATTGATTTAGGCAAAGATTTTATGGCTGAGACCTCAAACGTGCAGGCAATGAAAACAAAAATAGATGAACCGAAGTATATTAAATTAAAACCTTATGCATAGGAAAGGACACAACCAAGTGAAGAGACAAACTTTTGAATAGAAGAATACACTCAAAAACGATTCATTTAACAAGGGACTAATATACAGAATATACGAGAAACTCAAACAACTCAACAGCAATAATTCAATTGAAGAGGAGTTGTATTAGTTTATTATCACACTGCTATAAAGAACTACCTGAGACCGTGTGATTTATGAAGAACATATATATAATTAACTCACGGTTCCACAGGCTTCACAGAAAGTATGGCTGGGAGGCCTCAGGATGTTTCCATTTATAGCAGAATGGGAGAGGGGTAGAAAGCAACTTCTTCTCATGGCAGCAGGAGAGAGAGATGGTGAGGTGGAAAGTGCCACACACTTTTAAACTATCAGATCTTGTAAGAACTCACTACTATCACAAGAAGACCATGGGGGAAATCCACCCCCTTTATTCAATCACCTCCCACCAAGTTCCTCCCCCAAAATTGAGAATATTTGACATGAGATTTGAAATCATACAATTCTGCTCCTGGCCCCTCCAAAACCTTATGTTCTTCTCACATTTCAAAACCAGTTATGCCTTCCCAATAGTCCCCAAAGTCTTAACTTATTCTGGCATTAACTCAAAATTCCAAGTCCAAAGTCTCATCTGAGGCAAGGCAAGTCTTTTCTTCCTAGGAGCCAGTAAAATCAAAGACAAGTTCGTTACTTCCAAGATACAATGTGGGTACAGGCATTGGGTAAATACTCCCATTTGAAAAGGGGGAAATTTGCCAAAACAAAGGGGCTACAGGCCCCATGGAAGTCCAGTATCCAACAGGGCAATTATTAAATCTTAAATCTCCAAAATAATCTTTTACTCCATGTCTTACATCCAGGCCACACTGATGCAAGGAATGGTCTCTCATCACTCTGGGCAGCTCCTCTGCCCCTGTGGCTGTGAGGGTACATCTTCTGTTGTTGTTTTCATGAGCTGGCATTGAGAGCCTGCAGCTTTTTCAGGTGCATGGGGCAATCTGTCAGTGAATCTACCATTCTGGGGTCTGGAGGATGGTGGCCCTCTTCTCACAGCTCCACTAAGCAGTGCCCCAGTGGGGACTCTGTGTGGGGGCTCCAACCCCACACTTCCCTTCTGTACTGCCCCAGTAGAGGTTCTCCATGAGGGCTCCACCCTTGCAGCAGATTTCTGCCTGGACATCCAGGCATTTCCATCATCCTCTGAAATCTAGGTGGAGGTTCCTATGATGGTTAGTATTCAGGGATAACATATTTGAATTGAAGGACGCAAAATATTGTTCCTGGGTGTGACTGTGAGAGTGTTGCCGAGGGAGATTAGTGTTTGAGTCAATGGACTAGGAAAGGCAGACCCATTCTGAATCTGGGTTGGTACCTTCTAATCAGCTACCAGCACAGCTAGAATGAAGCAAGCAGAATTTGTAAGGACTAGACTTGATGAGTGTTCTGACCTTAATCTTTCTCCCTTGCTGCATGCTATCTTCCCCCAAACAATGGAATTCACGTTTTTCAGCTTTTGGACTTGGGCTTACACCAGTGGTTTGCCAGGAGCTCTTTGGCCTTCAGCCACAGACTGAAGTTTGCTGTCAGCTTCCCTACTTTTGAGGTTTTGGGACTCAACTGGCTTTCTTGCTCCTCAGCTTGCAGACATCCTATTGTGGGATTTCACCTTGTGATTGTGTGAGTCAATACTCTTTAATAAATTCCTTTTCCTGTAAACATCTATTTTATTAGTTCTGTTTTTCTACAGAATCCTGAGTGACACGGTTCCCAAACGTCAACTCTTGCCTTCTGTGCACCTGCAGGCCCAACACCATGTGGAAGCTGCCAGGGCTTGGGCCTTACACCCTCTAAGGCCATAGCCTGAGCTGTACCTTGGCCCCTTTTAGCCACAGCTGAAGCTGGAGTGGCTGGTAAGCAGGGCACCATGTCTCAAGGCTGCACAGAGCAGCTGAGCCCTAGTCCTGGCCAAATAAACCATTTTTCTATCCTGGGCCTCTGGGCCTGTGATGGGAGGGGCTACCATAAAGGTCTCTGACATGCCCTGGAGACATTTTTCCCATTGTCTTGGCTATTAATGCACAGCTTCTCTTTACTTCTGAAAATTTTATGCATCAGGCTTGAATTTTTTCCCAGAAAGTGAGTTTTTCTTCTCTACCGCATGACTGGGCTGCAAAGTTTTCAAACTTTCATGGTCTGCTTTGCTGTTATATATAGTGTCTAGTTTTTAATAATCTCTTTGTTCACACATATGAGTGTACACTTTCAGAAACAGCCAGGTTACATCTTGAATGTTTTACTGCTTACAAATTTCTTCCACCAGATACCTTAAATCATCTCTATCAAGTCCAAAGTTCCACAGATATCTACAGCAAGGGCAAAATGCTGCCAGTCTTTTTGCTAAAGCATAGCAAGAGTGACCTTTGCTCCAGTTCCCAATAACTTCCTAGTCTCCATCTGAGACCACCTCAGCCTGGACTTCATTGTCCATATCACTGTCAGCATTTCAGCAAAAACCATTCAACAAGTCTCCAGGAATTTCCAAATTTTCCCACATCTTTCTGTTTTCTTCTGAACCCTCCAAACTCTTCCAACCTCTGCCCATTACCCAGGTCCAAAGTTGCTTCCACATTTTCAGGTATCTTTACAGCAATACCCCGCTCTTGGTATCAATTTTCTGTATTAGTTAATTCTCATACTCTTATAAAGATCTACCTGTTACTGGGTAATTTATGGAGAAAATATGTTTAATTGACTCACAGTTCCACAGGCTTAACAGGAAGCATGGCTGGGAGGCCTTAGGACATTTACAATTATGGCAGAAGCATAAAGGGGTAGAAAGCACCTTTTTCTCATGGCAGCAGGAGATGGTAGGGGAGAAGTGCCACGAGCTTTTAAATCATCAGATCTCATGAGAACTCACTATCACAAGAACAGCATGGGGAAAATCTATCCCCATGATTCAATCACCCCCCAACAGGTCCCACCCCCAACATTGGGAATTAAAATTTAACATGAGATTTGGGTAGAGACATAGAGCCAAACCATATCAGGAGTTAAAAAACTTGAATAAACATTTTTTCAACCAAGACTTACAAATGGTCAACAAGTATATGAAATGATGCTCAACATTACTAATTGTCAAGGAAATGCAAACCTACAGGAGATATCATCTTAACTAAGTTAGGATGATTATCATCAAGAAAAAAAGAATTATCATCAAGAAAACAAACATTGGCAATAATGTGGAGAAAAGGACAATCTTATACATTGTTTCTGGGAATGTAAATTAGCACAACCATTATGGAAAACAATATGGATATTTATTTTAAAACTAAAAATAAAACTACCATATAATCCAGCAATCCCATTACTGAGTATTTATTCCAAGGAATGAAAATCAGTATATCAAAGGGATACCTGCTCCCCCATGATTATTGCACTGTTATTCACAATAACAAAGGTATGGAATCAACCTAAGTGTTAAGCAATGGATGAAGAAAATGCAATAGAATACTATTCGGTCATAAAAAATCATGAAATTCTGTCATTTGCAGCAACATGATTGGAGCTGAAGAAAATTATGTTAAATGAGATGTCAGGCACAGAAAGATAAACATCACATATTCTTATTCATATGTGGGTGCTAAAATTATTTAAGAGAGGTAGAGAGTAGAATGATAGTTACCAGAGGTGAGGAAGGGTGTGTGTTTCTCAAGGATAGATGAGAGAAGTTGGTTAATGGGTACAAAAATACAGTTATGTAGAAAGAATAAGATCCAATATTTGATAGCAGAATAGTGTGACTATAGTTAACAATGTATCCTACACTTCAAATTAGCTAGAAGACTTAAAATGCTACTAACTGAGAAAAAATAAATGCACAAAGTGACGAATAACCTACATAACCTAACTTGATAATTACTATGTGACAATACATCACTTGTACCCAATAAGTATGTAGAAATCTAATGTATTAATAAGAAAGTCAATAATTTAAAAAACAAATGACCTTGTTTTAAAAAGTGGCCAAAGACCTCAGTGGACACCTCACCAATGAAGATATATAGATGGCAAATAACACAGAAAAAGATATTTTCAATCATATGTTATCAGGAAAATGCAAATTAAAACAACAGTGAGGTAACACTACCTACCTACTAGAATAGCCCAAATCAGAAAATTGAACAACAGCCAATGCTGGTGAAATTTATGGAGCTACAGAAACTTTACTTTAAATGATAGCTTTTCAGCGTCTTACAGAACAAAGCACAGTCCTATAATAGAATCCACCGATTGTGCTTCTTGATATTTACCCAAAAAAGTTGAAAATGTATGTTCACACACAAGTCTGCAAATGGATGTTTATAGCAGCTTTATTCATAATTGTCAAAAACTTGGGCGCAACTAAGATGTCCATCAGTAGTTGAAGGAATGAACAGTTGTATATTCCAACAATAAATTGTTATTTATTGTTTAAAAAGCAATGAGCGATCAAGCTATAAGAAAAGCCATGGGCCTGGTGTGGTGGCTCATGCCTGTAATCCCAGCACTTTGGGAGGCCAAGGCAGGCAGATCAAGAGGTCAGGAGTTTGAGAGCATCCTGGCCAACATGGTGAAACCCCGTCTCTACTAAAGATACAGAAAATTAGCCGGGTATGGTGGCACGCACCTGTAAACCCAGCTACTCCACTTGAATCCTTGAGGCGGAGGTTGCAGTGAGCCGAGATCTTGCCATTGCACTCCCATTGTACTCTAGTCTGGGCGACTGGGTGAGACTCCATCTCAAAAAAAAAAAAAAAGAAAGAAAAAAGAAAAGAAAGCAAGAAAAAAAAAGAAATGACAGGAAGGAAACTTACCTGCATATTAAGTGAAAAAAGTCAATCTGAAAAGGGCACATACTCGATAATTCTATGACTTTCTGGAAAAGGCAAAATTATGCTGAAAGTAAAAAGATTAATGGTTGCCAGGGGTTAGGAGAGAGAAAAATATAAATAGACATAACACATGTTTTCTAGGGCAGTGAAGCTGTTTTGTTTGTCCCTGTAGTAATGGGTATATGTCATTATAAATTTGTCCAAACCCACAAGATGCATGACACCAAGAGCAAACCCTAATGTAAACTATGCATCGTAAGTGATAATCATGGGTCATTGTAGATTTACTGATTGTAATAAATACAGTCATGCATCACTTAAGGTTTGGGATATGCTCTGATGAACATGTTGTTAGGTTATTTTATCATCATGAGAACATCATATAGTTTACTTACAATAACCTAGTTGGTATTGGCTACTAGATACCTTAGTTATATGGTGTAGCTTATTTCTGCTAGGCTACAAACCTATACAGCACATTACTGTACTGAATATTGCAGGCAACTGTAACACAATGATAAGCATTTGTGTATCCAAACATATCTAAATATAAGAAGAATACAATACATTTATAGTATAAAAGATAAGAAATGGTACATAACCATACAGGGCACTTACCATGAATGAAGCTTGTAGGAGTAGAAGTTGCTCTGGGTGAATCAATGAGTGGTGAATGAATGTTAAGGCCTAAGACATTGCTGAACACTATTGTAGACTTTACAAACACTGTACATTAAATTTATAAGAATACTATTCTTTATTCAATAGTAAATTAACCTTAGATTACTGTAAACTTTTTACTTTGTAAAATTTTTGTTTTTAAATTTTTTTTTCTCTTTTGTAATAACAGCTTAAAACACAAACCGGTTATGCTGCTCTACAGAAATATTTTATTTTTTATATCCTTATTCTATAAGCATTTTTACATTTTTAATTTTGTGTTACTTTTTAAAAGTTTTTATTACAAACAAAAACAGAATCACACACATTAGCATAGGTCTATACATGGTTAGGATCATCAATTCACTGTCTTCCACTTCCACATCTTGTATCAGTGGAAGGTCTTCAGGGGCAATAACAGGCATGGAGCTGACATCTCCTATGATAAACAATGCCGTCTTCTGGAACACCTCCTGAAAGACCTGCCTAAGGCTGGGTTTTTTTTTTTTTTTTCCTTTAACTTTTAAGTTCCAGGGTACATGTGCAGGATGTGCAGGTTTGTTACACAGGTAATTAATTCCACTGAATAGCATACTAAAAATAGTTAAAATGGCATATATATGTGTATACGTGTGTGTGTGGGTGTGTGTGTGTGTGTGTTGTATTTCTTGGGCTGGAAAAAATGCAGTTTCCTTTAAAGCATATTCCTGCTATAAAGTCTATATATAGATAGATGATAGATAGATAGATAGATAGATAGATAGATAGATAGATAGAAAGATAGAAATTATATATATATATATATATATATATATATATATATATATATATATATATATATATATATATGCCAGCCTTGGAGGACTGACAGGAATTTTTATTTTTACTTTTCCCAATCTAAAAACTCACATTCCAAGATGGGGAGAAACGTTATTTGTGCCATGTCAGAATTTGGGGTCATTTGCCTAACATCAACTCAGAAAGGCTTGTGGTGGATACTACTGTTTGCCAATCCAGAAGCCACTGTTCAGCTTCGTCCTTGCTAACAGAACTTCGGGATTTTTTTTTCAGATTTTGTAGCAGGAATATGCTTTAAAGGAAACTTTATTTTTCTCCAACCAAAGAACTGCAATAAAATAGATTTGAACTATTTTATTTAATGATGGTTATTACATTCCTCTTGCCAGTAATTGGTATAGGATGTGCATATGACCTAATCAGAGCAAATGTGATTGGTGTAGGGACAGGTAGTGCTACTGGGAAGGATTTCCCTACTATAAAAAGAAATGTTTGACTAACTATAGGTGATGAGATCTTGTAATCAGAGAGTCCAAAATAATTTATGTTCTAAGTATTATATAACAATATTGCCTACATTCTTGTTTTTGATTTATTTAAATACTCTTAAAGTGTGTGACTTATGAGAGAGAAAGATTTCACACTGTTTTGTAGGAACAATCTTTTAGCTCACTTCCTTGCTTGATGTTGCTAAAGCCATTTGGTGACCATGAAGGGAGTTGCTTGAATGGCAAAGACAGTTTGAACGTGGTAACAAAAGGAGTCTTTAGTGAAGTAATTTATTTACTGAAATAACCAATGGTATAATTGAACTGCCTAAAGATTTTTTATGTGAGAAAATAAAAATATCTTTATTGTTGAATCTGGCTTTTCATTCCTTACAGGCAAGAATACTCTCACCCCAAACCACATCATTTCTAACACCATACCTCAGAATTCTATTTGGCAATTTGACTGAGAGAGAAGAGGTTTAAAGTTCAGAGAGACATGGCCATGACAACATTCACACTTCCTTTTTGAAAAAGTCCACCTTTTAATTCCATGATTTAACTTGAGGTTAAACAGAGAAATTACGTGTAAAATAAAATCATTATATTAGAGATATCCATATTGGAAAATTGGTCCATGCATTACTTAGATTGCATAGAAACTTTAAATAAAATTGATTTAGATTTTAGAATTAAAATATCCTTCCTCTCCTGACTCCAACAGTTAAAAAAATGATTATAGTTTCTAGCACATGACATACTTTTTCGCACCTCTATGACTTTGCTAAAGTTGTTCCTTATGCTTGGAATGTTTTTTCTACCTTTTTTCTTCTGGCTAATTCTTATTCATATCTGATAAGACTTGCTCATATTTTTCAGGAAGTCATTAGGTATCCCTAGATAGCCTAGAGGTCTTTCATTTGTGCTTTTACAGTACTGTGTGCTTACCTCTTCGACAACACTACACACCTTACATTAGAAGTTTTTGTTCATGGATATTTCTCCGGAACTACACTATAAGACTCTTAAGAAAGGAAACTGTGTCTAATTAATTTCCTCATTTTTAGCATTTAGCATATTATCTGGCATTTAGAAAGTGCTTAGTAAATGATTTATTTGAACTATGGAGATAATTTAAGTAATTATCACAATAAAGTTAAGTCATAAACCAAAACGTATCTGAGACAGGTCTCAATCAACTTAGAAGTTTATTTTGCTGAGGTTAAGAACAATGCCCACAAGAAAAAACAGAGAATTACAGAAGCAGTCCATGGTTTGTGCCTTTCTCCAAAGACAACTTTGAAGGTTTCAATATTTGAAGGGGAAAAGCAGGCTAAAGGGGAACAAATAAGGATATAATCACATTGCTGAATCCACATGTTGCAAGATAAAAGGAGCAGGTAGGGGAATAGTGAATTATGTATTCATATAGTGTTCAGTGAATCAACATTTTACATAAGATAAGGTGAACATGGAGTAACTATCTGTGGAGATTACACAGGATTTTTCTAGGCCCCTTTGCCAGGCTTGCAGCAGGAAGTGCCACATCTACTCAGCCTGTCAGGCTGTGTCTGGCTTGCACTTTGGCCTGTGGCTGCCATGACTGCATGCTCAGATCCTGGCAGGAGAGGGTGTATGAGTAAATGAGTATAGGGTCAGCCGGCCATTCAAAACGCCAGCACAGGGATGGGCTCTGTGCAGGGTTTGTGGCTGGACCAGGCATGTCACCCTGAGGGAAATGCAGTGGTGCACAGGTAGGGGTGCCCACAACCCTGAATCCCCAGAAGGGTTGTTACAACATGCTAATTAGCTATTTTAGTTCAGCTGTGTTGGGTGATCAGACCCAACACCAGGCAGTGGGGGCTACGAAGTCCAGCAGAGTCAAAGGAATGAGACAAGAAAAGAGTGCATAAAGTGGGACCAGGAGGCCAATACTAGTATGGAGGCTGCAAAGGCCCGAAGCTCTGGAAGCCGACACTATTTATTGGTGATCAAACAAAGAAGCAGGTGGTGAGGAAGTGGGGGGTTGAAAGAAAGCGGTGTATCAAGCACATGATCTACAGCTGTGATGGTTTAGCATTTTCTTTGACGCATATGGAACATGTTCTGCTACTTGAGATAATGGGAAACATGTTCTTCTAGTTTAAGATACAATCGATCTATGAGCCTAGGAGTGCTAGAAGCAAGGATCCGGCAGGTCTAGACACATTCCAGAGGCTACGAGGGGTTTTATGCCCTGAGCCCTGGATTCTATCCAAGGCATGAGGGGTTTTATGCCCTGGGCATAGATTGTGGTGTGGCAGGGCAGCCTTCCACCCTTTGGCACAAAGCTTGGTGTTCCAAAGGCCAGGAGGGGTTTTAGACCCTGGACCCCAGACATGTTCCAAGACTCTTTTACATTATGTCAGACATGCAAGCCCTGCCTCAGCTTTTTTTCCAACACTCAGCTTTTCCCCAACACAGCTGTCCACAGCTTGATGGATGGCAGAATGTTAACAGCTCAGTCACCCCTTTGCCCCTCTCTGGCTCATGACTCCAGGGATGGCTTGGCCCCGCCATTGCTTCCTGTAGTGTGGGGCAGCTGCCATCCACTAGCAGAGGGCAGAGGACCACAGCGTCATAGCCTTCTGAGTACCCACATTCAATGGGTCCCAAATTCTTATCCTGTGTCTAAGAAGAATGAGATCATGCTGACAACTGAAGGGTGATGAGGTCAAATAATTTTATTGAGTGACAAAACAGCTCTCAGTGGAGAAGGGATGGGAAGGTGGTCTCTCACCCAAAGTCGAGTCATATCACCCAGTTTGGCTGAGTCTGGGGTTTGTATAGGCATGGGATGAGGGAGGGGCAGGCTGTAGGTAGTATTGGGAAAGGCAACATTCAATTGGTTAAAAAGCATTATTCAGAATAAACCAATTGGGAAAGGGCATGCAAATACAAACAGAAATTCTCACTCCAGGTCAAGGATTTCATCCAGAACCAGCAGTCTGGTCTTTCAGCCTTCAGGCTGTTTTTGGCTTGAAGGTGGGGTTTCACTGAGGACCTGACCCTATCTGCCTCCTGCCACTGACAGAGATTTTTTAAATTTTTATCTGTATCTATCTGCTTATGAACAAAAGGAAAGGCAGGTTTTTATTTTCTTCTTAAAAAAGGGGGGATACATGTATAGAACATGCAGGTTTGTTACATAGGTTTATGTGTGCCATGGTGGTTTGCTGCACCTATTGACCTGTCCTCTAAGTTCCTTCCCCTCACCCCCACCCTCCAACAGGCCCTGATGTTTGTTGTTCTCCTCTCTGTGTCTATATGTTCTCATTGTTGAACTCCCACTTATGAGTGAGAACATGTGGTATTTGGTTTTTTATTCCTGTGTTAGTTTGCTGAGGACAATGGCTTCCAGCTTTATCCATGTCCCTGTAAAAGACATGATCTCATTCCTTTTTATGACTGCATAGTATTCCATGGTGTATATGTACCACACTTTCTTTATCCAGTCTATCATTCATGTGCATTTGGGTTGGTTTCATGTCTTTGCTATTGTGAATAGTGCTGCAATAAACATATGTGTGCATGTGTCTTTGTAGTAGAATGATTTATATTCCTTTGGGTATATACCCGGTAATGGGATTGCTGGGTCAAATGGTATTTCTGGTTCTAGGTCCTTGAGGAACCGCCATACTGTCTTTCACAATGGTTAAACTAGTTTACGTTCCCACCAACAGTGTAAAAGCATTCATATTTTTCTGCTACCTTGCCAGCATCTATTGTTTCTTGACTTTTTAATGATTGCCATTCTAACTGGCATGAGATGGTATCTCATTGTGGTTTTGATTTGCATTTCTCTGATGATCAGTGATGCTGAGCTTTTCTTCATATGTTTTTTGGCCACATAAATGTCTTCTTTTGAGAAATGTCTGTTCATATCTTTTGCCCACTTTTTGATGGGGCTGTTTTTTTCTTGTAAATGTGTTTAAATTCCTTATAAATTCTGAATATTAGACCTTTGTCAGATGGGTAGATTGCAAGAATGTTCTCCCACCCTTTATGTTGGGAAAGACAGTTTTTTGCATGACTGATCTTTCAGTTTAATTTTTTTATCTTCAGCACAGTGAATTGCGGTCCCAAGTTTTTATTTTTTATTTACAAAAGTAAACATCCCTAATGTATCTAAGTTTATAATTCAACTGCCAATTTAGTAAAAAAAAAAAAAAAAAAAAAAAAAAAAAAAAAAAAAACATTAAGATAATTTGAATCTGCTAAATGTTTATTGTGTTTTTGGAACCAATAAAATGATCAGCAAAAATTCTCTCTTATGCCAATATTCTACTCTTTTATTAACATTACCACCACCATCATCTCTCTTTTTGCTTCCTCCTCAAACTGCAGAATAGAGAGCTTGGATTTGCATGTAGGAGGCTGGCAGGGAAGGAAGCCAAGTATGTCATAGTAGAGGAGGAGGGTCTACATACTTCCTTGTATTAAAAAGGGAAACTCATGAAGCACCAAAGCACACAACGAAGGAGAGGAAGAAGGGAGGAAGGCACTTCACAAGCAGAGCTGAGCCAGCAGGGCAGCAAGGCAGAAAGGGACTGAGATTGTACCTGGAAGTATCCCAGTGGCTGGATATTCAAGGTAACTATTCCATTGTTCCCCTTTTCTTTCCTTTCTAATTCACTGCTTCTGCAATTCAGACGCTTCTGCATTTGAGGTGGTGATGCGCATGTCTCTGTGTGTCCTTTCTCTGTATTAGGAGATGACTGCAAGTAAAACCTGCACATTAGAAAGCAGTCCAGAGATACAAAAGCAGGCAGGGTTCTTCCTGAAAGGGAAATTCTGAAAACTCAGATTGTCTTTCATTATTTGGTCAATTTTTTAAAAAAAATATTGTTTTAAAGCATCTGGATCCTAGCATTTTGTATTATGAACAGATAAAAAGCCATAGATACGAGCTAATTCGAAGAGGCTGGAAATGCTGCTGAGGATTTTCTTTTGCAAGCAGAAGAAAAACTATTTTTTAATTCTCAGTTAAAGTTGTTTTCTCCTTTTGCTTACACTTCCAGTTCAGCTGTTACCTACTTTGCTTTCTTGAATTTCTCTGAACCTGAGTAACACAAAAGGTGGGAAGCACATTTCAAATTTAAATTGGTGGATTCATTCTTATAAGTGAGTGCATATTTAAGACAGACTGGTCAAAGAGAGAAGAGAAAGACGAGGGGTGGGGTGGGAGGTGCGGGGGTGGGGGAAGAGACTAGATTACAAGGATGAGGAAAAAGGGAGAGAGGGAAGGAGGGAGGAAAGGGGGAAGGGAAAGAGAAGAGAGGGGTGCTCTAGTCACAAAGATTTTGAGTTTAATAAAATTAGAAATGGGTCACTTATAAACTGATTTCTTTAGAAAATATTTCCTTTATATTTTCAGAAATAAATCAGGGGCCATTACAAAGAGGTTACAATATGGTGTGTTTTCATATTTCTGACTTGGCTTTTTCTTTCTCATTTGCTTTTAAAAACACTGGATCTTTGTTATAAATACTATAATTAGAAGCAGGATTATTTGACTGCAGAAAGTGAGGAATGCACACTAGCTACTTTCCTCAGTGCCATTGAAATGTTGAAATCTAAAGCTCAGCTCTTCTGGGCTTGCAGCGTACAGCTGAGTTCAATGATTTTTTTCATCTGATTTAAAACATTTACATTGTACATTGTCTCCTTTACTTTGTCCTTGAAGAGACTTTTATTTCTTTGATTTACTAAGGGCAGCTAACCACAAGCTCTTGTCAGCCTCTGGTTTATGGGCAGAAGAAAATAAATGGGACAACATTTCAGGATTCCCTAAAGGGCTATTTCTGAAAGAAGCATTTAAAACACTGAGAAATTGTTAGATTGAATGAACCATATTTTTCTTCTTCATGAACAAAGCCAGATAAACAGGAAACACTGAGATGGGGAAAAGGAGAAAGGAGCAATATCAAAAGATTTTTATATACAAAAGAGATTTTTACATTGCAAATACATGCGAACAAATAAAAAATCTTCCTGTTTGGGGAGTATGTCCTCCCTATTTTTATGTGATGATAATATAACAGAGACCGTGTAATTGGACATCTTTCATTGTTGGAGGAACTTCCTCCATTTTCATTTCTTTTAAAAAAGTCCCTTTTTGAGATTCTTAACTGTCAGAATAGTACTGCAAATAACTGTTAGGGTAAAATTTCTATTGTGTTTAAAATACGTTTGTGGTTGTCCCATGAAGAGGAAGCAGTTGAGGGTCTAGTACAGTTCTAGTCTTATCTTTTTGTCTTCTGACATTTTTCTCCTGAAATAAAGATCCTGTCCTTAGAATTTAGGTAAAAATTTCATTGTTAATTTGAGAGGGGAAATAGAATACTCTGCTTGACTCCTCAAATTGAATGTGATTCTTACTCATAAGGTTTTAGACCATCAGTTTACCTGGGAAGAAGTATCTTTAAAGTAACAAGAACAATAAGAAAGAGAAACCTGAAATCGGAAGGAATCAATTTTACACAGCTACTTTTCAGCTGCTTAATTGTGTTATAAAATAATATGTTCGAATTAGGAACAACTATCTTGGACTTTTATTATTGTTTTAGAAAATAATTACTTTTCTTGCATTCAGAAATCTGCAAAATCTGCATATACATTTCTTGTTCTTATACACACAGGTATTCAAAATAGATTTCTATAAATGGATTTCTACTCATATTATGAAATTGTGAAAGTAATTAGATTGATGTCACATTTGTTTGTTGAGGATTTACTCATCATTCAATAATTACTTACAGTCAGGCTTACAGTGCTGGGGATCCAGAGATATTTAAATCAAAACTGCTATGTATCTTAGGGGTTAATAGGCACAGACAGATAGATAAATAGATAATTCCAGTATGCTGTGATAACAGCTCCAATAGAGGTATGTCTAAACTACAGCAATAATAGAGAATATGAAGAGATGGGATGGGCAGTTAGAGAGGATGTTTTATTTTAGCAGAATCTTAATGGATTACTATGATACTTCTGGTGCCATAATCAACTCAGTGGATAGCAGTCCTTCACTGCTTTTACCACAAGCTTAAGGGTGCACATACAACCAACCATTCATTAAATACTATGTGCCAGACACTATGTTGAATACTTTATATGCATTATTTATAATTTCCTCCTCATCATATGAATTAGGATATTTTATTATATCCATTTTCTGATAAGAAAATTGAGGCACAGAGAGGGCAAGTAGTTTGCCCTAGCTAGTAAGTCTCAGGGCCAAGATTCAAACTCAAAACTGCTCAAAGCCACTATGCTACAGTATTTCACACAAAGCAACAGGGAGATTGGGGGTGTGGGTAGAGTAAAAGAGGACATTTCAGGCAGAGGGAATTGTAAGTTTAAAGCAGTGGACATGAATAAGTGGATGAGTTTCGTGAACTTGGTCTAGATCTAAGGTTGCTAAAATTTAGGGTTACTTAGGGGTGGGAAAGAAAAAGAAATTGTTGGAATTAAAGTCCAAGAGCAAGGCAAAGACCATATTGTAAAACATCTTACATACTGTGCTATATTTAATGTTTGAACTTCATTCTGTAGACTTTGAGCAATCTTTGACAATATGCAAGAAAGGCTAGAATCAGTTTTGCATTTTAGAAAGATAATTCTAGTTGTAGTATGAAGGTTCGATTAATGAGTAGATAATGAAAGCAGTAGTCCATATAAATAATTAAAATTGATTGCACATCTTATATCCTTTTGAGAAATGTGGGTTGCAATACTATTTACCTCATTGGTTTGTCATTAATATTTTCTAAGTGACCACATGAAATAGGATCAGAAGGAAACTGGCATACAGTAAGTGCTTCATAAATGTTAACTGTTGTTATTATTTATCTAACTTCTGTTATTATATCATATAAAACAGTAGGAAACAATATAAGTAAAGAAAAAGAACTGAGATTTCCCAATTTAATATAGAAATATGAGAAGTAGGCTAGCCTTTGTTGGGGCTTGAATTGGTCCTTGAAGTACAGATTAATGTTGAGGTGGTGGAATAAGGCTTTCCAAAAGGGGTAACAATATTAATAAAAGCAAAAAAAAAAAAAAAGAACATATCATGGGCAGGCAACAGTGACCAATACTTTTTTTCTACATGTAAAGAATTCTTACCATATGCAATCAAAACGGAGCAGTATGTGTAGTGGTTACGAACATGGACATTGGGATCTTACTGCTTGAGTTTTAACACAAGTTCAGCCACTTAGTAGTTATATGTTGGGGAAGTTTTCTTTTTAATCAGTTATTTACCAGTTGTGGCTAATAATAGTACTCACCTCATGGGCTAAGAACAGTACTTGGCACATAGTAAATCCTATGTAGTGTTAGATATTTTTATCATTAAAAAGAGACTGGGACTAGCTCATAGGTAGCTTTGAGTTCCAGGGTAAGGAGTTTGATTAGACATATAGGCAAAATAGAGCCACTTAAAATCGTTAAACAAAGAAGAAAGTTACATGATAACAACTGATCTGGTAGCAGTATTTAGGATATCTTGGAGTGTTGTGGGGGGATAGACGTGGATGGGTAGCAACCAGATAGACACACCAACTAGGAGATTCTCATATTAGTACAGAATGAAGAATGGGAAGTGGCACCAGTAATAACGTGTATGCAAGATACATCACAAAGGAATAATTTTTAGGTTAGTAAGGAATATGGATGAGAAAGGTGAATAAGTCAGTAAGATGACTCTGAGATTTCTCAATTTAAAGGTTTTATAACTGAGAAAATTGTGGTACCACTGACAGAAGAAAAAGGTCAGAAAATATAACCTGTTTGGGGAAAAATACAGACAGAAATAAAATAATAACAATCATTTTACAAAACACTTTCATATTTATGTGAGTGGTTTTGAACATGCTAAAGTCAAGGTGCTGCCAGGGCATTCAGCAAGTAGTTGCCAATATGGAATCAAAGTTTAGGAGAGAGAGGCCAGGATAGAATGATCATAGAGAACATGTACAAAAGTGTACAGTAAAGCAGAGAGGTGGAAGCTATCTGGGTGTTAACCACTGGAAGAATGGATGGTAAAATGTGCTGGATGCACACAACAAGGTGTTATGACACAGAAGCAGGTGATTAGATATAGCAACATAGAAGTATCTGAGTAATATAATGCTGAGAGTGAAAAAATGGGTAATGAAATACACAATAAGGTAACATATGCATATATTTGAAATGACAAAATCCATTTTGCAAGAATATGTACAAATAAAAAATACACTAAACTTATCAGAATGGTTGCTTATGATGAGGAAAAAGATAAGAATGGAAATAGAGCATGAAGATAAAGTAGAATAACTAAATGAACATCATGGAGGTGGGGAGCTTTGCGTGAATTGTGATAACATGCCTTAAGCTGAGGAGCATGACCCTCTGACACACTCACACTAAAAAAGAACATTGAAAAGTCAAACTATGTCTTATTTTTCTATGTCGTCATTCTCAAGTTAAAGAAAGAAATAATTATTATTGTTAAATACTTGAGATAATTATCTCAAGTTAAAAATAGTTAATTAGTATTATAAAAGGTTATGCTTTTGCTTGGGTTTCTTTTTCTTTTCTTTTATTTATTTATTTATTTATTTATTTATTTATTTATTTTGTTTTCTTCATTTGAGACAGAGTATTACTCTGTCACCTAGGCTGGAGTGCAGTGGTGTGATCACAACTAACTGGAGCCTTGACTGCCCTGGCTGAAGCTATTCTCCCACCTCAGCTTCCTGACAGTAGCTGGGACCACAGGAATGCACCACCACACCTATCATGTTGTTTAAATTATTATTTGTAGAGATGAAGTGTATAACCTGGCTAGATTGCTTGCCGTTCTTCATGTGCCGTGTGTATGTGTGCAGAAAATTAATTCTTATAAAAAAATCCTTATACTGTAAAACCCTTATTTAAAACTAATCTGTTTTGCTCTTGCAGATCATTATGTCCATGCCAGAGAAATCAAGTTATACCACCACTTCTTGGCCTTTTGCCTAAGATCAAGTGTAGAAATCAAGTTAAACCAAACCAAGTGAGGATTTCAGTTATTTCTCTGAAAAGCTGGAAGTAGTCTCTTTGAAAACCAGTACAAGATAAGGATGCCCTTTCTTTCCACTCCTATTCAACATAGTATTAGAAGTTCTGGCCAGGACAATCAGGCAAGAGAAAGAAATAAAGGGTATTTAATTAGGAAGAGAGGAAGTCTAGTTGTCTCTGTTTGCAGACGACATGATTGTATATTTAGAAAGCCCCATCATCTCAGCCCAAAAACTTCTTGAACTGATAAGCAACTTCATCAAAGTCTCAGGATCTAAAATCAATGTGCAAGAATCACAAGGATTTATTTACATCAACAATAGGCAAGCAGAAAGCCAAATCATAGGTGAACTCCCATTTATAATTGCTACAGAGAGAATAAAGTACCTAAGAATACAGCTAAAAAGGGACATGAAGGACCTCTTCAGGGAGAACTACAAAACACTGGTCAAAGATATAAGAGAGGACACAAAGAAATGGAAAAACATTTCACCCTCATGGACAGGAAGAATCAATATCATGAAAATGGCCATACTGCCCAAAGTAATTTATAGATTCAATGCTATTCCCATCAAACTACCATTGACATTCTTCACCGAATTAGAAAAACCTATTTTAAATTTCATATGAAATCAAAAAAGACCCTGTATAGCCAAGACAATCCTAAGCAAAAAGAACAAAGCTGGAGACATCATGCTACCTGACTTCAAACTATACGACAAGCCTACAGTAACCAAAACAGCAAGGCACTGGTACCAAAAGAGATATATAGACCAATGGAACAGAAGAGAGACCTCAGAAATAACACCAAACATCTACAACCATCTGATCTTCGACAAACCTGACAAAAACAAAATAGGAAAAAGGATCTTCTATTCAGTAAATGCTGCTAGGAAAACTGGCTAGCCATATGCAGAAAACTGAAACTGGACTCCTGCCATACACCTTATACAAAAACTAACTCAACATGGATTAAACACTTAAATGTAAAACCCAAAACCATAAAAACCCTAGAAGAAAACCTAGGAAATCCATTCAGGACATAGGCATGGGAAAAGATTTCATGGCAAAAACACCAAAAGCAATTGCAACAAAAGCCAAAATTGACTAATGGGATCTAATTAATCTAAAGAGCTTCTGCACAGCAAAAGAAACTATCATCAGAGTAAACAGGCAATCTACAGAAGGGGAGAAAATTTTTGAAATCTACCCATCTGACAAAGGTCTGATATTCAGAATTTACAAGAAAAAAACAACCCCATCAAAAAATGAGCAAAAGGTATGAACATACACTTCTTAAAAGAAGACATTCACGTGGCCAACAAACATATGAAATAAAGCTCAACAACACTGATCATCAGTGAAATGCAAATTGAAACCACAATGAGATACCATTTCATGCCAGTCAGAATGGCAGTTATTAAAAAGTCAGGAAACAATAGATGCTGGAGAGGATGTGAAGAAATAGAAATGCTTTTACACTGTTGTTGAGGATGTAAGTTAGTTCAACAATAGTGGAAGACAGTATGGTGATTCCTCAAGGACCTAGAACCAGAAATACCATTTGACCCAGCAATCTTATTATGGTGTATATACACAAATAATTATAAATCATTCTACTACAAAGACTCATGCACACGTATGTTTATTGCAGCACTATTTACAGTAGCAAAGACGTGGAACCAACCCAAATGCCCATCAATGATAGACTGAATGTGGTACATGTACACCACGGAATACTATGCAGCCATAAAAAAGAATGAGATCATGTTCTTTGCAGGGACATGGAAGAAGCTGGAAGCCATCATTCTCAGCAAACTAACACAGGAACAGAAAACCAAACACTGCATGTTCTCCTTCATAAATGGGAGTTGATCATTAAGAACACATCGACACAGAAAGGTGAACAACACACACCAGGGCCTGTTGGGGGGTGAGGGGTGAGGGGAGGAAACATAGAGGATTGGTCAGTAAGTGCAGCAAACCACCATGGCACATGTATACCTATGTAACATACCTGCACATTCTGCAAAAGTATCCAGTTTGTTTATTTTTTGTTTTTTGTGGGGTTTTTTTTAGAAGAAATAAATTAAAAAAGAAAGAAACCTGAAGATAATGGCTTAAATAGGATAAAAGTTTATCACACCTGTAAAAACTCCAAGTCCATTCCAAGGTGGCATGTTACTCTGCTCTACAAAGATACCAGGGGCCCAGGTTTGTTTTTTGTTTTTCTTGTGATTCTGCCATCACTGTGGTATTCACTTTATCCCTCATGTTTCAAGATACCCATAATAGAATTAAAGTCAGTGGGGAGAAGAAAAGAGGAGGGCTGGCCCCTTCCACTTTAACAATGCTACTCTGAAGCTGCTTTTTTTTTTTTTTCTGTTTTGACACAAAGTCTTGCTCTGTCACCCAGGCTGGAGTACAGTGGCACAATCTCGGCTCACTACCACTTCTGCCTGCCGGGTTCATGTGATTCTCTTCCCTCAGCCTCCTGAGTAGTTAGGGTTACAGGCACTCACCATCATGACCAGCTAATTTTTGTATTTTTATAGATATGGGGTTTCACCATGTTGGCCAGGCTGTTCTTGAATGCCTGACCTCACGTGATCCACCCTCCTTGGCCTCCCAAAGTGCTGGGATTACAGGCATGAGCCACCACACCAAGCATCAGAATACTACTCTGAAGTTTCATGCATTATTTTTTCACATGATATTGTCAAGAACCTATTCATGTAACAATATCTGTATTCAAGGAAATCTGGAAAACAATCTTTTTTTTTTTCCCCTGAGTTGCCATACACCTGCTTAACATGTCTACTTTTATAGCAAGGGAGAACAATTATTGAGAGATAAGTAGCAGTCTCTGTCATACTTTTGTAGAATCTTAATTTTGAGAAGCTGTAATTAATCTTGTAATTAATCATTTGTATACTTTTTCAAAAAACATTCATTGAATATCTAACATCTCACTACCAAGAGTAGATCAGGACCTCCTGTTCCACTCTTATAGATTCTAATACCTTTCATTTGTAACATTAGTTAATAATATTATGATTTTGAAATTTGATTAAAGCTTATCTTTCCCACAAGACTTTAGACCCCATGAAAGTGGATATTGTTGTTCATCATTTTATCTCTAATGCCTGGCACCTACTATGTGATTGATGTATAATTTTTGCATAAATAAATAAGTAAATAAATAACTGCTTGCCTGAATGCATCCATGTTATGCAACAGGACTACGGGCTGTATGGTAATGAAAGCAAAAAAAAATAAGTACATGTTGCACACTGACATCATCCTATGCTCAGCAATACCTGCCATTGAATCTAAGCTTCTGTGAGATTCAATATGGTTGACTGAATATCATTTTTTGTGCTCAAAAAAGTTTAAGCCATCACTTGCTCTACATGAGAGGTACACAAACCATGCACTGATTGAAAATATAGATGAAGTAGCCATTTTAAGACAAAAAAAACTGAGCTGATAGAGCTGAAAAACTCACTTCAAGAATTTCATAATACTTTCACAAGTATTAACAGCAGAATAGATCAAGCTAAGGAAAGATTCTCAGAGATTGAAGGCTAGTTCTTCAAATCAACTAGTCAGGCAAAAATAAACAAATAAAGAATAATAAAGAATAAGTGAAAACTCCAAGAAAAGTGGAATTATGTAAAGAGGCCCAACCTATGATTCATTGGCATCACTGAAAGAGAGGGAGAGAAAGCAAGCAACTTGAAAATTATATTTCAGGATTTTGTTTCTGAAAATATCCCCAACCTTGCTAGATAGGCCAACATTCCAACTGAGGAAATGCAGAGAAGCCATGTGAGATAATACAGAAGACAACAATCTGCAAGACCCATAGTCATATTTTTCAAGATCAATGTGAAAAAAATATTAAAGGCAGCCAGAGTGGAGGGGCAGATCATCTACAAAGGGAACACTCAGTCTAACAACAGACCATTCAGCAGAAACACTACAAACCCAAAGAAACTGGAGGCCTATATTCAGCATTCTTAAAGAAAAGAAATTCCAACCAAGAATTTCATATCCAGCCAAACTAAGTTTCATAAACAAAGGAGAAATAAAATATTTTCAGACTAGCAAATTTAAGGGAATTCATTACCACCAGACCTGCCTTACAAGAGGTCCTTTAAAAGGGAGTGCTAAATATGGAAATAAAAGACTATTAATGGCCACCACAACACACACTTAACTATAAAGCAAACACAAAATGAATTCTGCATAATAATCAGCTACCAATGCAATGACAGGACCAAGTTTGCACAAATCAATATTAATCTCAAATGTAAATTTCCCAATTAAAAGGCAAAGTGACAAGTTGAAAAAAGAAACAAGATTTAAATGTATGCTGTCTTCCAGAGACCTGTGATACATGCAATTACACCCATAGACTCAACATAAAGAAATGGAGAAAATACCAAGCAAATGAGGAAAAAAAAAAAAAAATAAAACCCAGAGGTTGTCATTCTAATTTCAGACAAAACAGACTTTAAATTGACAAAAATCAAAAAAGACAAAGAAAGGCATTACATAATGCTAAAGGGTTCAATTCAACAAGAAGACTTAACTATCCTAAATATATATACATCAACACAGGAACACCGAAATTCCTAAAATAACTTAGTGACCTATGAAGAGACTTATGTAATCACACTGTAACAGTGGAAGACTTCAACACCCCACTGTCACTACTACACAAAACAATGAGGGAGAGAGCTAACAAAGATATTCAGAACTTGAACTTGACACTTGACCAAATTGACCCAACAGATATTACAGAACTCTGCACCCGCAAACAAAAGAGTATGCATTTAGTTTTCCTTTGTTTTTTTTTTCTAACTTTTAATTTAGGTTTAGGGTTAAAAGGTTTGTTATATGGCTAAACTCGTGCCATGGGAGTTTGTCATACAGATTATTTCATCATCCAGGTAGTAAGCCTAGTATCCAATAGTAATGTTTTCTGCTCCTCTCCCTTCTCTGACCCTTCACCCTCAAGTAGACTCTAGTGTTTTTTCCTCCCTTCTTTGTGTCAATAAGTTCTCATTATTTAGCTCTCACTTAAGAGTGAAAACATGCAGTGTTTGGTTTTCTGTTCCTGCATTAGTTAGCTAAGAATAATAGCCTCCAGCTTCATCCATGTTTCCACAAAAGACATGATCTTGTTCTATGACTGCATAGTATTCCATGGTGTATATACACCACATATTCTTTATCCAATCTGTAATCTATGGTCATTTGAGTAAATTCCTTGGCTTTGCTATTGTGACTGGTGCTACAATGAGCATGTGTGTGTCTTTATGTGGGTGTCTTTATGGTAGAATGATTTTATTAGTCTGGGTATATACCCAGTAATGGGATTGCTGGGCTGAATGCTATTTCTGTTTTTAGCTCTTTGAGGAATCACATACTGCTTTCCACAATGGTTGAACAAATTTACACTTGCAGCAGCAGTGCATAAGTGTTCCCCTTTTTCCATAATCTTGCCAGCATCTGTTGTTTTTTGACTTTTTTATTTCTAGCCATTATGTCTGGTGTGAGAAGGTATCTCATGGTTTTGATTTGCATTTTTCTTTTTTTTAAATTTTATTATTATTATACTTTAAGTTTTAGGGTACATGTGCACAACGTGCAGGTTTGTTACATATGTATACATATGCCATGTTGGTGTGTTGCACACATTAACTCGTCATTTAGCATTAGGTATATCTCCTAATGCTATCCCTCCACCCTCTCCCCACCCCACAACAGTCACCAGTGTGTGATGTTCCCCTTCCTGTGTCCATGTGTTCTCACTGTTCATTTCCCACCTATGAGTGAGAACATGCTGTATTTGGTTTTCTCTTCCTGTGATAGTTTGCTAAGAATGATGTTTTCCAGTTTCATCCATGTCCCTACAAAGGACATGAACTCATCATTTTTTATGGCTGCATAGTATTCCATGGTGTATGTGTGCCACATTTTCTTAATCCAGTCTGTCGTTGTTGGACATTTAGTTTGGTTCCAAGTCTTTGCTATTGTGAATAGTGCCGCTACAAACATATCTGTCCATGTGTCTTTATAGCAGATGATTTATAATCCTTTGCGAATATACCCAGTAATGGGATGGCTGGGTCAAACGGTATTTCTAGTTCTAGATCCCTGAGGAATTGCCACACTGACTTCCACAATGGTTCAACTAGTTTACAGTCCCACCAACAGTGTAAAAGTGTTCCTATTTCTCCACATCCTCTCCAGCACCTGTTGTTTCCTGACTTTTAATGATCGCCATTCTAGCTGGTGTGAGATGGTATCTCATTGTGGTTTTGATTTGCATTTCTCTGATGGCCAGTGATGGTGAGCATTTTTTCATGTTTTTTGGCTGCATAAATGTCTTCCTTTGAGAAGTGTCTGTTCATTTCCTTCACCCACTTTTTGATGGGGTTGCTTGTTTTTTTCTTGTAAATTTGTTTGAGTTCATTGTAGATTCTGGATATTAACCCTTTGTCAGCTGAGTAGGTTGCAAAAATTTTCTCCCATTCTGTAGATTGCCTGTTCACTCTGATGGTAGTTTCTTTTGCTGTGCAGAAGCTCTTTAGTTTAATTAGATCCCATTTGTCACTTTTGGCTTTTGTTGCCACTGCTTTTGGTGTTTTAGACATGAAGTCCTTGCCCATGCCTATGTCCTGAATGGTATTGCCTAAGTTTTCTTCTATGTTTTTTATGGTTTTAGGTCTAACATGTAACTCTTTAATCCATCTTGAATTAATTTTTCTATAAGGTGTAAGGAAGGGATCCAGTTTCAGTTTTCTACATATGGCTAGCCAGTTTTCCCAGCACCATTTATTAAATAGGGAATCATTTTCCCATTGCTTGTTTTGGTCAGGTTTGTCAAAGATCAGATGGTTGTAGATATGCGTCATTATTTCTGAGGGCTCTGTTCTGTTCCATGTTCTATATCTCTCTTTTGGTACCAGTACTATGCTGTTTTGGTTACTGTATCCTTGTAGTATAGTTTGAAGTCAGGTAGCATGATGCCTCCAGCTTTGTTCTTTTGGCTTAGGATTGACTTGGCCATGTGGGCTCTTTTTTGGTTCTATATGAACTTTAAAGTAGTTTTTTCCAATTCTGTGAAGAAAGTCATTGGAAGATTGATGGGGATGGCATTGAATCTATAAATTACCTTGGGCAGTATGATCATTATCACGATACTGATTCTTCCTACCCATGAGCATGGAATGTTCTTCCAGTTGTTTCTATCCTCTTTTATTTCATTGAGCAGTGCTTTGTAGTTCTCCTTGAAGAGGTCCTTCATGTCCCTTGTAAGTTGGATTCCTAGGTATTTTATTCTCTTTGAAGCAATTGTGAATGGGAGTTCACTCATGATTTGGCTCTCTGTTTGTCTGTTATTGGTGTATAAGAATGCTTCTGATTTGTGGACACTGATTTTGCATCCTGAGACTTTGTTGAAGTTGCTTATCAGGTTGAGGAGATTTGGGGCTGAGACAATGGGGTTTTCTAGATATACAATCATGTCATCTACAAAAAGGGACAATTTGACTTCATCTTTTCCTAATTGAATACCCTTTATTTCCTTCTCCTACCTGATTGCCCTGGCCAGAACTTCCAACACTATGTTGAATAGGAGTGGTGAGAGAGGGCATCCCCGTCTTGTGCCAGTTTTCAAAGCGAATGCTTCCAGTTTTTGCCCATTCAGTATGATATTGGCTGTGGGTTTGTCATAGATAGCTCTTATTATTTTGAGATACGTCCCATCAATACCTAATTTATTGAGAGTTTTTAGCACGAAGAGTTGTTGAATTTTGTCAAAGGCCTTTTCTGCAACTATTGAGATAATCATGTGGTTCTTGTCTTTGGCTCTCTTTATATGCTGAATTACATTTATTGATTGGCGTATGTTGAAGCAGCCTTGCATCCCAGGGATGAAGCCCACTTGATCATGGTGGATAAGCTTTTTGATGTGCTGCTGTATTCAGTTTGCCAGTATTTTATTGAGGATTTTTGCATCAATGTTCATCAAGGATATTGGTCTAATATTCTCTTTTTTGGTTGTGTCACTGCCAGGCTTTGGAATCAGGATGATACTGGCCTCATAAAAAGAGTTAGGGAGGATTCCCTTTTTCTATTGATTGGAGTAGTTTCAGAAGGAATGGTACCAGCTCATCTTTGTATCTCTGGTAGAATTCGGCTGTGAATCCATGTGGTCCTGGGCTTTTTTTGGTTGGTAAGCTATTGATTATTACCTCAATTTCAGAGCCTGTTATTGGTCTATTCAGAGATTCAGCTTCTTCCTGGTTTAGTCTTGGGAGGATGTATGTGTCGAGGAATTTATCCATTTCTTCTAGATTTTCTAGTTTATTTGTGTAGAGGTGTTTATAGTATTTTCTGATGGTAGTTTGTATTTCTGTGGGATCAGTGGTGATATCCCCTTTATCATTTTTTATTGCATCTATTTGATTCTTCTCTCTTTTCTTCTTTATTACTCTTCCTAACGGTCTGTAAATTTTGTTGATCTTTTCAAAAAACCAGCTCCTGGATTCATTAATTTTTTGAAGGGTTTTTTGTGTCTCTATTTCCTTCAGTTCTGCTCTGATTTTAGTTATTTCTTGCCTTCTGCTAGCTTTTGAATGTGTTTGCTCTTGCTTTTCTAGTTCTTTTAATTGTGATGTTAGGGCGTCAATTTTAGATCTTTCCTGCTTTCTCTTGTGGGCATTTAGTGCTATAAATTTCCCTCTACGCACCACTTTGAATGTGACCCAGAGATTCTGGTAGGTTGTGTCTTTGTTCTCGTTGGTTTCAAAGAACATCCTTATTTCTGCCTTCATTTCATTATGTATCCTGTAGTTGTTCCAGAGCAGGTTGTTCAATTTCCATGTAGTTGAGCAGTTTTGAGTGAGTTTCTTAATCCTGAGTTCTAGTTTGACTGCACTGTGGTCTGAGAAACAGTTTGTTATAATTTCTGTTCTTTTGCATTTGCTGTGGAGTGCTTTACTTCCACCTATGTGGTCAATTTTGAGATAGGTGTGGTGTGGTGCTGAAAAGAATGTATGTTCTGTTGATTAGGGGTGGAGAGTTCTGTAGATGTCTATTAGGTCTGCTTGGTACAGACCTGAGTTCAATTCCTGGGTATCCTTGTTAACTTTCTGACTTGTTGATCTGTCTAATGTTGACAGTGGGGTGTTAAAGTTTCCCCTTATTATTGTGTGGGAGTCTAAGTCTCTTTGTAGGTCACTGAGGACTTGCTTTATGAATCTGAGTGCTCTTGTATTGGGTCCATATATATTTAGGATAGTTAGCTCTTCTTGTTGAATTGATCGTTTTACCATTACGTAATGGCCTTCTTTGTCTCTTTTGATATTTGTTGGTTTAAAGTCTGTTTTATCAGAGACTAGGATTGCAGCCCCTCCCTTTTTTTGTTTTCCATTTGCTTGGCAGATCTTCCTCCATCTCTTTATTTTGAGCCTATGTGTGTCTCTGCACATGAGATTGGTTTCCTGAATACCGCACACTGATGGGTCTTGACTCTTTATCCAATTTGCCAGTCTGTGTCTTTTAATTGGAGCATTTAGCCCATTTACGTTTGAGGTTAATATTGTAATGTGTGCATTTGATCCTGTCATTATTATGTTAGCTGTTTATTTTGCTCATTAGTTGATGCAGTTTCTTCATAACCTTCAGGGTCTTTACAATTTGGCATGTTTTTGCAGTGGCTGGTACTGGTTATTCCTTTCCATGTTTAATGCTTCCTTCAGGAGCTCTTTTAGGGCAGGCCTGGTGGTGACAAAATCTCTCAGCATTTGCTTGTCTGTAAAGTATTTTATTTCTCCTTCACTTATGAAGCTTTGTTTGGCTGGATATGAAATTCTGGGTTGAAAATACTTTTCCTTAAGCATGTTGAATATTGGTCCCCACTCTCTTCTGTCTTGTAGAATTTCTGCCAAGAGATCCGCTGTTAGTCTGATGGGCTTCCCTTTGTAGGTAACCCAACCATTCTCTTTGGCTGCCCTTAACATTTTTTCCTTCATTTCAACTTTGGTGAATCTGACAATTATGTGTCTTAGAGTTGCTCTTCTCGAGGAGTATCTTTGTGGTGTTCTCTGTATTTCCTGAATTTGAATGTTGGCCTGCCTTGCTAGATTATGGAAGTTCTCCTGGATAATATCCTGCAGAGTGTTTTCCAACTTGGTTCCATTCTCCCGGTCACTTCCAGGTACCCCAATCAGACATAGATTTGGTCTTTTCACAAAGTCCCATATTTCTTGGAGGCTTTGTTTGTTTCTTTTTATTCTTTCTTCTCTAAACTTCTCTTCTTGCTTCATTTCATTCATTTCATCTTCCCTCACTGATACCCTTTCTTCCCGTTGATTGCATCAGCTACTGAGGCTTCTGCATTCATCACATAGCTCTCATGCCTTGGTTTTCAGCTCCATCAAGTCCTTTAAGGACTTCTCTGCATTGGTTATTCTAGTTATACATTAGTCTAAATTTTTTTAAAAGTTTTCAACTTCTTTGCCTTTGGTTTGAATTTCCTCCTGTAGCTCGGAGTAGTTTGATCGTCTCAAGTCTTCTTGTCTCAACTCGTCAAAGTCATTCTCCATCCAGCTTTGTTCCATTGCTGGTGAGGAGCTGCTTTCCTTTGGAGGAAGAGAGGCACTCTGCTTTTTAGAGTTTCCAGTTTTTCTGCTCTGTTTTTTGCCCATCTTTGTGGTTTTATCTACTTTTTGTCTTTGATGATGGTGACCTACAGATGGGGTTTTGGTGCGGATGTCCTTTCTGTTTGTTAGTTTTCCTTCTAACAGACAGGGCCCTCAGCTGCAGGTCTGTTGGAGTTTGGTAGAGTTCCACTCCAGATGCTGTTTGCCTGGGTATCAGCAGTGGTGGCTGCAGAACAGTGGATATTTGTGAACCGCAAATGCTGCTGCCTGATCGTTCCTCTGGAAGTTTTGTCTCAGAGGAGTACCCGGCCGTGTGAGGTGTCATTCCCCCCCTACTGGGGGGTGCCTCTCAGTTAGGCTACTTGGGGGTCAGGGATCCACTTGAGGAGGCAGTCTGCCCCTTCTCAGATCTCAGGCTGCATGTTGGGAGAATGACTACTCTCTTCAAAGCTGTCAGAGAGGTACATTTAAGTCTGCAGACGTTACTGCTGTCGTTTTGTTTGTCTGTGCCCTTCCCACAGAGGTGGAGCCTACAGAGGCAGGCAGGCGTCCTTGAGCTGTGGTGGGCTCCACCCAGTTTGAGCTTCATGGCCGCTTTGATGACCTAATCAAACAACTACCTTGGCAATGGCAGGCACCCCTCCCCCAGCCTTGCTGCCACCTTGCAGTTTGATCTGCGACTGCTGTGCTAGCAATGAGTGAGACTCTGTGGGCGTAGGACCCTCTGGGCCAGGTGCAGGGTATATTCTCCTGGTGTGCCATTTTTTAAGCCAATTGGAAAAGCGCAGTATCAGGGTAGAGTGACCCGATTTTCCAGGTGCTATCGGTCACCACTTTCTTTGACTAGGAAATGGAATTCCCTCACCTGTTGTGCTTCCCAGGTGAGGCGATGCCTCACCCTGCTTTGGCTGGTGCACAGTGCACTCTGTCCTGCACCTACTCTCTGGCACTCCCCAGTGAGATAAACCTGGTACCTCAGTTGGAAATGCAGAAATCACCCATCTTCTGCGTCACTCATGCTGGGAGCTGTAGACCAGAGCTGTTCCTATTCGACCATCTTGGCTCCTCCCCACCCGATTTGCATTTTTCTAATGATTAGTGATATTGAGATGTTTTTCACATGCTTGTTGCCTGTAAGTTTGTCTTCTTTGAGAAGTGTCTGTTCATGTCCTTTGCAAATTTTTAATGGAGTTGTTTGTTTTTCTCTTGTAAATTTGTTTAAGTTTCTTAAAGATGTGGATATTCGAACTTGGCCAGATTCATAGTCTGAAATTTTTTTTTTCATTCTTTAGGTCGTCTGTTTACTCTGCTGATAGTTTCTTTTGCTGGGTAGAGGTTCTTAAGAAAATTAGATCCCGGGGGGTGGGAGCCAAGATGGCCGAATAGGAACAGTTACGGTCTACAGCTCCCAGCGTGAGCGACACAGAAGATGCGTGATTTCTGCATTTCCATCTGAGGTACCGGGTTCATCTCACTAGAGAGTGCCAGACAGTGGGCACAGGACGGTGCGTGCAGCGTACCGTGCATGAGCCAAAGCAGGGTGAGGCATTGCCTCACTCGGGAAGTGCAAGAAGTCAGGGAGTTCCCTTTCCTACTCAAAGAAAGGGGTGACAGACAGAACCTAGAAAATCGGGTCACTCCCACCCCAATACTGTGCTTTTCCAGTGGGCTTAAAAAACAGTGCACCAGGAGATTATATCCCGCACCTGGCTCAGACGGTCCTACACCCACGGAGTCTCACTGATTGCTAGCATAGCGGTCTGAGATCAAACTGCAAGTCGGAAATGAGGCTGGGGGAGGGGCACCCGCCATTGCCCAGGCTTGCTTAGGTAAACAAAGCAGCTGGGAAGATCAAACTGGGTGGAGCCCACCACAGCCCAAGGAGGCCTGCATGCCTCTGTAGGCTCCACCTCTGGGAGAAGGGCACAGACAAACAAAAAGACAGCAGTAACCTCTGCAGACTTAAATATCCCTGTCAGACAGCTTTGAAGAGAGCAGTGGTTCTCCCAGCATGCAGTTGGTGATCTGAGAATGGGCAGAATGCCTCCTCAAGTGGGTCTCTGACCCCTGACTCCCGAGCAGCCTAACTGGGAGGCACCCCCCAGCAGGGGCAGACTGACACCTCACATGGCTGGGTACTCCTCTGAGACAAAACTTCCAGAGGAACGTTCAGACAGTAGCATTCATGGTTCACAAAAATCCGCTGTTCTGCAGCCACCGCTGTTGACACCCAGGCAAACAGGGTCTGGAGTGGACCTCTAGCAAACTCAAACAGACCTGCAGTTGTGGTTCCTGTCTTTTAGAAGGAAAACTAACAAACAGAAAGGACATCCACACCAAAAACCCATCTGTACATCACCATCATCAAAGACTAAAAGTAGATAAAACCACAAAGATGGGGAAAAAACAGAGCAGAAAAACTGGAGACTCTAAAAAGCAGAGCACCTCTCCTCTTCCAAAGGAACACAGCTCCTCACCAGCAAGGGAACAAAGCTGGATGGAGAATGACTTTGACGAGGTGAGAGAAGAAGGCTTCACACGATCAAACTACTTCGAGCTACAGGAGGAAATTCAAACCAAAGGCAAGGAAGTTGAAAACATTGAAAAAAATTTGGACGAATGTATAACTAGAATAAACAATACAGAAAAGTGCTTAAAGGAGCTGAGGAAGCTGAAAGCAAAGGTTCAAGAGCTACGTGAAGAATGAAGAAGCCTCAGGAGCTGATGCAATCAACTGGAAGAAAGGGTATCAGTGATGGAAGATGAAATGAATGAAATGAAGCGAGAAGGGAAGCTTAGAGAAAAAAGAATAAAAAGAAACAAACAAAGCCTCCAAGAAACATGAGACTATGTGAAAATACCAAATCTACGTCTCATTGGTGTACCTGAAAGTGATGGGGAGAAAGGATCCAAGTTGGAAAACACTCTGCAGGATATTATCCAGGAGAACTTCCCCAATCTAGCAAGGCAGGCCAACATTCAGATTCAGGAAATACAGAGAATGCCACAAAGATACTCCTCGAGAAGAGCAACTCTAAGACACATAATTGTCAGATTCACCAAAGTTGAAATGAAGGAAAAAATGTTAAGAGCAGCCAGAGAGAAAGGTCGGGTTACCCACAAAGGGAAGCCCATCATACTAACAACAGATCTCTTGGCAGAAACTCTAAAAGCCAGAAGAGAGTGGGGGCCAATATTCAACATTCTTTAAGAAAAGTATTTTCAACCCAGAATTTCATATCCAGCCAAACAAAGCTTCATAAGTGAAGGAGAAATAAAATACTTTACAGACAAGCAAATGCTGAGAGATTTTGTCATCACCAGGCCTGCCCTAAAAGAGCTCCGGAAGGAGGCACTAAACATGGAAAGGAACAACCGGTACCAGCCACTGCAAACTCATGCCAAAATGTGAAGACGATTCAGGCTAGGAAGAAACTGCATCAACTAACGAGCAAAATCACCAGCTAACATCATAATGACAGGATCAAATTCACACATAACAATATTAACTTTAAATGTAAATGGACTAAATGCTCCAATTAAAATACACAGACTGGCATATTGGATAAAAAGTCAAGATCCATCAGTGTGCTGTATTCAGGAAACTCATTGCACGTGCAGAGACACACATAGCCTCAAAATAAAAGGATGGAGGAAGATCTACCAAGCAAATGGAAAACAAAAAGAGGCAGAGGTTGCAATCCTAGTCTCTGATAAAACAGACTTTAAACCAACAAAGATCAAAAGAGACAAAGAAGGCCATTACATAATGGTAAAGGGATCAATTCAACAAGAAGAGCTAACTATCCTAAATATATATGCACCCAATACAGGAGCACTCAGATTCATAAAGCAAGTCCTGAGTGACCTACAAAGAGACTTAGGCTTTCACACAATAATAATGGGAGACTTTAACACCCCACTGTCAACATTAGACAGATCAACGAGACAGAAAGTTAACAAGGATACCCAGGAAATGAACTCAGCTCTGATCCAAGCGGACCTAACAGACATCAACAGAACTCTCCACCCCAAATCAACAGAATATACATTTTTTTCAGCAGCATACGACACTTATTCCAAAATTGACCACATAGTTGGAAGTAAAGCTCTCCTCAGCAAATGTAAAAGATCAGAAATTATAACAAACTGTCTCTCAGACGACAGTGCAATCAAACTAGAACTCAGGAATAAGAAACTCACTCAAAACAGCTCACCTACATGGAAACTGAACAACCTGCTCCTGAATGACTACTGGGTACATAACGAAATGAAGTCAGAAATAAAGATGATCTTTCAAACCAATGAGAACAAAGACACAACATACCAGAATCGCTGGGACACATTCAAAGCAGTGTGTAGAGGGAAACTTATAGCACTAAATGCCCACAAGAGAAAGCAGGAAAGATCCAAAATTGACACCCTAACATCACAATTAAAAGAACTAGAAAAGCGAGAGCAAACACACTCAAAAGCTAGCAGAAGGCAAGAAATAACTAAAATCAGAGCAGAACTGAAGGAAAGAGGACAAAAAACCTTTCAAAAAATTAATGAATCCAGTAGCCGGTTTTTTGAAAGGATCAACAAAATTGATAGACCGCTATCAAGACAAATAAGGAAGAAAAGAGAGAAGAATCAAATAGATGCAATAAAAAATGATTAAGGGGATATCACCATCGATCCCACAGAAATACAAACTACCATCAGAGAATACTACAAACACCTCTACACAAATAAACTAGAAAATCTAGAAGAAATGGATAAATTCCTTGACACATACACCTTCCCAAGACTAAACCAGGAAGAAGTTGAATCTCTGAATAGACCAATAACAGGTTCTGAAATTGTGGCAATAATCAATATCTTACCAACCAAAAAGAGTCCAGGACCAGAGGGATTCACAGCCAAATTCTACCAGAGGTACAAGGAGGAACTGGTACCATTCCTTCTCAAACTATTCCAATCAATAGAAAAAGAGGGAATCCTCCCTAACTCATTTTATGAGTCCAGCATCATCCTGATACCCAAGCTGGGCAGAGACACAACCAAAAAAGAGAATTTTAGACCAATATCCTTGATGAACATTGATGCAAAAATCCTCAATAAAATACTGGCAAACCAAATCCAGCAGCATATCAAAAAGCTTATCCAACATGATCAAGTGGACTTCATCCTTGGGATACAAGTCTGGTTCAATATACACAAATCAATAAATGTAATCCACCATATAAACAGAACCAAAGACAAAAACCACATGATTATCTCAATAGATGCAGAAAAGGCCTTTGACAGAATTCAACAACCCTTCGTGCTAAAAACTCTCAATAAATTAGGTATTGATGAGACGTATCTCAAAATAATAAGAGCTATCTATGACAATCCCACAGCCAATATCATACCGAATGGGCAAAAACTAGAAGCATTCCCTTTGAAAACTGGCACAAGACAGGGATGCCCTCTCTCACCAGTCCTATTCAACATAGTGCTGAAAGTTCTGGCCAGGGCAAACAGGCAGGAGAAGGAAATAAAGGGTATTCAATTAGGGAAAGAGGAAGTCATATTGTCCCTGTTTGCAGGTGACATGATTGTATATCTAGAAAACCCCATTGTCTCAGCCCAAAATCTCCTTAAGCTGATAAGCAACTTCAGCAAAGTCTCAGGATACAAAATCAATGTACAAAAATCACAAGCATTCTTATACACCAATAACAGACAAACAGAGAGCCAAATCATGAGTGAATTCCCATTCACAATTGCTTCAATGAGGATAAAATACCTAGGAATCCAACTTACAAGGGATGTAAAGGACCTCTTCAAGGAGAACTACAAACCACTGCTCAATGAAATAAAGGAAGATACAAACAAATGGAAGAATATTCCATGCTCATGGGTAGGAAGAATCAATATCGTGAAAATGGCCATACTGCCCAAGGTAATTGACAGATTCAATGCCATCCCCATCAAGCTACCAATGACTTTCTTCACAGAATTGGAAAAAACTACTTTAAAGTTCATATGGAACAAAAAAGAGCCCACAACGCCTAGTCAATCCTAAGCCAAAAGAGCAAAACTGGAGGCATCATGCTACCTGACTTCAAACTATACTACAAGGCTACGGTAACCCAAACAGCATGGTACTGGTACCAAAACAGAGATAGAGATCAATGGAACAGAACAGAGACCTCAGAAATAACACCACATATCTACAACTATTGGATCTTTGACAAACCTGAGAAAAACAAGCAATGGGGAAAAGATTCCCTATTTAATAAATGGTGCTGGGAATACTGGCTAGCCATATGTAGAAAGCTGAAACTGGATCCCTTCCTTACACCTTATACAAAAATTAATTCAAGATGGATTAAAGACTAACACGTTAGACCTAAAACCATAAAATCCCTAGAAGAAAACCTAGGCATTACCATTCAGGACATAGGCGTGGGCAAGGACTTCATGTCTAAAACACCAAAAGCAATGGCAACAAAAGCCAAAATTGACAAATGGGATCTAATTAAACTAAAGAGCTTCTGCACAGCAAAAGAAACTACCATCAGAGTGAACAGGCAACATACAAAATGCGAGAAAATTTTCGCAACCTACTCATCTGACAAAGGGCTAATATCCAGAATCTACAATGAACTCAAACTAATTTACAAGAAAAAAACAAATAACCCCATCAAAAAGTGGGCAAAGGACATGAACAGACACTTCTCAAAAGAAGACATTTATGCAGCCAAAAAACACATGAAAAAATGCTCATCATCACTGGCCATCAGAGAAATGCAAATCAAAACCACAATGAGATACCATCTCACACCAGTTAGAATGGCAATCATTAAAAAGTCAGGAAACAACAGGTGCTGGAGAGGATGTGGGGAAATAGAAACACTTTTACACTGTTGGTGGGACTGTAAACTAGTTGAACCATTGTGGAAGTCAGTGTGGGGATTCCTCAGGGATCTAGAACTAGAAATGCCATCTGACCCAGCCATCCCATTACTGAGTATATACCCAAAGGACTATAAATCATGCTGCTATAAAGACACACGCACACGTATGTTTATTGTGGCACTATTCACAATAACAAAGACTTGAAACCAACGCAAATGTCCAACAATGATAGACTGGATTAAGAAAATGTGGCACATATACACCATGGAATACTATGCAGCCATAAAAAATGATGAGTTCATGTCCTTTGTAGGGACATGGATGAAATTGGAAATCATCATTCTCAGTAAACTATCGCAAGAACAGAAAACCAAACACCGCATATTCTCCGTCATAGGTGGGAATTGAACAATGAGAACACATGTACACTGGAAGGGGAACATCACATTCTGGGTCCAGTTGTCGAGTGGGGGGAGAGGGGAGGGATAGCATTAGGAGATATACCTAATGCTAGATGACGAGTTAATGGGTGCAGCACAGCGGCATAGCACATGTATACATACGTAACTAACCTGCACATTGTGCACATGTACCCTAAAACTTAAAGTATAATAATAATAAAATTTTAAAAAAAAGAATTGGATGGTACAGATTCTAAAGATAAAAAAAACAAAATTAGATCCCATTTATCAATTTTTGCTTCTGTTGCCATTGCCTTTGATGTCTTTTTCATTAAATATTTTCTCAATCCTATATCCAGGATGTTATTGCCGAGGTTGTCATTAAGGGTTTTTATAGTTTTGGGTATTACATTAAAAAATGAAATCCATCTTGAGTTGATTTTTTTATATAGTGTAAGGGTGGGGTCCAGCCTCAATCTTCTGCAGGTGGTTAACCAGTTATCCCAGCACCATTTATTGAATAGGGATTCTTCTCTCGATTGCTTGTTTTTGTGAGCTTTGTTGAAGATCAAATGGTCATAGGTGTGTGGTTTTGTTCTGGGCTCTCTATTCTATTTCGTTGGTCTGTGTGCCTGTTTTTGTAGCAGTTCCATGCTGTTTGGGATAATGTATCCCTGTAGTATAGTTTAAAGTTGGGTAACATGATGCCTGTAGTTTTGTCCATTGTGCTTAGGAATGGCTTGGCTATTCAAGTTCTGTTTTTTATTCCATATAAATTCTAAAGTAGTTTTTTTCCTAGTTTTGTGAAGAATGTCATTGGTAGTTTGATAGGAGTAGCACTGAATTTTTACGTTGTTTGGGCATTATGGTCATTTTAATGATATTGATTATTTCTATTCATGAGCATAGGATTTTTAAAATTAATTTGTGTCTTTTCTGATTTCTTTGGCAATGTTTCCCTGGTTAGCTGTATTTCTAAGTATTTTTGTGGGAATTGCGAATGGAATTGCTCAGATTTGGCTTGCAATTTGGCTGCTATTGGCATATAAAAATGCTAGTGATTTTTGTACGTTAATTTGGTATCCTGAAAATTTGCCAAAGTTGTTTTTGCAGGCTGAAGAAGCTTTGGGACCGAGACTATGTGGTTTTCTAAATATAGAATCATGTTGTCTGCAACCAGGGATATTTTGAATTCCTCTCTTCCCATTTGGATGTCCATTATATTTCTTTCTCTTGCCTGTTTACTCTGGCTAGGATTTCCAATACTATGTTGAATAGAAGTGGTGAGAGAAGACATCTTTGTCTTGTGCTTGTTTTCAAGAGGACAATATCCAGCTATTGCCCATTCAGTATGATGTTGGCTGTGGAGTTGTTATAGGTGGCTCTAATTATGTTGAAGTATGTTCCTGCAATACCTAGTTTATTGAGAGTTTTTGACATGAAAAGATGTTGAATTTTATCAAAGGACATTTTTGTATCTATTGAAATATGCATGTGGTTTTTGTCTATAGTTCTGTTTATGTGCTGAATCAAACGTTTTGATCTGTGCATGCTGAACCAACCTTGCATCGTGCAGATTAAGCCTACTTGATCATGGTGGAATTAGTGACTACTTTTTTTTTTTTTTTCTTTTGAGACAGATTCTCACTCAGCCTATCGCCTTCGGTGAAGTGCAGTGGCATGATTTCGACTCACAGCAAACTCCACTTCTGGGGTTCAAGCGATTCTCCTGCCTCTGCCTCCCAAGTAGCTGGGATTACAGTCATGCGCAAACACACTTGGCTAATTTTTGCATAGATACTAGAGACAGGATTTCACCGTGTTGGCCAGGCTGATCCTAAACTCTTGACCTCAAGTGATCCACCTGCTTCAGCCTCCCAAAGAGCTGGGATTACAGGCATGAGTCACCGTGCCCAGCCTGAATTAACTATTTGATGTGCTCCCGGATTTGGTTAGGATGTATTTTGTGGATAATTTTTACATCAATATTCATCAAGGATATTGGCCTGAAGTGTTTTCTTGTTGTTATTGTGTCTCTGCCATGTTTTCATAACAAGATAATGTTCACCCCATAGAATGAGTTGAGAAAGAGACCATCTCTCTCAGTTTTTGGAAGAGTTTCAGTAGGAATTGTACCAGCTCTTCTTTGTACATCTGGTAGCATCTGGCTGTGAATTCATCTGGTCCTGGGCTTTTCTTTGTTGTTAGGCTATTTGTTATTGATTCAATTTCAGAGCTCATTATTGATCTTTTCAAGTAATTAATGTCTTTTTGATTCTGTGTTGGGAAGTTTTATGTGTCCAGGAATTTATCCGTCTCTTCTAGGTTTTCTAGTTTGTGTGCATAGAGGTGTTTGTAGTAGTTTCTGGTGCTTATTTTTATTTCAGTTGGGTCAGTGATACTATCCTATTCATCATTTCTAATTGCTTTTACTTGAATTTTCTCCCCTTTCTTTTTTAGTAGTCTAGGTAGTGGCCTATCTTATTAGTTATATATACAAAACCAACTCCTAGATTTGTTGATTTTTTTGAATGGCTTTTCATGTCCCAATTTCCTTCTGTTCATCTTGATTTTGGTTACTTCTTGTCATCTGCTGGGTTTGGGGTTGATTTGTTCTTCTTTCGCTAATTCTTTCAGTTGCCATGTTAAGTTGTTAACTTGAGATATTTCTATCTTTTTTATGTGAGTATTTAGTGCTACGAATTTCCCTCTTAACACTGCCTTAATGGTGTCCCAGAGATTCTGGTATGTTGTATCTTTGTTCTCATTAGTTTCAAAAAAATTTCTTGATTTCTGCCTTAATTTCATTATTCACCCATAAATAATTCAGGAGCATGTTATTTGATTTTTATGTAATTGCATGGATTTGAGCAACATTTTTTAGCCTTGACTTCTATTATTATTGTGCTGTGGACTGAGATTGTGTTTGGTATGATTTTTGAATGATTGCAATTCCTGATTTTTTCTGTTTTCTATTCTTTTGTTTTCATTTGCCTTTGCTGAAGATTGTTTTATACCCAACTATGTGGTAGAATTTACAGTATGTGCCATGTGATGATGGGAAGAATGTATATTCCGTTATTTTGCATGGAGCGTTCTTAGAGGTCTATCAGATCCATTTGGTCCAATGTTAAGTTCAGGTTCTCAATATGCTTGTTAATTTTCTGCCTCAGTAATCTGTCTGATACTGTCTGTGAACTGTGAAATCTCCCACTATAATTGTGTGAGAGTCTACATCTCTTTGTACATCTGTAAAAATTTGCTTTATGAATCTGGGTGCTCCTATGTTGTTTGCATATGTATTTAAGATAGCTAAGTCTTCCTGTTGAATTAAACTCTTTATTATTATGTAATGCCCTTCTTTGTCTTTTGTTATCTTTGTTGGTTTCAAGTCTGTTTTTTTCTGAAGTTAGAATCGCAATACCTGATTTTTTCTGTTTTCTATTAGCTTGATAGATTTTTTTCCCCATCCACTTATTGTGAGCCTATGGGTTTGAGCCTATGTGTGAGATGGGTCTGCTAAAGACAGCATACAATTGGGTCCTGATTTTTTATCCAGCTTCCAATTCTGTGTGTTTTATTTGTTTTTTTACAGAATACGCATTTTTATTGAAATTATCTTTTAATATATATATCCAACAGCAGAGTATGAGAGTATGCATTTCCCATATTATTGACAAATTTTATATTATCACATTTAAAAATGTTGCCATTCTGATGGGTAAATGTAAACGTGTACCATGGTGGTTTGCTGCTCAAATCATCCCATCACCTAGATATTAAGCCCAGAATCCATTAGCTATTCTTCCTGATACTGTTACTCCCCCCACTGACCCCCAGCAGGACCCAGTGTTTGTTGTTGCCCTTCCATGTGTCCATGTGTTCTTATCATTCAGCTCCCATTTATAAGTGAGAATATTCAGTGTCTGATTTTCTGTTCCTGCATTAGTTTGCTAAGGATAATGGCATCCAACTCTATCCATGTTCCTGCAAAAAATATACTCTTGTTCCTTTTCATGGACGCATGGTATTCCATCTTGTATATGTACCACATTTTGTATCCAGTCTATCATTCATGGTCATTTGGGTTGATTCCATGTCTTTGCTATTGGAAATAGTGTTGCAATAAACATATGCATGCATGTGTTTTATAGTAGAATAATTTATATTCTTTTGGGTATATATCCAGTAATGGGATTGCTGGGTCCAATGGTATTTCTGCCTCTAGGTCTTTGAGAAATCACCACACTGTCTACCACAATGTTTGAACTAATTTACAGTCCCACAGTGTAAAAGCTTTCCTTTTTCTCTGCAACCTCACCAATGTCTATTGTTTGCTGACTTTTTAATAATCACCATTCTGACTTGAATGACATGGTATCTCATGGTGGTTTTGATTTGCATTCCTCTAATAATCAGTTATGTTGAACTTTTTTTTAATTTTTTTATTATTATACTTTAAGTTTTAGGGTACATGTGCACAATGTGCAGGTTAGTTACATACGTATACATGTGCCATGCTGGTGTGCTGCACCCACTAACTCGTCATCTAGCACTAGGTATATCTCCCAATGCTATCCCTCCCCCCAGCCCCTACCCCACAACAGTCTGCAGAGTGTGATGTTCCCCTTCCTGTGTCCATGTGTTCTCATTGTTCAATTCCTACCTATGAGTGAGAATATGCGGTGTTTGGTTTTTTGTTCTTGCAATAGTTTACTGAGAATGATGATTTCCAATTTCATCCATGTCCCTACAAAGGACATGAACTCATCATTTTTTATGGCTGCATAGTATTCCATGGTGTATATGTGCCACATTTTCTTAATCCAGTCTATCATTGTTGGACATTTGGCTTGGTTCCAAGTCTTTGCTATTGTGAATAGTGCTGCAATAAACATACGTGTGCATGTGTCTTTATAGCAGCATGATTTATAGTCCTTTGGGTATATACCCAGTAATGGGATGGCTGGGTCAGATGGTATTTCTAGTTCTAGATCTCTGAGGAATCCCCACACTGACTTCCACAATGGTTGAGCTAGTTTACAGTCCCACCAACAGTGTAAAAGTGTTCCTATTTTTCCACATCCTCTCCAGCACCTGTTGTTTCCTGACTTTTTAATGATTGCCATTCTAACTGGTGTGATATGATATCTCATTGTGGTTTTGATTTGCATTTCTCTGATGGCCAGTGATGGTGAGCATTTTTTCATGTTTTTGACTGCATAAACGTCTTCTTTTGAGAAGTGTTTGTTCATGCCCTTTGCCGACTTTTTGATGGGGTTGTTTGTTTTTTTCTTGTAAATTAGTTTGAGTTCATTGTAGATTCTGGATATTAGCCCTTTGTCAGATGAGTAGGTTGCAAAAATTTTCTCACATTTTGTAGATTGCCTGTTCACTCTGATGGTAGTTTCTTTTGCTGTGCAGAAGCTCTTTAGTTGAATTAGATCCCATTTGTCAATTTTGGCTTTTGTTGCCATTGCTTCTGGTGTTTCAGACATGAAGTCCTTGTCCATGCCTATGTCCTGAATGGTAATGCCTAGGTTTTCTTCTAGGGTTTTTATGGTTTTAGGTCTAATATGTAAGTCTTTAATCCATCTTGAATTAATTTTTGTATAAGGTGTAAGGAAGGGATCCAGTTTCAGCTTTTTACATATGGCTAGCCAGTTTTCCCAGCACCAATACAGAGAGGTGCTTAAAGGAGCTAATGTAGCTGAAAGCCAAGTCTCGAGAACTACGTGAGAAATGCAGAAGCCTCAGGAGCCGATGCGACCAACTGGAAGATACGGTATCAGCGATGGAAGATGAAATGAATGAAATGAAGTGAGAAGGGAAGTTTAGAGAAAAAAGAATAAAAAGAAATGAACAAAGCCTCCGAGAAATATGGGACTATGTGAAAAGACCAAATCTACATCTGACTGGCGTACCTGAAAGTGATGGGGAGAATGGATCCAAGTTGGAAAACACTCTGCAGGATATTATCCAGGAGAACTTCCCCCATCTAGCAAGGCAGGCCAACATTCAGATTCAGGAAATACAGAGAATGCCACAAAGATACTCCTCGAGAAGAGCAACTCCAAGACACATAATTGTCAGATTCACCAAAGTTGAAATGAAGGAAAAAATGTTAAGGGCAGCCAGAGAGAAAGGTCAGGTTACCCACAAAGGGAAGCCCATCAGACTGACAGCGGATGTCTCGGTATAAATTCTACAAGCCAAAAGAGAGTGAGGGCCAATATTCAACATTCTTAAAGAAAAGTATTTTCAACTCAGAATTTCATATCCAGCCAAACTAAGCTTCATAAGTGAAGGAGAAATAAAATACTTTACGGACAAACAAATGCGGAGAGATTTTGTCACCACCAGGCCTGTCCTAAAACATCTCCTGAAGGAAGCACTAAACATGGAAAGGAGCAACCGGTACCAGCCGCTGCAAAATCATGCGAAAATGTAAAGACCGTCGAGACTAGGAAGAAACTGCATGAACTAACGAGCAAAATAACCAGCTAATATCATAATGACAGGATCAAATTCCCACATAACAATATTAACTTTAAATGTAAATGGGCTAAATGCTCCAATTAAAAGACATAGACTGGCAAATTGGATAAAGAGTCAAGACCCATCAGTGTGCTGTATTCAGGAAACCCATCTCACGTGCAGAGACACACATGGGCTCCAAATAAAAGGATGGAGGAAGATCCACCAAGCAAATGGAAAACAAAAAAAGGCAGGGGTTGCAATCCTAGTCTCTGATAAAACAGACTTTAAACCAACAAAGATCAGAAGAGACAAAGAAGGCCATTACATAATGGTAAAGGGATCAATTCAACAAGAAGAGCTAACTATCCTAAATATATATGCACACAATACAGGAACACCCAGATTCATAAAACAAGTCCTGAGTGACCTACAAATAGACTTAGACTCCCACACGTTAATAATGGGAGACTTTAACACCCCACTGTCAACATTAGACAGATCAACAAGACAGAAAGTTAACAAGGATACCCAGGAATTGAACTCAGCTCTGTACCAAGCGGACCTAATAGATATCTACAGAACTCTCCATCCCAAATCAACAGAATGTACATTTTTTCAGCACCACACCACACCTATTCCAAAATTGACCACATAGTTGGAAGTAAAGCTCTCCTCAGCAAATGTAAAAGATCAGAAATTATAACAAACTATCTCTCAGACCACAATGCAATCAAACTAGAACTTAGGATTAAGAAACTCACTCAAAACCGCTCAACTACATGGAAACTAAACAACCTGCTCCTGAATGACTACTGGGTACATAACGAAATGAAGGCAGAAACAAAGATGTTCTTTGAAACCAACAAGAACAAAGACACAACATACCAGAATCTCTGAGACACATTCAAAGCAGTGTGTAGAGGGAAATTTATAGCACTAAATGCCCACAAGATAAAGCAGAAAAGATCCAAAATTGACACCCTAGCATTACAATTAAAAGAACTAGAAAAGCAAGAGCAAACACATTCAAAAGCTAGCAGAAGGCAAGAAATAACTAAATTCAGAGCAGAACTGAAGGAAATACATTGAACTTTTAAAAATGTTTTTGTTGGCTGCTTGTATGTCTTCTTTTGAGAAGTGCCTGTTTATGTCCTTTGCCCACTTTTTATTTTATTTGTTTATTTATTTATTTAGAGATGGAGTCACACTTTGTTGCTCAGTCTGGAGTGCAGTGGTGCAATCTCGGCTCACTGCAACCTCTACCTGCCAGGTTTAAGCAATTCTCCTGCCTCAGCCTCTCAAGTAGCTGAGATTAAAGATGTGTGCCACCACACCTGGCTAATTTTTTGTATTATTAGTTGAGGTGGGGTTTCACCATGTTAGCCAGGATGGTCTCGATCTCCTGACCTCATGATCTGCCTGCCTCAGTCTCCCAAAGTGCTGGGATTACAGGCATGAGCCACCATGCATGGCCCCTTTGCCCACTTTTTAATGGGGCTGTTTGTTTTTCTCTTGTAAATTGTTTAAGTTCCTTATGGACTCTGGATATTAGACCTTTGTTAGATGTATAGATTGCAAAAATTTTCTCCCATTCTGTAGGTTGTCCACTGCTCATGATAGTTTATTTTGCTGTGCAGAAGCTCTTTATTAGATACCACATGTCAATTTTTGCTTTCGTTGCAATTTATTTTGATGTTTTCATTATAAAATCTTAGCCTGTGTCTATATCCTGAATGACATTGCCTAGGTTTACTTCTAGGGTTTTTATAATTAAGGGTCTTACATTTAAGTCTTAAATCCATCTTAACTAAATTGTTTTATATTGTGTGAGGAAAGGGCCCAGTTTCAAATTTCTAAGTATAGATATCCAGTTCTCCCAGCACCCTTTATTAAATAGAGAACTATTTCCCCATTGCTTGTTTTTATCAGGTTTGTTGAAGATCATATGTTTGTAAGTTTGTGGTACATTTCGGAGTTCTCTATTCTGTTCCAAATATTTATGTGTCTGTTCTTGTACCAGTACCATGTTCTTTTGGTTGCTGTAGACTTGTAATATTGTTTGAAGTCCTGTAACATGATTCCTCCAGCTTTGTTCTTTCTTCTTAGGATTGTCTTGGTTATATGAACTCTTTTTTGGTTTCATATGAATTTTAAAATAGTTTCTTGTAATTCTGTGAAAACTGTCAATGACAGTTTAATGGGAATAACATGGAATTTATAAATTATTCTGGGCAGTATGGCCAATTTCATGACACTGATTCTTTATATCCATGAGCATGGAATTTTTTTTTATTTGTTTGTGTCCTTCCTGATTTCCTTGAGCAGTGCTTTGTAGTTATCCTTGAAGAGGTTCTTCAGTTCACTGTTTAGCTGTATTCTTAGGTATTTTATTCTTTTTGTAGCAAATGTGAATGAAAATTCATTCATAATTTGGCCCTCTTCTTGCCTGTTTTTGGAATATAAAAATGCTAGCGATTTTTGCACATTGATTTTGTACACCCAGATTGCTGAAGTTGCTTATCAGCTTAAGATTTTAGCTAAGGTGATGGGGTTTTCTAGATATAGAATCATGTCATCTGCAAACAAAGATAATCAGACTTCCTCTCTACCTGATTGAATAACTTTTATTTATTTCTCTTGCCTGATTGCCCTGGCCAGAACTTCCAATATTATTTTAATAGAAGTGGTGAGATAAGGCATTCTTGTCTTGTGTCAGTTTTCAAGAGGAATGCTTCCAGCTTTTGCCTACTCAGTATGATATTGGCTGTGCGTTTCTTATATATAGCTCTTATTATTTTGAGGTACATTCTTTCAATACCTAGTTTATTGAGAGTTTTTTAAATGAAGGGATGCTGAATTTCATTGAAGGCTTTTTCTGCATCTATTGAGATAATACTGTGGTTTTTTGTCTTTAGTTATGTTTGTGTACTAAATCAAATTTATTGACTTGCATACGTTGAACCAACTGTGTATTCCAGGGTTAAAGCCAACTTGATCATGGCGGACATGGTTTTTCATATGCTGCTGAATTCCATTTGCTAGTATTTTATTGAGGATTTTTGCACTGATGTTTATCAAGGATATTGGCCTGAGGTTTTCTTTTTTTTTACATTTCTGTCACATTTTGGTATCAGGATAATCCTGGCCTCATAGAATGAGTTAGGGAGAAGTCCTTCTTTTTTTTTTTTTTGATTTTTTGGAATAGTCACAGTAGAAATGGTACCAGCTCTTCTTAGTACCTCTCATAGAATTGAGCTGTGAATCCATCTGTTTCTGGGCTTCTTTTGGTTGGTAGGTATTTATTACTGCCTCTATTTCAGAATTCATTATTGGTCTCTTCAGGGATTTAGCTTCCTCCTGGTTCAGTAGTGAGAGGGTGGATGTGTTCAGGAATACATCAATTTCTTCTAGATTTTCTAGTTTATGTGTATAGAGGTGTTTATAGTATACTGTGATTGTTGTTTATTTCTGTTGCATTAGTGGTGATATCCCCCTTATCTTTTCGGATTGTGCTTAATTGATACTTTTCTGTTCTCTTCTTTATTAGTCTAGCTAGCAATCTATCTATTTCATTAATCAAAAAAAAAAAAACCTACTGGATTTATTGATTTTTTTGAAGAGTTTTTGTGTCTCTATCTCCTCTCTATGAACAAAGTTCAGCTGTGATCTTTGTTATTTCTTGTCTTCTGCTAGCTTTGGGGTTTGCTTGCTCTTGGTTCTCTAGTTCTTTTAGGTGAGATGCCAGGTTGTTAACATGAGATCTTTCTAGCTTTTTGATGTGGGCAATTGGTGCTATAAATTTCCCTCTTAACATGGCTTAAGCTGTGTCCCAAAGATTCTGATACGTTTTCTCTTTGGTCTCATTGGTTTTAAAGAACTACTTAATTTCTGCCTTAATTTTATTATCGACCCAAGAGTCCTTCAGGAGCATGTTGTTCAATGTCCATGTAGTTGTTTGGTTTTGACTGAATTTTTTAAATCTTGAGTTCTAATTTTATTGTGCTATGGTCTGAGAGACTGCTTGTTATGATATCATTTCTTTTGCATTTGCTGAGGAATACTTGACTTCTGATTATGTGATGAATTTCAGAGTAAGTGCTATGTGGCAATGAGAAAAATCTGTATTTTGTTGTTTTTAGGTGAAGAGTTCTGCAGATTATCAGGCCCACTTGATCCACAGCTGCATTTAGGTCCTTAATCCTTTTGTTAATTTTCTGTCTTAATGATTTGCTAATATTGTCAGTGGCGGTGTTAATGTCTCCCACTATTAAGTCTCTTTATAAATTTCTAAAAACTTGCTTTATAAATCTGGCTACTCCTATATTGGGTGCATATATATTTAGGATAGTTAGCTATTCTTGTTGAATTGAACACTTTCCCACTATGTAATGTCATTTTTTGTCTTTTTGTGATCTTTGTTGGTTTAAAATCTGTTTTGTCAGAAACTAGGATTGCAACCCCTGCTTTTTTGTTTTCCATTTGCTTGGTAAAATTTTCTTCATCCCTTTATTTTGAATCTTTGCATGTGAGATGGGTCTCTTGAAGACAACATACCAATGGGTCTTGGCTCTTTGTCTAGCTTGCCATTATGTGTGTTTCAACTGGGGCATTTGGATCACTTACATTCAAGGTTAGTGTTGTGATGTGTGAATTTGATTCTGTCATCCTGATGTTAACTGTTTATTTTGCAGACTCTTTTATGTGGTTGCTTCATAGTTTTACTTTTCTGTGTACTTTAGTGTGTTTTGTAGTGGCTGGTAATGGATTTTTCTTTCCATATTTAGTGCTTCCTTCAGTAGCTCTTTTAAGGCAGGCCTGGTGGTGACAAATTCCTTCTGCCTTTGCTTGTCTGAAAAGGATCTTATTTCCCTTTTGCTTATGAAGCTTAATTGGCTGCATATAAAATTCTGGGTTGGAAATTTCTTTTTTTAAGAATATTGAATATTGGCCCCTAATCTCTTCTGGCTTGTAGGGTTTCCTCTGAGAAGTTCACTGTTAGTCTGATGGGTTTCCCTTTGTAGGTGAGCTGGCCTTTCTCTCTGGTGCCCCTAACATTTTTTCTTTTATTATGACCTTGTATAATCTGATGATTATGTGTCTTGGTGTTGATCTACTCATGGAGTATGTTACTGGGGTTTTCAGCATTTCCTAAATTTGAATGTTGGCCTGTTTTCCTATGTTGATGAAGTTCTACTGGATGATTTCCCAAAGTATGTTTTTCAACTTGGTTCCATTCTCCCCATCTCTTTCAAGTACCCCAATTAGTCATAGGTTCATTCTCTTTACATAATCTCATGTTTCTCAGAGGTTTTGTTCATACATTTTCATTCTTTTTTATTGTTGTCTGCCTGTCTCATTTCAAAAAATAATCCTCAAGCTCTAACATTCTTTCCTTTGCATACTCATTTCTACTAGTGATACTTGAGATTGCATTGTGAAGTTCTTGTGCTTTTCATCTCCATCAGGTCATTTATGTTTCTCTCAAAATTGGCTATTCCATCTATCACCTCCTGTGTTATTTTATTATAATTCTTAGCTTATTTGCATTAGGTTACAACATGCTCCTTTAACTCAGAAAACTTTGTTATTATCTACTTTCTGAAGCCTACTTCTGTCAATTCTGCCATCTCAACCTCAGCCCAGTTCTGTGCCCTTGCTGCAGAGGTGTTGTGGTCACTTGGAGAAAAGGGAGCATTCTGACTTTTTGAGTTTTCAGCATTTTTATGTTGATTGTTTCTCATCTTTCTGGGCTTATCTACCTGCAAACTTTGAAGTTGCTGACCTTTGGATGAGGTTTTTGTGGGGTCTTTTTTATTTATATTGTTGTTGTTTATTTCTGTTTGTTTGTTTTCCTTTTCACAGTCAGGCCACTCTACCAGAGAACTGCTGTGGTTTTCTGGAGGTCCACTTCAGATTCTAGTTGCCTCAGTCCTTCCCATTCCAGGAGGGATCACCAGTGAAGTCTGCAAAACTGCAAAGATGACAGCCAGCTTCTTTATCTGGAATCTCCATCCCAGTGTGGTACTGACATTTTTTCTGGCCTGAATGCACCAGTATGAAGTGGCTGGAGACCCCTGTTCAGAAATCTTACCTAGTCAAGAGGAAATGGATCAGAGACTTGCCTAAATAAGTAGTCTGGCTGCTATGGTAGTCCAGTTGTGCTGTGTTGCGGGGTACCCTTTCTTGTCTTGACCATTTATGTTCTCCAAAGCTGGCCGACTGGAACAACTAAGTCAACTGAATTGCAAAAATGGCAGCTGCTCCTCTCCCTGTGAGCTCTTACCCAGGGAGAGATCAGAGCTCTGTACATAGAACCATGGCCAGAGTGGCTGAAGCCCCCACATAGAGGTCCTGCTCAGTGAGCAGCAATGAACCAAGGTCCTGCTTAAGGAAGCAGTCTGGCCATAATCTGACAAGGAAGCTGTGCTACATTTTGAGTGACCCTTCCTCTTTTGGACCATTTGTATTCTCTAAAGCTGCAGGCTGGAAAATCTGAGTCTACCAAACCACAGTAATGGTTGCAGCCCCTCTCCCTGGGAACTTAAACCTGTCTCAGGCAGATTCTAGCCTGTTGCCTTTGGCTGGCTGGAATTCTAAATCAGAGGGTCTTAACTTGTGAGGTGCTGTAAAGTGGGGCCTGAAGAATGATGATTCTTGGCTCCCCAGAATCAGCCCACTTTCTATGGATATGGATGGATGGATTTTTCACTTTGCTAGTGATTCTGGGGCAAGAATATGTAAAATTCCTGGGTCCTTGTGTTTGCCTGAGTGGCTGCACTACTGAGACTTTACACAGCTCTGTGTATTGCACCCAAGGCCCTGGTAATGTGGGCTTGTGATGGTATCTCCTGATCTGTGGGTTGCTAAGATCCATGAGAGAAGCATAATTACCTGGGCTGGGTCACACAATCACTCACTGCTTCCCTTGGTTGGGCATGGGGGTTCCTTTGGCTCCATGGACCATTGCTCCCTCTGCTTTTCTTCATTATCTGTGGGTTGAGTTGTTTGCCTAGTCAGGCCCAATGCAAGAACCAGAATATATCAGTTGAAGGTGTTGAATTAACTTGCCTCTTTTTATTTCTCTCTGTGAGTACCCTAGACCATAGCTAATTGGCCATCTTGGATTCTCACTGTATTTTTAAATGGGGCATTTACATCAAGGCTTACTGTTTACATCAAGGTTAGTATTGATAAGTGTGGGTTTTATCCTGTCATTGTGTCATTAGCTGGTTTTCATGCTGACTTTTTGTGTATTTGCTTTACAGTGTCATTGGTCTATATATTTAAGTGTGCTTTTGTTTTAGCTGGTAGTGGTCTTTCCTTTCTGTATTCAGTGCTCTTTTCAAGATCAGTTTGTTCTGGTAGTAACAAGCATTCTCAACATTTGCTTATCTAAAAAGGATCTTTTGTTATTTTACTTTAAGTTCCAGGATACACGTATAGAAATTGCAGGTTTGTTACATAGGTGTACATGTGTCATGGTGGTTTGCTGCACCTATTAACCCACCATCTAGATTTTAAGCCCCACATGCATTAGGTATTTGTCCTAATGCTCTCCCACCTCTTGACCACCACCCCATGACAGGCCCCAGTGTGTGACGTTCCCCTCTCTGTGTTCATGTGTTCTCATTGTTCAACTCCTACTTATGAGTGAGAACATGTGGTGTTTAGTTTTCTGTTCCTGTGTTAGTTTGCTGAAAATGATGGCTTGCAGCTTCATCCATGTCCCTGCAAAGGATATTAACTCATTCATGTTTGTGCCTGCGTAGTATTCCATGGTGTACATGTACCACATTTTTTTTTATCCACTCTATTATTTGTGGGCATTTAGGCTGGTTCCAAGTCTTTGCTATTGTAAATAGTGCTGCAATAATCATACATGGGCATGTGTCTTTATAGTAGAATGATTTATAATCCTTTGGGTATATATTCAGTAATGGGATCGCTAGGTCAAATGGTAATTCTGGTTCTAGATACTTGAGGAATCACCAAACTGTCTTCCACAATGGTTGAACTAATTTACACTCCCACCAAGAGTGTGAAAGTATTTCTATTTCTCCATATCCTCACCAGCAACTGTTGTTTCCTGACTTTTTAATAATTGCCATTCTAACTGATGTGAGATGGTATCTCGTTGTGGTTTTGATTTACATTTCTCCAATGACCAATGATGATGAGTTTTTTTTCATATGTTTGCTAACCGCATAAATGTCTTCCTTTGAGATGCATCTGTTCATATACTTCGCCCACTTTTTGATGGGGTTGTTTGTTTTTTTCTTGTAAATTTGTTTAAGTTTCTTGTAGAGTCTGGATATTAGATCTTTGTCAGATGAGGAGCTTGCAAAAATTTTCTCCCATTCTGTAGGTTGCCTGTTCACTGTGATGATAGTTTCTTTTGCTGTGTAGAAGCTCTTTAGTTTGATTAGATCCCATTTGTTAATTTTGGCTTTTGTTGCAATTGCTTTTGGTATTTTAGTCATGAAGTTTTGCCCATGCCTATTTCCTGAATGGTATTGCCTAGGCGTTCTATTTTTTTTCTTTAATTTCACTTTAAATTCTGGAATACATGTGAAGAATGTGCAGGCTTGTTACACAGGTATACATGTGCCATAGTGGTGTGCTGCACCTATCAACCCATCATCTATGTTTTAAGCCCTGCATGCATTAGGGGTTTGTCCTATTGCTCTCTCTCCCCTTACTCCCCACCCCCTGACAGGCCCTGGTGTGTGATTTTCCCCTCCCTGTGTCCATGTGTTCTCATTGTTCAACTCCCACTTATAAGTGGGAACATGCAGTGGTTGATTTTCTATTCCCATGTTAGTTTGCTGAGGATGATGGTTTCCAGCTTCATCCATGTCCCTGAAAAGGACATTAACTCATTCTTTTTTATAGCTGTATAGTATTCCATGATGTATATGTGCTACATCTACTTTATCCAGTCTATCATTGATGGGGATTTGGATTTGGTTCCAAGTCTTTGCTACTGTAAATAGTGCTGCAATAAAATACATCTTTATAATAGAATAATTTCTAATCCTTTGGGTATATACCCAGTAATGGGATTGCTGAGTCAAATGGTATTTCTGGTTCCAGATCCTTGAGGAATTGCCACACTGTCTTCCACAGTGGGTGAACTAATTTATACTCCCACCAACAGTGTAAAAGTCTTTCTACTTCCTCACATCCTTTGTTTCAACCTTGGAGAAGCTGATGATTATGTGTCTTAGGCTTGCACTTTTGAGGAGTAGCTTAGTGGTGTTCTCTGTATTTGCTGAGTTTTAATGTTGGCCTGTCTTGCTAGGTTGAGGAAGTTCTCCTGTGTTTTCCAATTTGCTTCCATTCTCACCATAACTTTCAGGTACACCAATCAATCGTAAGTTTGGTCTTTGCACATAGTTTCATATTTCTTGGAGGCTTTGCTCATTCTTTGTTATTCTTTTTTCTCTAATCTTGTCTTCTTGCCTTATTTCAGAAAGTTGATCTCCAATCTCTAATATCTTTTCTTCTGCTTGATTGATTTGGCTACTGATACATGTGCATGCTTCACAAAGTTCTCGTGCTGTGTTTTTCAGCTCCATCAGGTCATTTATGTTTCTCTCGAAACTGGTTATTCCAGTTAGCAGTTCCTGTAACCTTTTATCGAGGTTCTTAGCTTCCTTTCATTGGGTTAGAAAATGCTCCTTTAGCTCAGAGGAGTTTGTTATTATCCACCTTCTGAAGCCTACTTATGTCAAATCGTCAATCTCATTTTCCATCCAGTTTTGTGTCCTTGCTGGAGAGAAGTTGTGATCATTTGGAGGAGAGGAAGCATTCTGGTTTTTGTAATTTTCAGCGTTTTTATGCTTTTTTTTTTTCTCATCTTTGTGCATTTATCTACCTTTGATCTTTGAGGCTGATGACCTTTGGATGGGGGTTTTATCTGGGTTCTTTATGTTGATGTTGGTGTTGTTGCTTTCTGTTTGTTAATTTTTCTTCTAACAATCAGGGCCCTCTTCTGCAGGTCTGCTGCAGTTTGCTAGAGGTCCACTTTAGACCCTGTTTGCCTGGGTATCACCAGTGGAGGCTGCAGAACAGCAAAGTTTGCTGGCTGCTCCTTCCTCTGGCAGCTTCATCCCAGAGGGGCCTGGCCTGATGACAGCCAGAGCTCTCCTGTATGAGGTGTCTGTTGACCCCTGTTGAGAGGTTTCTTCCAGTCAGGAGGCATGGGTGTCAGAGACGCACTTGAGGAGGCAAGCTGTCTCTTAGCAGAGCTTGTGCACTGTGCTGGGGAATCCCTGTTGTCAGGATCAGCTGCTGTCTTCAGAGCTGGCAGGCAGTAGCAGTTAAATCTGCTGAAACTGCACCCACAGCTGCCCCTTTCCCCAGGTGCTCTGTCCCAGGGAGATGAGGGTTTTGTCTCTAAGCCCTTGGCTGGGGCTGTTACCTTTCCTTCAGAGATGCCCTGCCCAGTGAGGAGGAATGTAGAGAAACAGTCTGGCCACAGACGCTTTTCTGTGCCCAGCCCAGACCTCCCAGCCTCCTTAGCACAGTCAGGGGAGAACTGCCTACTAAAGCCTCAGTAATGGTGGATGCCCCTCCCCCCACTGAGCTTGTTCGTCCCAGGTCAACTTCAGACTGCTCTGCTGGCAGCGAGAATTTCAAGCCAGTTGTTCTTAGCTTGCTGGGCTCCATGGGAGTGGGACCCACTGAGCAAGACCACTTGGCTCCCTGGCTTCAGTCCCCTTTCCAGGGGAGTGAATGGTCTGTCTCACTGGGGTTCCAGGCGCCATTGGGGTACAAAAAAAAACTGCAGTAAACTCGTGTCTGCCCAAACAGCCGCCCA